>NC_000012.12:102914673-103217703 GCF_000001405.40 Homo sapiens
GTCTCTAGTTCACTTGGTAGCACTCTTTTCTCCTGTTGGCTTCCAAGAAAAGTAAGATATTTCTGATACACATCCACAGATGCCACTTTTGACTAGGGCAATTCAGACTTGAATGTACCTGGGCTTGAAGTTGAGTCACCCCCTAAACCCCACCCCACTACAGTGTGTGTTCAGCCAATCACAAGTCTGATCTCATCTTCTCCAGAAATGCCTCTGGGCATCAGGTCCTTTCTTCCCACTGCCATCACCTGAATCCATTTCTTAGTGGCCTGCATCGATCCAGCCTGACATTTTTACTCTTGTCCTTCTATTTAGAATCCCTCAAACGCTCCATCCCCATGGCTTCTTGCTGATGTTTGGCAGTTTCTGTGGTACCGAATCTCTGGAGGCCCACCTACAGGAACCTCCTTTCCAGCCAAGCTGCTTTCTTTCTTGCCTTTTTAGCTCCTCATTAGAGTATTCACCAAATTTCCCTTTCCAAGATCTCACCTTCCTTAAAGGCTCTTTTGGGTCTCAATTCTCTTAGGAAATGTTTGTTCCCCTCAGCCCAGGTGCACAATCACTTCTTTATCTATGCTTTCCACTTGGCATTTGATGCCCACATGGTATTTCATAATAATTGACTCACAGAAATTGATTTGTCCTTAGTGCTCATCTAGTTAAACTCCCTTACATTACAGATGGGGAAAACTTAGAGCCAAAGGGAGAAAATAACTCACCTGAGGCCACATAGGTAGTGGAGGCTGGTCAAGAACTCAGGCTCCTAATTATCAATTTTTCTACATAATTCCCTTTGCTATGGACATAATATGGGAATTTAGTCCTGTTTCTTGCAAAGTAAAAGATTTACTCTGGTCCAGTCACCAGACAGTTAGTCAATAGCACTCCTAACAGCCTATATTTCACCATGCTGATCCCCCTTCACTTGCTCCATTTCTCTCCATGCACTTTGTAAATCAGTGTTTCTCAATGAGTGTTCCTTGGATCTTGACTCCAAAATTACAGGTGATTCCTTCTTATAATGCAGTTCCCTGGGCTTTACCTAAACCTGTTGAATCAAGTTGTCTTAGAATCTGCCATTTCAAAACCATCCCAGGTGATTCTTAACCATAGAAAATTTTGGAACCATTGATATATATACAGCCTATTTTTTTAATTATAACTTTTCCCTAAATGTGTCTGCAAATTCACATTTACTATATAACACGACACTACTTTGTTTGTTATTAATATAATTTGTGGATTCTCAATCTTCTAAGTGCTCTATAAAGAACTTTAAACCCCTATGCTTTCCTGATGAGATCCCTGCCCCTAACCCCTTCCCACAGTTGTGGGGACCGTATTGCCAGCAGCACCAAAACTATGTGCAGGATGGAGCCAGGACCTGTTCTGGGATCACTCTGACTCTCACGCTGTTCCTCTGTACAATAAGTTCTGTCTCCTAAGAGCCATGTACTATTTTCATAAGAAATTTTTTTTTTTAAGGATTCAAATAAAAATCAGTCCTAAGTTCTGCAGTCTTTCTAGTTATATTAACGTTAACATTAACCATTCTTTTCTCTCCAGCCTCCCTGTTTTCTACTGAGAACTCTTCTCCCTAATCCTACTGATGACAGGGGCCTGCAGACTTACATTATTTCCCTGGCCTGGGCTTTATGACTGAATCTCAAGAGTCCAGGAGCAGACTTCCTCCCATGGGTAAATATGTAGGTCACATTAAAGAATGTATTCTGCAATTCTTCACCTCAAGAAAATGCCAACAAATCCCGGAGAATGGAATATACCTTGGGCATTATTTCCAAGTCACGTTTAGGGTTCTTTCACATTCCATGCCCAGGGCTAACTCTTGGTCATTTTCCTCTCTGCTTAGTTTCTGCCTCCCCTGGTCTGAGTAAGTTTCTGTCTGAATTCTCTTCATGCCTCATCTTCTTCCCAAAATGAAAGGAGGATAGTTACTCACAATTTTGCCATTTTGATACCTTGCTGAGAGCACTTTATAAATATTACAAAAGAAATCTAGAAGGATTCCACATCCCATCCCAGATCATTAGGGACCAGCCCCTTCAGTGTACAGAAGAGTAAACAGACAACAGAGAGGGACAGTAACTTGTCCAAAGACACACAGCTAATTGGTGGCAGTTCTGGAGGCCAGATCCCCAACCCCCTAAAGCAATGGTCATTCATTCCTGTGAAAGCCACCGAGGACAGATGTTCTCCTACTTAGAAACAATTGTTGAGGACATTTGTCTGTTGACTTCCTGGATATTCTCATCAGCTTCCAACGAATTCAGACTTCTTACTGAGCTTATGAAACCAGGAAGCACCAGCAGTCTTCGGATCTCTTTCTCTGGAGGCCCAAATTCCCCTAACTGAGCAGCTCAGGCTGCCGTGGCTCACCTGTCCAAAGTCAGAGAGTTTCCTGCCCAAGCCTGGGTTTTCCAGGACCGCAGTGGACATGCTGGCTCCCCGGGAGTGAGGTCTCTGGCTTTTTAGGGCCTCAGGTACAGGCAGGTTTGCAAACAGCACGTGGGGCTGAAGGTTTTAACCTCGCACTAGGGAGGAGAAGAGAGTTACAAAGGGTGTCTCTTGCGTGGTGCATCTCCGCACAGTAACGCCCCTCGTGGGCGTTGTCCTGACGCAGGAGGCCAGGGCAGCCTGCCGGATGCTCCAGGTCACCTGCCCAGGACGGGCCGGAGGGGAGGGGCTGAGGGAGGGTGTGGGGGACGCAGGAGGCACCACTTCGCTGCCCGCCCTGGGTAAAGGGAAGAAGCCAGGGAGCGACGGGCCACCCAAGCCCCGTCGATTAGACAGGTTTAGGCACTTCCGGGACTCTCAGAAGCCTGGGAAGCGAGTTCTCTGCAATTGGACTAAGCCTGCGACCGTCTGGTATAACAATTATATGAATAATCCGCCCCCCTTACCCCCAGCTGAAACAGTCAGGATTCTCATTTAGATTTTTGTTGTTGTTGTTTTCCCTTCTGTTAACCTCTAAGCACACTGCCTTGCTGTGCGCTGACTTCAGAAAACTACAGCTAGAGGGCACGTGAACGCTGAGCACAGCAGGTAAAGAGCAAATGTAAGAGCGATCTGGGTTTAAATCCAGCCTGGTGTTCTCCAGCTATTCGCACAACTGCTCCTGAAGCTCGGAAAAGAGGGTGGTAGAGCCACCTTGCTGGAAGGTTTTAAGAATAGGAATAAAGAAATGCATTAAAATTTAGTACAGTTCTTCCACATAAACACTCAGTAAATGGAAGATATTGTTTAAAAGCAAATCCACATAAATTTGACAATAATTACTGAGACCTGTACCGTGTGCTTGGTGGTGTTCTAGTCTTTGGGAATACAGCAATGAACAAAACAGACTCTGCCTCCCCAGCTATGCTGCCATTCTGGTGGGCAGAAAATAAACATATAAATAAGTTTAGGTAGGGCTAAGTCTTTTGAAGAAAGTAAAGTAGGGGGATGGTCTATGAGTGAGCTGGTGGGATTTGGCCAGTGGTCTTCAAATAGTCAGGAAGATGCCATTAACCACACTTTTAGAGAAGACTGAGGGTGAGGCATTACTGACCAGGAGGTAAAACAAAGTATAAAAGAATGCTGGAAAGCAGGTTCAGAGGTTCAGAAAGGATGTGAAAACTCAGGGGCCTCAAGCCTTGAGTGCCTGCTTAATATTTTCCCAAGAGAAAGTAATGGGCTGTAAGAAAATAAGCCAATAATAAAGGTTGCTGGAAGCCCATCCCTCTCCTCCCACTGTTCTTTGACCAAGCATCTGAAAATAAATAAACAAATAAATAAATAAATAAGTAAAATAAAACTCAGGTTTAGGATTCAAAACAAGTGGTTTAACTCTTGGTTCTACCACTGATTTGGTCAAGCCCATGCCTCAGTTTTTTTTTGTTTTTTTTTTTTGTTTTGTTTTTGTCTTTAAAATGAGAATTTTAAGGGATATTTAGGATTCCTTAAGCCTTTATGATGTGCCAGGCTGTCTACTGTCTGCTAAGAATACAGATATAACAAGTGCAATTTCTGTCCAAAAGGAACCTTTAGGGGCCTGATGAATATTTCCCATAGTAAGTTGGAAGCTCAATGTTGTTAAATATTGAAGGCGAAGATCTTGATTTCCATCCTCAGGAGAATCTGTATTCTTTATCTGACTCCGGCATTTTTCAGTGTAGTAGACATAAAACATGTTGTATTCCTCAGCCTCAGGATTTTCTTACAAACATAATTTCATCCCTTGATGCTACTTGAGGGCAATGAATGTGACAACTCCAAAAATATTACAGGCATGCAATAAAGAAAAGCAAAGAATATTATCTACTTATTTGCATGCACACTCTGTCTTAGACACTGTGCCACGCTCTCCACGTGCATGGTTTCACTTCTTCCTCTTAACAATCCCATGAACTATGCACTCCCTTTTAATAGGCAAGAAACTGAGGCCTAGGAAGTTTAAACAAATGGCCCAAATTCAATCTATGTTTCACCCAACACCAAGGCACTGCACTGGCTCTCAAATACTTTTGCTTTCCTGTTTGAAATGAGGACAACATAATTTTTAGGACAACAAAATGATAGCTTTTCTTTCTTCTCCCCATAACAGCTGAAAATGCAACTCTTTTTTCTAATGTTTAATTTTTGTGGGAACATAGTAGATGTATGCATTCATGGAGTATGTGCAATATTTTGATACAGGCATGCAATGTGTAATAATCACATCATTGAAAATGGGGCATCCATCCCCTCAAGCATTTATCTTTTGTGTTGCAAACAAGCCAATTATACTCTTTCAGGTATTTTTAAATGTATAATTAAATTATTTTGACTATATTCGCCCTGTTGTACTATCAAATACTAGGTCTTATTCATTCTTTCTATATTTTTTTGTACCTATTAACCATCTCCACCTCCCCTCCAGGCCCCTACTACCCTTCCCCACCTCTGGTAATTAGCTCTCTACTCTCTAGCTCCATGAATCAGATTGTTTTGATTTTTAGACCCCACATATGAGTGAGAATATGTGATGTTTGGCTTTCTGTGCCTGGCTTATTTCATTTGACATAATGACCTCCAGTTCTGTCCATGTTATTGCAAATAACAGGATCTCATTCTTTTTTATTGCTGAATAGTACTCCATTGTGTATTAAAGTACCACATTTTTTTAAAACCCATGTTGATGGAGACTTGGGTTGCTTCCAGATCTTGGCTATTGTGAACAGTGCTGCAACAAACATAAAAGAACAGACATCTCTTTGATATACTGATTTCCTTTCTTATAGGTATATACCCAGCAGTGGGATCACTAGATCATATAGTAGCTCTATTTTTAGTTTTTTGGGGAACTGCCAAACTGTTCTCCATAGTGGTTGTACAAAAATGGAATTTTTAATCCTATCTCACATAAAAATGCCCTAAATCTAGGTTGAGAGGAAAGCACATCATTGCTATCTGAGAGAAGAAAAACTAATCGCTTCTTTAAAAAAAATTATTCTGGCAAAAAGGAAAAATTTATTTATGCACTAAGATAAAAATAAGAGATTGCTTGTGCCATAAACTTGCAGATGATTTTTAAGCCACCTTTTTGTTCAATTTGGTTGGAATGCAATGTGCTGCTATAATGAGAGCAGTGCTGGGTGCTAAGGAAATGGAGGAAAAAAAGGCACATCTAGAAGAAGCATCCACAGTCAGTCAGTAGACCACTGAGGTATTTTTTAACACTGCACAGAGGTGGGGAACATGTCACAAGATGAGAAGTTGTGTACTTGGCAAACTTAGAGCTGACCTTTGCTGATTTGGAAGTTGAAGATTACCCAACCATTGCAGGTTTATCAGTTCTTTCTTGTTTATCTTCATGTGCAGAAGGTTGAGTTAATCATAATCCATGAGTTCATGGCACAGAAACAAAACCTACATGACCCTTCTCTTGTTTTTTTATTCATTCTCTTTTATCATAATTCCTCACTCTCACTGCCTTTCCCCAGAGGCAACTTCTCTAATATGATGTTTAGCCTTGAACTTGTAAAATACATAGAAATGTTTGTGCGTATATGTATTTTTCATGGATATGTGATGTGGCACTATAGATTTACTACAATCTATGGATGTACTATAGATTTCATAGTTTCTTTTTTCTTTCAACTGTGTTCTTAGGATCCAGCCATGCTGCTGAATATGTATCTAGTTCTTTGCTTTTCTAAATGGTTCAGAATATCCCAGTGTGTATTTGCCACACTTGACTTCTTTATTTTCCAGTTATGGACATCTAAGTCATTGCTAATTTTTCACCACCCCAAACAATACTGTGATAAATTTCCTTATCTTTCTTCCCTTATAGGCCTGGGGTAGAAATTTTCTGGGATAGAAGAGTGGTGCTATTATGAATCATAGGGAACATGCACTCTTAATTTCACAAAGTGCTGCCAGATTGCCCTTTAGAGTGGCTTGGACCAGTCTACACACCAACCAGCAGGCAAAAGAGTTCCTATTGGTGGGTATACCTAATATGTGGTATTCTCCAAAGGTCAGAATTTTTGCCAATCTGATCAGCATAAGCTGGTGTCTTGTTGTTTTTAATTTGAATTTCTCTCATAACTCATGAGTTTGAGCATCTCTTTATATACTTATACCTCTTAGATTTCCCATGCTATGAATAGTTTATCATCATATTTTCTACCCATTTTCTACTAGGATTCCTGTCTTGTAGATTTGTTGCAATAATTTCTGTTAGCTCTGTGTCCAAATATTAGCTCTGTGCCCTTCTCAGTCACTGAACACATTGCCTCCCAATGTGTCACTGTCAGTTAATTGTCAACTGGTGTCCTTCCTTGATTAAACAATAAAACAAGTAATTTTGAAATAACAAGTCCATCCTTTTAAAAATTTTTGTGGTTTGTACTATAGAGTATTGTTTAAGAAGTCCTTCCCCATCCCAAAGTTCCAAAGAGGTGCTCTTCTCTCTAGCATCTAGATCTATCATAGCTAGATCTTTAATCTACCTGCATTGTAGATATACCTGTACATGCCTTGGGGATTTCTTAGAGGCTTTTCAACATGGTCCCACAGTCCAGGTAATACCACTTAACTTAAAGAGGCCAATCCCACAATCAATTGTCTTTTGGGATTTTCTCACCATAGAGCCTATTTTAACTTTCCGCTAGATATATAGATCAAATTTTCTTTCTCTGATTTGAAAGTTATCCCTTATATTTTAATTTTTTTGCTGTATTTTTATTTTTTTGCTCCAAGTTATATAATTTTTTCCTTTTAGATATAACTTTTTTCATTTATTTTTGAGGAGGTGAGCACTCATATGGCTCAAACATCAAAATATAAAACCTAGTGAAAATTATTTCACATTCCCCTGTTCATCAGGCACCTGATTCTCTTCTCCAAAGATAACCAATGTTGTCAGTTTCTTCTAGAGATCTTTAAGCAAATATTTATGATAGTGTATATGCATATATTCCTTCCCTCCTTTTCTTACACAAATAGTAGCATACTATACATGATTCTAAATCTTGCCTTTTTTTTTTTTTTTTTGAGATGAAGTCTCGCTCTGTTGCCAGGCTGGAATACAGTGGTACGATCTCAGCTCACTGCAACCTCCACCTCCCCAGTTCAAGTGATTCCCCCACCTCAGCATCCTTAGTAGCTGGGTCTACAGGTGCGCACCACCATGCCCAGCTAATTTTTTGTATTTTAGTAGAGACAGTGTTTCATCATGTTGGCCAGGTTAGTCTCGATCTCCTGAACTCATGATCCACCCACCTCAGCCTTCCAAACTGCTGGGATTACAGGCGTGAGTCACCACGCCCGGCCCTAAACCTTGCCTTTTTAAACTTTAAACTTAATGATATATCTTGAGGTCACGCTGTTTACTACAGGAAGACCTTATTTATTCTTTTGTAATGGCTCCATTGTATTTTTATGTGGATTATCGTAATTTATTTCATCAGTACTCTGTTGGTAAGTATTAACATTTATGTTGTTTCTAATCTTTCACTATTACAAGTAATGCTTTAATGAAGAACTTTGTATGTATCATTTTACACATGTGTAAGAAGATAGCTATGTGAAATAATACATTAAGTTGAATGTATGAGTCAAAGGACATGAGAATGTATCATTTTAGTACATACTGACAAATTACCCTTTAGAGGATGACCATATAATTTATTATCCATGTTGGAATGTTTTGATAGTGAAAGGAGGTACTAGTTATAATTACACAGAAAAAAAACCAGATATAAATTGGACTGTCTCCGTTAAACGGTTATGTATGGTCTATCAATCCATATGAGTTCTACCAACTTACATTTTACCAACAAAATATAAGAATGTCCACTTTCCCTATAGTTTTCAACCCAATGTGACATTGTATACTTTACCACTGGGCAAATGTCAACAAGTAAGTTCAGATTTACAGAAAGACCAGACATCACTTGAGTAAATCAAGAGGTCTGCTGAGTCAAGATTCACAGCAAAAAGATCATCAGTATCACCTATGAACAAGCAGGATATGTTTACAGCAGGGGGTACACACTTGTGGATGATAATGCCTGCGTGAATGAGAGATATGCTAGACCTTATGGAAGCTCAGCTCCTCCTTCACACACAGCCTGATGAGCATGAGACTAAAGCAGTTCTGGACAGGGACTTGACTGTATACAACAAACTTGGTTTCAGCATAACACGTTAATCACACATTGCACAGTTTGGTGAAATGGATATAGCACAGGGTACCCTTATGCCTGAACAAACTTCTCATTAATCATATTCAAGCTCTTCATGCTAATGTAAGTTGCTTGAACCAAGAACATTTATAAATTTATTGCTGTGGGACCAGAACAAATGTTAGGTACCCAGGCATGTGGCCTATAGACCATCCATGAGAACTTACCAAAATTTTTGATTCTCACCATTCTAGAGGGGGAAAAACATATTATAGTTTAAATTAGAATGTACCTTATTTTGAGCAATGTTTGTACATATTTAAAAGTAATTTCTATTGTTATTTCTGTGAACTGTCTACACCTAAGATGTCTAAATTCTGATTATTTCTCTAATGGGATATTTTGTACCTGTCTTGGGGATTTCCCAGAGGTTTTTCAACATGGTCTCACAGTCCAGATAATACCACCTGACTTAAAGAGGTCCATCCCACAATCAATTGTCTTTTGGGGTTATCTCACCGTGCAGCCTATTTTAAGAAAAACATACCTTTGTCCTGCCAATGGTGGAGTCCAGCTTCTTCTCTGGACTTCTTTTCTGTCTATGCTCAATATTCAAAGAAGTTATCCAGTTTCTTGCCTTTATACACGAGTTAGGCAGTTTCTACACCTGCAAAATCCAGAGGACGTAGGCCAAGCTCTCTGGTAGGTTCTTTTTAACCACCCTAACTTGGTATAAGGTAAAGAGGAGGGAATACTTCTCCCCTTCCAATGGAAGCAAAAGAGAAATGTCACAGCACATTGACACATCTCTAGTGAAATTCTCTTCCCAGCCATTTGTTTTAGTCTTCTGGTTTGTTCTTATAAATCCTTACAGTGAGTATTGAATCTAATGCTGCAAAATGGGATTCTCCATCTCTTAGCATGCATGTCCTGTATAGAAAGTCTCAAACTCCAAAGCAGCAAAAACAAAACAATCACATTCAATGTACTATTAGCAGCAACTAGACTGATGGGTTTTTTTTTTAAATTAAGCTACTTCCTTAAATATTTAACCAGTTTTATGCATTTGTAAAGAATTTAACAAATGGAGATGTTAGAGACAATTTCTATGGCATTTCTATATATCTTGGACTACCTTTTCAAGGATATATGCACAGCAAAGAGCATTAGAGGCTAGTCTGTCCCTTTGGGTCAGACAGCAGAATTATTTATTGTCCAGTATAATAATTACAGAGAACATCTCCATCTCTGAAGACATTCCATAATAATAAAGTCTTCAACCTCTCACCAGAAGAAAACTTGTTTCCATGCCAAGGTAAAGATAATGCCTATCTTTGAAGAGGAGGATGAGGAAGTTGCCATCAGCTTCTGTATGAATCAGAATGTCCTAAGCTCAGTGTTCCTTGGCTGTGAAACTGTATGCTCAGCATACACCTGGATCTACTCTGCATTACCCATGGACTTGGGGGACAAGGAGAATCAATGAAAATATGGACCTCATGTTGCCTATTGTGCCCTGAACAATAAACTGTGTAAATTCATTTGGATTCCTGGTTTACTCATTTGCCAATGTTATGAAAGTGTGGAAAGTCTGCCTAGAAGTTACACTGATGTTCAGGAATTGCTTGGCAAGTTGATAGGAAAGAAAGGGACCTGTGGCATATACAGCTAGGTTCTCCATTTTCTTTCCTTCTTTCGCATGGAAATGGAAACTCAATATTAGTTTTCCCCAATCCTTCATAGAATAAAAACTGCCTTTCCCAGCCTTTCTTGCAGCTGAGTGTAACTACAGGTCTAATATTTGGCCAAAGAAATGCAAGGAGAAGTAGTCTGTGCAATACCTAAGTAGTGTCCATAGAGGAGGCACACCCTTCTCCTTTTATTTTCTCCTTCTTGCAGGATGGAATGCAGATATGCTGACTGGAGCAGGAGCAGCCATATTGCATTATAAGGTAAATTTAGGAATGGAGACATGTTTTTCAGAGCAAAGGAGGAAAGGTTCAAGACAGAAGAAGCATTTGTGGTTATTGATATCATAAAGCATCACTTCAGCAGCCTTAGACTGCTGACTTAGAATTTGATGAGAAAAATTAACTTCTACTTTCTTTAAACTCATTTTTTTGACGTTTCTGTCACTCACAATCAAATCTAATCACAACAATCTAAGAGACACGGATTGATATTTAAGATGGATTTACTTGTCCTAAAACTGTTCTTTCTTCATCAGACTTCAGAGAAAAATGCAACGTCTCATTGCAGACACAAAGGAGACTTCCTAATAAGTCAGCATGACTCACGAACTTCTTCAGAACCTTGTTTCAATGGCATCCTTCGTTTTAGTCTAACTTTTCCCTCACAGACAACCCAGAAATCTAAAGATCAGCCAAAGCCCACATAAACCCAATGCAATTAAGGTATGAAGTCATGGTTTTCATTAAAATAAGATTTCAGGCAGGCTATTCCAGGAATTCTTAGCAGAATTTAGACTTTACATTGAGTCATAATAAAGTCAGTTAGTAAATCAAGTGCATTTGATCCAAGTTTAAGTACAAACCAATATATATATAATATACATTATATGTATGATCTCAAGACTCTGAAGTCATTGCATGAGCATCCCTTCTCGGCAACATCAGAGTGAGATCACTGAGGTGCTGTCATTCATGCACACATTTATTCAACAAACGTTTGTTGAAGATGTACTAAGTGCCAGGCACTGTTTATGATAAACAGGAGAGTCTACTCAAAGTAATTTCACATCCTATTAGGAAACAGGAACATTAAATAAATAGACAAAAAAGGCAAGATAAACTCAGTACTTACAGTGACCAAGAAGACACTGAGTTTTAAAAAGAGGTAAGAGACTATATGGGGGATACTGGTTTAAGTCGGGTGCTGAGGGAAGATCTATTCAACAAGGTAATGTTTGAGCTGAGAACTGAATTATGGAAAGGCTCCAAATGCAAAGAGCTAGGGGAAGGGATTTCTGGTAGAGGAAACATCTATACAAAATCTCTAATATATGAGTAAATGGGACTTTTCTGAGGAGCATACATAAGCCAGTTGTTGGGGGGGCGGGTAAAGAGAGTGAAAAGGAGAGAGGTGTAAGCTGAGTCTGGAGAAGTAGGCACGACAAATTCATGTAACTGGTTCATAGCCAGTTGTGAGCTAAAAGTATTAGACTGGTGCAAAAGTAATTGCAGTTTTTGCCATTAAAAAAATGCAAAAACCACAATTACTTTTGCACCAACCTGATAGTTCACATAGACATTCCAGAGACTATTTTTCAAGAACTTATCAATAATTTTGTGAGCATATTTCTAAACAGAACCACAATTAAAAACAAAATTATGTAAATTTGTGATTGAATCAATTATATTAAAAACAAAGGTAATAAATACTCCAAGAAGATTACTTCTAATTACTTTACTGCATTTTATTACTACCTATGCTTTTAATGTTATTTTATGTCCATTGTATCTATGTGGTAGAAATATGACATAATATGCTACTGTACCTCTCTTCCCAATTCTGTGTTCAGTGACATGATGTTGGTAGCTTGAAGTCAGTCATAGAGTGAGTCTTTACACCATGATAATTAGCAAGCACTGTTTGTTTGGGTGGGTGGGTTGCTAAACATTTACCGCAACCCCACTGACTATTACTATGGTAGCAAAGTCACAAATAGGACTGGATTGAAGTCTGATGGCTCAGAGGACAGAGCAACAATGTCATTAGGAATAGAAGACACTTAGGGGCAGAGAAGGCTCAGCCATTGATAACAGAGAAAGGGACATCAAATCCAAAGTTATCAGGGTATGCTTGGTCTGAAGAAAAATTCAAGGTGAAAGCTAGGGGAGGCTGCCAAAATGGAAGGCTTAGGAGTAAGGATCAACACTCACCAGGTCAATTCATACACTACATCTTCAAAAAAGTTTTTTTTTTTTTTTTTTTCTGACTCATTGCTCCTAGTCAGAGGTGGGCATCCTTCCTTGGCCCAGATACTGCCTGGCAGTTTTCTCTGCAAACTCACACACTCTCTTGTGATTTTGTTTCCACTCTTCTGTCTCCTCTCCTGGACTAAGAACTCTCAGGACAGAGATCAAATATCAGTATTTCTAAATCCTCAGGACTAAGCATGGTGCCTGATGCACATTATGTGTTCAATGCTTACTAGTATAATCAGAAATGTAGAAAAATATGCACAAGTATGTTCAGGGCAACATGATTCCAGATAGTGTGGGGAGAAATGAAATCTTCAGCTCAGGGAAAATAATTAATTACAGTTTATTCAAATAATAGCTGCAGCCACAAAAAAAAATTAAGATTATAAAAGTGTGATATTTTACAATTTACACAATTAAGCTATGAATAATTACTGATAAAAGATACAAAGCCTTGTATTCCTCATTATGTAGGTACGTCAAGAAGCATACACCCCAACCCTATGCCAAAAAACAAACAAACAAAAACCAAAAAACAAAACCTAGAAAGAGGCAGTGTTTTGTTTAGATTGTGGAATCAGGAGTGATATTTTGTTTGTCACATTTATTCTTTCCCACTTACATGTATGTAAGGGAGTACAGTTGCAAGGGAAAATATAGTTTGCCTAAAACTATATTGGATTTCTAGTTGAACATAAATGAAATGTCCTTCAGCTTTATTCTTTCTATTTCATTCCTTCTGGAAAGAGAGAGAAACAAAAATTAATTCAGCACTTAGTTATTCAGTACCAGGCACATCGGAAAGGTTATCTCACTTGATACTTTCTACAGTCCAATGAGATACGCTTTTATTTTAAAATTTTTTAATGTTTAATATATGTGGGTACATAGTAGTTGTATATATTTGTGGGGTACATGAGATATTTTGATACAATCATACAATGAGTCATAATCACATCAGGGTAAATGGGGTATCTGTCACCTCAAGCATTTATCCTTTCTTTGTGTTACAAACAATCCAATTATACTTTTAGTTATTTTTAAATGTACAATAAATTACTGTTGACTGATAGGTTTTTAGTATTCTCATTGTGTGGATGAGAAGTCTGAGATATTGTAGTCTTCTGGGATAGAAAGCAAAATATCAGGTATGGTGATGTCAGGGCTGGAGAAAGTCCCCATTATCTTTTCCCTCTGGTTCTCAAGGGAAGCAAAATGTTTAGTGGAAGGGGCGTGGTCTAAACACCCCTATCCACTTAGAGACCCCTGACCCTTGCAGGGACTTGGTAGGTTTGACCATTTGAAAGCATGAGTTTTGGAGACTGCAGTCACTACTCATCTAATAAAAAATTTTGGAGGCACATATTCTGAGGTACACAGTCCATCAGGCCATGGGGTGCTCAGTTTCCTGATAAGACACAGACCTGATTGTGGATATAAATTCTTTTGCTAATTCCTCTGTGTCTGTCTCACCAGGGAAAAAGGTGGCTGAGGTCTAGGGCTAAGGAGACACTTGGGGGACTAGACATGAGATCCACCCACCCAATCTAAAAATATTTGTTCAGCTTTTGCTGCAAGAGAGCCACTTTTCTAGGTTCTATGATTATAACTGCCTTCCTGAGTTTATGTTTCTTTTAGCAAATGGAGATTTATATGGTTTGGCTGTGCCACCACCCAAATTGGGGCGTTCTCATGCCCCCATGCTGCTGTTCTCATGGTAATAAATGAGTTTTCAGGATATCTGATGGTTTTATAAAAGGCTTTTTTCTCTTTTGCTCGGCACTTTTCCTTCCTGCCACCATGTGAAAAAGGATGTGTTTGCTTCCCCTTCCACCATGATTGTCAGTTTCCTGAGGCCTCCTCAGCCCTGCAGAATGGTGGGTCAATTAAACCTCTTTCCTTTATTAATTACCCGGTCTTGGGTATGTCTTTATTAGCAGCATGAGAATAGACTAATACAGACATTAGTCAAATCACAGGAATAAATTCAAATTTGTAATCTTAACAAGTGTCATGAAGGAGATGTACATAATGCTGTGAGAACTTTTCCCTAGGAAGTTTTTGCAATCTCAGAGAGCAAAGTAGAAATATCTAGATGAAAAGGGAAGGGAAGAACCTGGAACCTTCCAGAACCTTCCAGGCAGAAGGAATAGCATGAGCAAAGGTCATATTGCAGAAACAATGGGGAACTTGGTTGAAGATGCGAGTGGAAAGCTCCTTGGGGTAGACCATGTCAACCATGGCAAGGAACTTTTATCTTTATCCTGAGAGGTGGAGTGCCCTTGAAGTGTGTAATCAGAGGTGGCTCCATTAGATGTGCGTTTTGACAAGACCACTCTGGCTGCAAGGTGGAGAGTGGAATGGAGGGTATCGAAAGCAGCTAATAGGTGATTGCACTTGTCCAGGTGAGAAATGGCCATGATGCCTTGGACTAAAGTGGTACTGAGGGTGGAGATGAAGAAAATAGGATGAATTTGAGAAAAATTTAGAAATTTTAAAAAGAGGAGTCAGTTTAGATATGAGCCAGCATGAGAAACAGGTCAAAGATGACTCTTAGGCTGCTAAGTAGATGGAGAGAATGCCATTCTCAGAGATAGCTCCATCTCTGCTTTTGAAGGAACAAAGAGATCTATTGAGTTGTGCTCTTCAGTCTAATCATTGAGAAGATATCTCTGGAACTGGGACTCATTGAGATATTAAGTTAGGGAACTTCTATTATGTGTTATCTTTCTAAAAACTATTTTTCTATTTGTATTTTACATTTTGATTTACAGAGTATTTTCAAATACATTATCTGTAAGGTATAGATTGCTAACCCCATTTTAAAAATGAGAAAATAAACTGAGTAGTTAAGTAACTTGCTCAAAGTCACACAGGCTATCTGAGTCCAAGTTCAATGCTCTTTTTATTTTATTTCTGCCATTCATTCATTCAGTATGTGTTTACCACCTACTCAGAGACAGCAGAGGCAGATTCATCATGTAGCTAATGAACTAAAGCTTTAGAGCCTCACATCTACATAAGCTCTGAGGCTCTTAGAGGAACTCTAGAAATGAGTTTGTCTGGTTACATATTTTCATCTTTTTTTTTTTAATTTGCCAAAGTAAGATAGTTAATCCACAGTTAGGTATGACTGCCATCTCTTCCCACATTAACATCCTCTCCATCATGCTTCTCCTCATGGCCAGTGGCCACAGACACCTTTGAGATCCAGATAAGAACAAGATAGGATGAAAATTCATTTGTGTATAGTTAGTGGTTATATTGACATCTTTTGCACTGACTTTTATAAGAGTTGTTTTGCTGGCTGTCTAGGTGTAAGAAGAGATTCCAGAACACCCCTGCTGTCCACTCTCCTGAGTTACTAGGTCTTAAGGTCTTGAGAAGAAGTTTGGAGAGCATGTTATATGGGGTCTAGTTCTCTCTAATCCCTGATCAAAACAGAATTTCTCTCCTTGTCAGGAATATACTTGATAATAAAGCAAAAACACACATCCTTTCTTCCCCATTTCTGTGGAGAATTGTGTGAAATCAATGTATGAGAATTCCTGTTTGTAAGGCACAAATCTTTAGTGGTTCTACAACTACACATTTCAGTATATTTGTGTGTGAAGCAATATGTCTTACGTATCTATGGTATCAATAATAAAAAAACAAATTTCAATCATGTTATAGAAAAAATAAATTATCTGTTTATTCTCTCTGAAGATAATGAAAGTAAAAATTATGAGATAATCAGTGTACACCAAAAATACAGAAACAGTTACTATAGCGGTTGATTAGATAATTTATTAATAAAAATATTATATAATTTACCTGGAATTTGTGGCATTTTGCCAGCCTTCAATAAGGTGGCATTTACTTGGGTTTTTGTTCTAAAGACATATTCATTTTTCTATCAAATTTTATATTTAAAATTTTGTATTCCTTTCCTTAAATAGAGCCCCAAAGTTTTATAAGCCACAGGCTTCCAAAATTTGTAGGTACCCCCACACAGGAACTATGTGAGTCAGACAAAATAACCTGCTCCCCCACAACTTAAAGCTTATGAGAGGGAAATAGCAGTGGGGTGGGTAGGTGTTAGAGCTTGGCTGTGTGGGGCCAAGTGCTGGGGGAATGCGCCACAGATGCCCCTGACTGCCTTGAGGGTTGATGATGATGGTTAGGAAAGGAAGATGATTCCCAAGTGGAAAGGAGAGGTAAGGATGTCTTAGGTAGAAAAACTAGCCAAAGCCTCACATAGACATAGTTTTAATCCTCACTACTTGATCTAAGGTCCATGAATTGTTTCTTATGCAAAGCTCTGATGACTTCATTTTGCAAGCTCTCCTTTCATTGCTACTTCCCTCAATCTCCTTGCCTACCTTCCCTGGGGAGAGTCAGTTGCCCCTTCCATTGGTCTCCGTTAGCACCCTGTTGACATTCTGGTTTTGCATTCAGCCTTTTTCCTTGCCCTCTTGCGAAAAGGAATATTATGTTAACTCCCTCAATACAGAGACTGAGTCTTTTTTCAATTTTTGCATCCTAGAACCCACCACTTTGTTGGTACATAGTAGGTATCCAATAAACGTTGATGCAGTAATATTTATTGAGCTCCTATCATGTGGCAGCCCCTGTACTAGACACCAAAAAACCACTGGTAAATGAAGCAGACACAGCCCCTGCCATCCTGGGGCTTACATTCTAGTGTCTGTTGAAAGAATAAATGAATGGCGGTGTGTGTGCTGAACAAGCT
Organism: Homo sapiens; assembly: GCF_000001405.40. Taxonomy (NCBI): domain Eukaryota; kingdom Metazoa; phylum Chordata; class Mammalia; order Primates; family Hominidae; genus Homo; species Homo sapiens. The sequence goes on from NC_000012.12 coordinate 102,932,025, forward strand.
CAGAAAAAGTGATGTTAGGAAAGGGGTTTGAGGTCGTCAGAGTCTGTCTCCTCCAATCCCCCTTCCATTCCTTCAGACTTATCATCTGTGTTACCTCTCTGCTTACAAATCTCCCAGGCCATCCCAACCAAACCATTTGTCTGTCATTCAAGGCTTCCCAAAGCCAAGCCTACCCTGCCCAACCATCCCAAACCCTAGGACCCACCATTACAGGGCCTCTGCTCTTCCCACTGTGCCCTTCTTATACTTACAGCTTATGAGAAGGAAATGGCACAAGACTTTGACAAGTTAACAACCATGATTATGTGAAACCATCAATATCAACTACAATGAACATTTATTAAATGCCTGCTATTCAATAAATAAGCACCAAACTCTGTGGGCTCCTTGGAGAGAAGACCCAGTTGCTTGAGGCTAGGAAGATATTCACATAAAAAGATCGCTGGTGATCCTAGAGAGCCCATGCCAAGGAATAAATGAGGCTACAGAGATGACAAGAGGAGAAGGACAGTTTTTCTGAGACTATTAAATTAAGTGTTTTGCATGCCACTTCCTGTATTACATATACATATATCTTACATTTTGTAAGCAGCTTTGGTACCACCAACTCAATTCACTTCTTCAACAGGTGTATATAGAACATCTGCCTTTTTTGAGACACCACAGTGAGTGCTGAGTTCATGAAAGGAGGCAAAGCAGGTTTTTCACTCTTACGGGAACTTCAAAGGCAGTGGGTTCTTATAAGAATAATGGGAGGCTACTGAAAGGTTTTTCATTATTTTAATTTTTAATTTTTAGTTGTTGTGAGTATGTAGTAGGTGTATATTTATGGAGTACATAAGATATTTTGATACAAGCATGCAATGCTTAATGGTCACATTACACATTGCACGCTTATACTCATGGAAAATAGGGTATCCTGTACCTCAAGCATTTATTCTTTCTTTGTGTTACAAACAATCCAATTATGCTCTTTCATTTTAAAATGTACAAGAAATTATCATTGACTATAGTCACTCTGTTGTGCTGTCAAATACTAGACGTTTTTCATTCTATATCACTATATTTTTGTACCATTAACCATCCACGCTTTCACCACCACACTATCCTTCTCAGCCTCTGGTACCCATTGTTCTTCTCTCTGTCTCCAAAAATTCAATCTTTTTAATTTTTAGCCTCCATAAATAAGTGAGAACATGGAAAGTTTGTCTTTCTGTTCCTGGCTTATTTCGTTTAACATAATGACCTCCAGTTCCATCCATGTTTTTTCAAACAACAGGATCTTATTCTTTTTATGGCTGAATAGTACTCCATTGTGTATAAGTACCACATTTTGCATATCTATTCATTTGTTAATAGGCATAGGTTGCTTGCAAATTTTGCCTATTGTGAATAGTGCTGCAATAAACATGGGCATGCAGATTTCTCTTCAACATTCTAATTTCCTTTATTTGGGGTATATACCCAGCAGTGGGATTACTAGATCATATTGTAGCTCTATTTTCAATTTTTGAGGAACCTCCAAACTGTTCTCCATAGTGGTTGTACTAATTTACATTCTCACCAACAGCATACAAGAGTTCCTTTGCCTGTATTTTGGATTATAAGCCATTTTAACTGGGGTGAGATGATATTTCATTGCAGTTTTGATTAGCATTTCTCCGATGATCAATGATATCAAGCACGTTTTCATATGCCTGTTTTCCATTTATATGTTTTCTTTTCACAATGCTTATTCAGATTTTTTTGCCCATTTTTCAATTGGATTATTAGAATTTTTCCCATACAATTGTTTGACCTCTTTGTAATTTCAGTTATTAACTGGTTGTCGGATGTAGAGTTTGCAAATATTTTCTCCCATTCTGTGGGTTGTCTCTTCACTTTGTTGTTTCTTTTGTGGTGCAAAAGCATTTTTAACTTGATGTGATCCCGTTTGTTCATTTTTTGCTTTGGTTGACTGTGCTTGTGATATTACTCAAGAGATCTTTGCCCAGTTCAATGTTCTGAAGAGTTTCCCCAATGTTTTCTTTCAGTATTTTCATAGTTTTAGGTCTTAAATTTTGATTTGATTTTTTAATATGATGAGACATAGGAATGTTGGTTCATTCCTCTGCATATGAGTTTCCAGTTTTCCCAGCATCATTGATTGAAGAGACTGTCCTTTCCCAAGTGTATGTTCTTGGCACCTTGGTTAAAAACGAGTTCACTGTAGATGTATGGATTTGTTTGTGTGTTCTTTATTCTCTTCCATTGCTCTGTGTGTCTGTGTTTATGCCAGTACTATCCTGTTTTGGTTACTATAGCTCTGTATTATAATTTGAAGCCAGGTAATGCAATTCCTCCAGTTTTGTTCTTTTTGATCAGAATAGCTTTGGATATTCTGGGTGTTTCATGGTACCTTAAATTTTAGGATTTTTTTTCTGTTTCTGTGAAGAATGTCATTGATATTTTGATAGGGATTGCATTGAATCTGTATGTTGCTTTGGGTAGTATGTACGTTTTAACAATATTATTTTTTCCAATCTATGAATATGGAATATCTTTCTATGGTTTTTGCATCCTCTTCAATTTCTTTCATCAATGTCTTATAGTTTTCATTGTAGAGACCTTTCACTTCTTAGGTTAACTCCTAGGTATTTTATTTTATTTGTGGATATTGTAAATGGGATTATGTTCTTCATTTCTTTTTCAGATTGTTTGCTGCTGGCATATAGAAATGCTACTGATTTTCTATGTTAATTTTATATCCTGAAACTTCACTGAATTTGTTTAGCCAGTTCTGTTATTTGGTTAAGTATTTAGGTTTTTCCAAATATAAGATCATGTCATCTACAAATAAAGATAATTTGACTTTCTCCTTTCCAAATTGGATGCCTTTTATTTCTTTCTCTTGTCTGATTGCTCTAACTAGAACTTCAGTGGTTAAAGTAGGCATCCTTGTTATTTTCCAGACCTTTGAAGAAAGGCTTTCAGTCTTTCCCCATTCAGCATGACCCTAGCTGTGGGTCTGTCATATATGGCTTTTATTGTGTTGAGGTATGTTCCTTCTATACCCAGTTTTTTGAGAGTTTTTATCATGAAGGGATGTTGAATTTTATCCAATGCTTTTTCAGCATCAGTTGAAATGATCATATGGTTTTTGTCCTTCATTCTGTTGATATGATGTATCACTTTGATTGATATGTAAATGTTGAACCATCCTTGTATCCTGGGATAAATCTCACGTGGTCTTGATGAATGATCTTTTAAACGTGATATTGAATTTCTTTTGCTAGTATTTTGTCAAGGATTTTTGCATCAATGTTCTTTAGGAATACTGGCCTGTAGTTTCCTTTATTCATGTGTTTTTATCTGGTTTTGGTATCAGGGTAATAATGGCCTTGTAGAATGAGTTTGAAAGTACTCCCTTCACTTCTATTTGTCAGAATAGTTTGAGTAGTATTGGTATTATCTCTTCTTTAAATGTTTGGTGAAATTTAGCAATGAAGCCATTGGGTACCAGGCCTTTTTTTGCTGGAAGACTTCATTATGGCTTAGGTCTTGTTACTTGTTATTGGTCTGTTCAGGTTTTGGATTTCTTCATGGTTCAATATTGGTAGGTTTTATGTATCTAGGAATGTATCCATTTCTTCTAGGTTTTCCAATTTAGTGGTGTACAGTTGCTCATTGTAGCCTCTAATGATCCTCTAAATTCCTGTGGTATTTGTTGTAATGTCTCCTTTTTCATATCAGATTTTATTTAATTCGGTCTTCTCCCTTTTTTTTCTTAGTCTGGCTAAAGGTTTGCTGATTTTGTTTACCTTTTCAAAAAACCAACTTTTTGTTATGTTGATCTGTTGTATTGTTTTCTTTGTTTTATTTCTTTCTGCTCTGATCTTTATTTTTTTTTCTTCTATTAATTTTGGGTTTTGTTTGCTCTTGTTTTTCTAGTTCCTTAAGATGCATTGATAGCTTGTTTATTTGAATTTTTTTAATTTTTTGATGTGGATACTTATAGGTATAAAATTTTCTTTTAGTACTACTTTCACTGTAACCCAAAGGTTTTGCTTTGTTGTGTTTCCATTATCACTGGTTTCAGCAAATTTTTCAATTTCTATTTTAATTTATTCATTGACCCACTGGTCATTCAGGAACGTATTGTTTAATTTCCATGTGTTTGTGTAGTTTCCAAAATTCCTCCTGTTATTGATTTCTAGTTTTCTTCCATTATAGTCAGAGAAGATACTTAATATAATCTCAATTTTTGAACTTTTTAAAGACTCTTTTGTGACCTAAAATATGGTCTATTCTTGAGAATGATCCATGAGCTGTGGAGAATAATGTATATTCTGCAGCCATTGAATGAAATGTTCTGTAAATATCTATTAGATTCATTTGGTCTATAGTGCAGATTACATTGATATTTCTTTGTTAATTTTCTGTCTCAGTGTTCTGCTCAATGCTGAAAGTGAGGTGTTGATGTCTCTAGCTATTATTGTATGGGAATCTACCTCTTTCTTTAGCTCTAATAATATTTGCTTTGTATATCTGGGTACTCCATCATTGGATGCATATATATTTACAATTATTATATTGTCTTGATGAATTTACCACTTTATCATTATATAATGATCTTCTTTGTCGCTTTAAATAGTTTCTATCTGGAAATATATTTTGTCTAAATGTAGCTACTCCTTCTCTTTTTCGGTTTCCATTGGCATGAAGTATGTTTTTCTATTTCTTTATTTTTAGTCTTTGTGTGTCTTTATAGGTGAAGTGTGTTTCTTGTAGGCAACAGATCATTGAGACTTATTTTTTCTTTCCATTTAGACAGCCTATGTCTTTTGATTGGAGAGTGATATGGTTTGGCTGAGTCCCCACTCAAATCTCATCTTGAATTGTAGTTCTCATAATCCCCACATGTAGTGGGAGGGACCTGCTGGGAGGTAATTTAATTATGGGGGCAGTTACCCTCAAGCTGTTCTCGTGATAGAGTGAGTTCTCAGGAGATCTGATGATTTTATAAGGGGCTTTTCCCCCTCTTGCTTGGCACTCCTTCTTGCTGCCACCATGTGAAGAAGGATGTGTTTGCTTATCCTTCATTATTGTAAGTTTCCCAAGGCCTCCCCAGCCCTGCAGAACTGTGAGTCAATTAAATCTCTTTCCTTTGTAAATTACTCAGTCTCAAGCTTGTCTTTATAAGCAGTGTGAGAAAGAACTAATACTGAGAGTTTAGTCCATTTATATTCAATGCTATTATTAAGTAAGGACTTACTCCTGCCATTTCTGTTGCTTATTTTTCTGGTTGTTTTGTGGTCTTTTTCTTCTTTCCCTCCTTTCTGTCTTTCTTTTAGTGAAAGCAGTTTTCTATGGTGGTATGTTATAATTTCTTGCTTTTTACTTTTTTTTGTACCTGTTATATGGTTTTTTATTTGAGGGTACCAATGAGGCTTCCACATAATATCTTATAACCTATTAATTTAATCCGATGACAACTTAACGCTGATTGCATAAACAAACAAGCAAAGAGAAAACTAATTTTAAAACTCTACACTTTAACTTTGTTGCCCTGATTGTTAACTTTTTATTATTTCTATTTATATATTATTGTACTTTCAATGTATTGACAAGTTGTTGTTGTAGTTATTATTTTTTATTTACTCATCTTTTCGTCATTCTACTCAAGATATGAGTAATTTATACACTATATTTACAATGTTATTATATTACATTTTTCTCTGTGCTTAGTATTACCAGTAAGTTTTTCACCTTCAGATTATTTCTTAATGCTCATTAACATCATTTTCTTTCAGATTAAAAAACTCCCTTTAGCATTTCATGTAGGATAAGTTTGGTGTTGATAAAATCCCTCAGGTTTTGTTTGTCTGGGAAAGTCTTTATTTCTCCTTCATGTTTGAAGAACTTTTTGGCTGGATATACTACTCTAGGATAAACATTTTTTTCCAGAGGGTAGGTGCCAAGATGGCTGACCGAAGCAGCTACTGTGCACCGCTCTCATGGAATGGAGATAAAGTTGTGAGTAAACACTATAAATTTTCCTTAGTACTGCTCTTCGACAAGATTGTCCAGGAAGCCATGTTGGAATTCAGCAAGGAAGCAACAGTGAACCACAGAGAGCAGAGAGGAATGAGGCAGGACAGCTGCCCACCAAGGATTGGCATGGAAGCAAGGGAGTATCCCCACCATGGGGAAAGGGTGCGTGAGCAAGAGGCCCCAGTGACCACACTATTCCCATAGATCTTTGCAATTCTGGGCACAGGATTTTCCCTGTGACCCTCCCCACAACGCCCCACTCCCAGGCCTCCAAACTGACATGGACAACTGCCTAGAGTCCGGGCAGAGCTACCACTCAGGCTCACATGGATCCCCAAGGGTCTTGGATCCCTGAGCACCCCGACACCACCTGCTGTAAGTGTGTATTTCACCAATAAGGAATGCCAGGCTCTCTTGCTAACCCCCAGGATAGGGTTTGTGTCCACAGTGCTGAGGAAGGGACAGACTGCAAGCCTCACCTCTGCTTCATATCTTCAGGCAAAGCCCACTGGCCCAGGACCCCAGAACAGCCACCCTACTCCCACCTAAGCATTTGGGCCAGTAGCAGCTCTGCATTTCTCTGGGACAGAACTCCCAGAGGTAAATGACAGACCCTTAGTTGCTGCTGCTTGCTGTCTGCTGTCTTGGCCCTCACCTCTACTTCCCTCAGGCTAGGGAGGTAGTGAAGAGCCCAAATACTGTCTCAAGCCTCCAACATGCTGTAGTAGATGCCATACAGAAAAGGAGCCAGATTATTCTTGACACTGGTCCTTGCCCCTGCTACACTGCACTCAGCAGGGCCTCCCAACCTGGGCTCCCACCACAGCCACCTTCTCACTTCAGTTGGTGGTGGCTGTGCATTTCTGTGAGGTGGAATACCTAGAAACAACTAACGGGCTCTCTGCCATTGCCACGGCAGCATATCAACTCTTTCTGCTCTTGGGTTGGGGAACGCACAAAGACCCTGATTGCTTTGCTCACATATCCAACATGCCTCAGCCACCATACAGAGAGGAGCCCAGTCTCTCTTCCCTGTGAGCTCCTGACACCCTGCTCTTCATCAGGCAGAAACCCCCACTTGGGCCTGCAGAGTAACTATCCCACCTCCAGCTGAACATTTCCACTGACAGCCCCGTGTCTCTCTCAAGTAGAGTTCCCCCAAGCAACTGACAGCCTCTCTGCCATTGCCACTGCTACCTTCTGGCTGAGAAAGGAACAACAAAGAGCCTGAGTGCTTTACTCACATTTCCAGCACACTACAGAAGACCTATGGAAAAGAGGCCAGACTGTCTTCCCCCAGAGCCCTCTACACACCTTTTTCTTCACCAGGCAGGGCCCACTGGCTTAGGCCTGCAACACAGCTGTCCCACCTTCAGCTAAACGTTCCCATTGGCAGCACCTCTGTGTTTCTCCAGGGCAGAGCTCCCAGAAGCAACTGACAACCCCTCTGGCACTACCACTGCCATGGTACCTGCCCTTGCTGCTCTTGGGCTGGGGAGTGAACAAAGACCCTGTTCATTTTGCTCAGAGCTTCATCATGCAGCTTCCATACAGACAGGAGCCCAGTCTTTCTTCACTGTGAGACCCTGACTCCCTGCTCTTCTTAACCATGCAGGGCCCCCAGTTTGGGACTACAGAGCAGCCACCCCACCCGTAGGTGATGATTCCAATTGGCAGTGCTTATGCTTTTCTCTGGGGTGGAGCTCCCAGGTACAAGCGACAGGCCTTATGCCATTGCCACTGCCAAGGTCTCTGCCCCTGCAGACCTTAAGCTAGGGAGGAAACAAAAGCCCAAGCTTGCCCCAGGGCTGCAGTGTGCAGCCTGGGAGTGCCAAGCCAAGATCTGTGGCCAGCACTTGACTGGGAGAGGAGCCTACACTGTCAGAGCACTGAGAGGATGGAGGCAAGCAGGAGGAAATACAGAGGAGCCATGCAACTGAGTGAGAACCTATCTAATGGCCCTTATGTTTAAGTGCCATCTACTGAACTGCAGCTGAAACTACAATAGCAAAAATACTTTGCTAATACATCCCACTGTGAAACCATGAGCAAGAATTCAGCCACAAAGACAGACCCTGCACAAAGACTGGCCCTCTGAAAACATCTAGAAATGAAGCCAATTGACTGCTCAAATGACACCACAGTTAAAGAACATCATCCCACACAGATGAGAAAGAACCAGCATGACAACTCTGACAATTCTAAAAGCCAAAGCTTCTCATCTCCAAAAGACCACATTAGCTTTCCAGTGATGCTTCTTAAGGAGAATGAAATGACTGAAATGACAGACATAAAATTCAGAATCTAGATGGCAATGAATATCATAGAGATTCAGGAGAAAGCTGAAACCCAATCCAAAGAATCTAAGGAATTCAGTAAAATGATTCAAGAGATGAAAGACAAAATTTCCATTTTAAGAAAGAACCAAACTGATCTAATAGAGCTGAATGACTCACTACAAGAATTTCATAACACAATATTAACAGCAGAATCAACTGAGCTGAGGAAATTATTCAGAGCTCAAAGACTGGTTCTTTGAATTAGTTCAGTGCGACAAAAATAAGGAAAAACAAAATTTTTAAAATAAGCAAAACCTCTGAGAAATGTGGGATTATGTAAACAGACCTAACTTATGAGTCACTGGCATCCCTGAAAGACAGGAAGAGAGAGCAAGCAACTTGGGAAAGATATTTGAAAATATCGTCCACAAAAATTTTCCCAATCTTGTTAGAGAGGTCGATGTTCATATTCAGAAAATTCAGAGAACCTCTGATATACTATAAAAGATGACCATCCCCAAGACACATAGTCATCAGAATCTCGAAGGTCAGTGTGGAAAAAATATATATTAAAGACAGCTACAGAGAAAGGGCAGGTCATTTGCAAAGGAAACCCTATCAGGATAACAGCTGACCTTTCAGCAGAAGCCCTACAAACCAGAAGAGATTGGGGATCTATATTCAGCATTCCTAAAGAAAATAAATTCCAACCAAGAATTTTATATCCAGACCAACTAAACTTCAAAAGTAAAGGAGAAATAAAACTCTTTTCAGACAAGCAAATGCTAATGGAATTCATTACCAACAAACCTGCCTTACAATAGATCTTTAAGGAGTGCTAAACATGGAAACAAAAAACCATTACTGGCCACAACAATAAGTACATAGACCACTGACACTGTAAAGCAACTACACAATTTATGTAACAACCAGCTAATAACACAATAATAGGATCAAATCTGAACATTTCCATATTAAACTAGCATGTAAGTAGGCTAAATCCCTCCAATTAAAAGACACAGAGTAGCAAGCTGGATACAGAAGCAAGACCAAACTATATGCTGTCTTCAAGAGAACCATCTGACATGAATGACATCCATAGGCTAAAAGTAAAAAGATCGAGAAAGATCTATCAAGCAAATGGAAAACAAAAAAGAGCAGGGATAGATATTGTTACTTCAGGCAAAACAGACTTTAAACCAACAATGATAAAAAATAATGAAGTAGAGGATCACATAATAATACAGAGTTCAATTCAACCAGAAGGCTTAACTATCCTAACTATATATGCACCCCACACTGGAACACCCAGATTCATAAATTCTTAGAGGTCTACAAAAAGACTTAGAAAACCACACAAAAATAGCAGGAAACTATCGCAAAGCAAATCCACAGTGATCAAGTAGACTATATTCCTGGGATGCAATGTTGATTCAACATAGGAAAATCAATAAATGTGATTTATCACAAAAACAGAACTAAAAACAAAAACCACATGATCTTCTCAATAGATGCAGAAAAGGCTTTTGATAAAACTCAACATCCCTTCATGTTAAAAACCCTCAACAAACTAGGCATCAAAGGAACACACCTCAAAATAATAAGAGCCATCTATGATGAATCCACAGCCAACATTATACTGAATAGCAAAAACTGGAAGCTTGAGAACTGGAACAAGACAAGGATGCCTACTCTCACCACTCCTATTCAACATCGTACTAGAAGTCCTAGCCAGAGTAATCAGGCAAGAGAAAGAAATAAAAGACATCCAAATAGGAGAGGAAGTCAAACTATCTCTCTTCATAGATGTTATGATCCTATACCAAGAAAACCCCATTGTGTCTGCTCTAAGGCGTCTAGATCTGATAAACAACTTCATAAAAGTTTCAGAATAAAAAAATCAATGTATAAAAATTAGTAGCATTTCTGTACACAATAACATCCAAGCTGGGAGTCAAATTAAGAACACAATCACATTCACAATAGCCACAAAAATAATAAAATACCTGGGCATACAGCTAACCAGGGAGGTGAAAGATCTCTACAATGAGAATTACAAAACACTGCTGAAAGAAATCAGACACAACACAAGCAAATGGAAAAACATTCCATGCTCATGGGTAGGAAGAATTAACATTGGTAAAATGGCCATACTACCCACAACAGATTCATTGCTATTTCTATGAAACTACCAATGACATTTTTTTTCACAGAATAAGAAGATACCATTCTAAAATTCATATGAAACCAAAAAAGAACCTAGGTATTCAAAACAATCCTAAGCAAAAAGAACAAAGTCAGAGGCATCACACTACCCAACTTCAAACCATACCACAAGGCTAAAGTAACCAAAACAGCATGGTACTGTTACAAAAACAGACACATAGACCAATGGAACAGGTTAGAGAATTCAGAAATAAAGTTGCACATCTATAATTACCTGATTTTCAACAAAGCTGACAATCATAAGCAATTGGGAAGGGAATACCTACTCAATAAATGGTGCTGGGATAGAGGACTAGCCATATGCTGAAGATTGAAACTGTACTCCTTCCTTTCACCATATACAAAAGTCAACTCAAGATGATTAAAAGACCTAAAACTTTAAAAACCTAAAACTAACTTTAAGAACCCTAGAAGAAAACCTATGAAATACCATTCTGGACATCAGCGCTACAAAAATTTCATGAAGAAAACACCAAAAGCAATTGTTAACAAAAAGAAAAATTGACAAGTGGGACTTAATTAAACTAAAGAGCTTCAGCACAGCAAAATAAAGTATCAATAGAGAAAAAAGAAGACCCACAAAATGGGAGAAAATATTTGCAAACTACGCATCCAACAAAGGTCTAATATTCAGATTCTGTGAGGAACTTAAACTAATAAACAAAACACAAACAACCACATTAAAAATGAGCAAAGGACATGAACAGACACTTCTCAAGAGAAGACATACACACACCCAACAAGCATATGAAAAAATGCTCAACATCACTAATCATTAGAGAAATGCAAATCAAAACCACAATGAGATACCATCTCACACTAATCAGAATGGCGATCATGAAAAAATAAAAATGTAGCAGATGTTGGTGAGGTTGTGGAGAAAAGGATATGTTCATACACTGCTGGTGGGAAAGTAAATTAGTTTAGCCACTGTGGAAAGCTGTTTGGAGATCTCTCAAAGGACTTAAAACAGAACTACCATTCGACCCAGCATTATATTATATACCCAAAGGAATATAAATCATTCTACCATAAAGATACCCACGTGGACAAGTTTGCTGCAGCATTATTAGCAATAGCAAAGACATGTAATCAAACTAGATGCCCATCAATGGTAGACTGGATAAGGAAAATGTACGACATATACACCATGGAATATTATATCATAAAAATGAATGAAATCATGTCATTTGCAGCAACATGGATAGAGCTGGAGGCCATTATCCTAAGTGAATTCATGCAAGAATAGAAAACCAAATAAACACTGAGTGAAGATAGACACAAAAAACAGAACAATAGATACTGAGTCCTTCTTGAGGTTGGAGGGTGGGAGAAGGGTGAGGATTGAAAAATTACCTATCAGATACTATGTTCCCTACATGGGTGACAAAATAATCGGTACACCAAACCCCTGTGATATAAAATTCACCCATGTAACAAACCTGTAGGTATAGTCCCTGAACCTAAAATAAAAGTTGGAAAGAAAAAATAGTTTTTTCCCTTCAGCACTTTAAATATGTCATGCTACTTCCTCCATGCCTATAAGGTTTCCACTGAAACGTCTACTGTCAGATGTATTGGAGATCCGTTGCACGTTTTTTGTTTCTTTTCTCTTGCTGCTTTTAGCCTCCTTCCTTTATCCTTGACCTTTTTTGATTATTAAATGTCTTCAGGTAGTCCTATTTGGGTTAAATCTGCTTAATGTTCTATAATCTTCTTGTACTTGAACATTGATATTGTTCTTTAGGTTCAGCAAGTTCTGTTATTATGCCTTTGAAAAACTTTCTACCCCCATCTCTCTCTCTACCTTCTCTTTAAGGTCAACAACTCTTAGGTCTGCTCTTTTAAGGTTATTTTCTAGATCTTGTAGGCATGCTTCATTCTTTTTTACTCTTCTGTCTCCTTTGTGTATTTTCAAATAGCCTGTCTTCAAGCTCACTAATTCTTTCTTCTGCTTCGTCAATTATCTTATGACTGTAATACATTCTTCAGTATGTCTATTGCACTTTTCAGCTTCAGAATTTCTGCTCAATTCTTTTTAATTGTTTTAAATTTTGATAAATTCATCCAATAGAATTCTGAATTCCTTCTCTATGTTATCTTGAATTATGTTGATTTTCCTCAAAGCAGGTATTCTGAATTCCCTGTCTGAAAGGTCACATATCTCTGTCTCTGCAGCATTGGTTCCTGGTGTCTTATTTAGTTCATTTGGTGAGGTCGTGTTTTTCTAGATGATCTTGATACTTGACCATCTAGTTCATTGGTGTCTGGGCATTGAAGAGTTAGTGTTTTATATAGTTCTCACCATCTGGGCTTGTTTGTAGTAGTACTTTTTGGAAAGGATTTCCAGGTATTCTAATAAATTTGGATATTGTAATCCAAGTTTTTGATCACTGCGGCTGCATTTGCAACAGGGGAAACTCCAAACCAAGTAATACTGTGGCTCTTGCAAGCTTACAGAGGTACCACCTTGGTGGTGTTGGATAAGGTCCAGAAGAATTATCTGGATTACCAGGCAGAGACTCTTGTTTTTAATCCTTACTTCCTCCCAGATGAATAGAGTCTCTCACTCTGTGCTGAGCTGTCTGGAGCTGGGGGAGCAGAGCAGTGACACAAGCACCCCTGTGGTCACCACCACTAGGACTTCACTGGGTCAGATCTGAAGCCAGCACAGCACTGGATGTAGCCCAAGACCTGTGGCAACTACTGCCTGGCTACTGCCTATGTTCACTCAAGGCCCTAGGGCTCTACAATCAGTAGGTGGCAAAGCCAGCCAGGGTGACACATTCTCCCCAGCCTTAGGCTGGTCCAGAGATGGAAGCCCATACTGCAAGTAGGGTATTAAACACCTAACTCTTCAACATCCAGGTGCCAGAGCCTGGAGTTGGAAACCTTAGGAAACTACCTGGTGCTCTCTTTTACTGTGGCTGAGCTGGCACCCAAGCCACAAGACAGAGTTCTTCCCATTCTTCCCTCCCCTTTCCACAAACAGAGGGGTCTCTCACCCTGGCTACCACTGCCCCAGACCCACAGGGAGTACTGCCAGGCTATCACTGATCTTCACTCAAGGGCTAGGGGCTCTTCGGGCAGCTTGTTGTGAATGCTGCAAGGTCTGGGACTCTCTCTTCAGAGGAGTGGGCCCCCTCTGGCCCAGGGCAGTCCAGAAATGCCATCCAAGAGCCAAGGCCTGGAATTGGGAACCCAAGAGCCTGCCTGCTATTTTACCCCACTGCGGCCAACCTCATACCCAAGCTCCAAGACTAAGTCCCCTTTATTCTTCCCCCTCTGTTTCTCAAGCAGAAGGAGTCTCTCCTCATAGCCACCACAGCTAGGAATATGCTGGGTCACACCTGAAGCCAAGGCCCATGGAATATACTACCTGGTTACTGTTGCTGATCATTCAGGGCCCAAAGGTTCTTTCCATGACTGGGTCCTTCACTTCAAGGTAGTGGGGTCTCTTCTGTCCCAGGATGTGTCTAGAAATGTTGTCTGGAAGCTAGAGCCTGGAATAGGGACCTCAGGACTCTGCCCAGCACCCTATTCTACTGTAGCTGAGCTGATATTCAAGTTGCAAGACAAAGCCCTCTTTATTCCTCCCTCTCCTTTCCTCAAACAGAGGGAAGGAGTCTCTCCTGGAGCTGTGAGCTGTGCTGCCAGAGGTTGGAAGAGGGGTGAGACAAGCACTCCCTTGGCAACCCTTGCTGGGGATTCACTAGGTCATGTGCCCCGCAAGTCCACTGGCTCTGAGCCCAGCATAGCGTCAGGACTTGCCTGGGAATTGCAGTCTTTGTGGCCTAGACTGCCTTTTGAGTTTCTTTAGTACCCAAGAGCTGTTTAGCCCATGTTGGTGAGACTTGCAAGAACTAAACTTTTGAACACTAGGATGGGCAGTTCTCCTCTGGCTAGGCCTGGTCTAAATGCTCCCTCTGTGGGTGCTGACTGAGTTCTGCCTGGTGTTGCTTTCCACTATGGCAGGGCAGGACAATGCCAAGTCCCACAATCCCTTTGCTGTCCCTTACCGAAGCACACAGATTCTCTGTCCATGCCATGCGTCCACTGCTGCTGGAGTGTTGGGGTGATGGGGGAGGAGTTGCATCAGCAATTCAAGACTGTCTTTTCTACCTTCTTAGGTGTCCCTTTCAGTGATATAAAACTAAAATAGCGTACTGTGATGGCTTACCTGATTTTTGGTTCTTATGAAGATGCTTTTTTGTGTGGATAGTCACACAATTTGGTGTTCCTGTGGGGAGAATGATAGGTGAAGGCTTCTATTCAGCCATCCTGTTCCCCTGTTCTGAAAGGTTTTGTAGAGGAGCAATAGGGTATGTGATACTTTGTAAAGATCTCTTTGTCTGGGGCTGTAATATAAAGTTCCATTTTTTTATGTTCTGATGCCTTTTATACGTGTGACTGTGACATTTAGTTAGATCATTCTGGTGGCAGTGAAGAAAAAGTATTTGAGGGAGATTAAACTAAAAGCATGAATACCAGCTGGGACAATACTGAAGTAAAGCAATGATATAGTAATAGGGAGGAAGAAAATGATTTAAATTCAGATGGATTTTTCATTATGTACATTTGTTTATATTATATACATACTAAATGTGTGTGTTTGTGTGTGTATATGTGTGTGTGTGTCTGTGTGTGTGTATAATTGTTAAGACTTGGTGGTTGTGGAGTGCCTGTGAGAGAGTGGTGAGAGTATGGCATGACCCCAGGATTTTGGTTTGACTGTGTGGGCAGATGGTGCTAAACCCTGAAATATAGAACACAAAAGGAGGGAACGAGTTGAGGGAATAAGCATGATCTCAGTTTCAAATATGTTGCCCTTGATACATCCATGGAATATTCCAGTAGCAATGTTGGTCACACCAGTTTCAGATCCCAGGGAGGTCAGTCCAGAACCAAGAATTTGAGAGTCATCAGCAGAAGAGGTGGAAGCTAAACTCTAAGGGCAGCATATGTCATCAAGGAACTTGACACTGGGGATGAGAAACTAAAAAAACTAAGTACTGAGAAACAAAGGATCAGAAGGATAAGAACCATGGTAGTCAAAGGAGGAGAGAATCTCAAGAAGAGATGAGTGATCAGCAGGGCCAGATGCATTGAGATGATCAAATAAAGTAGGACCTGATTTATCTTTTATGTGTAGCAAAATAGAGTCGGGGTGACTGTATTAGTCTGGGTTCTCCAGAAAAAAGAACCAGTAAGAAATTAGATGTAGATGGACATGTATTTCAAGAAATTAGCTCGTGTGGTTATGGAGGCTGAGTCCCAAGATCTGCAGTTGACAAACTGTGGACCCAGACTACAGTTCCAGTATGAGTCTGAGTCCAAAGTTAGGAGAAGACTAGTGCCCCAGCTCCAAGACAGGTAGAGAGAGTAAGTTCTCCCTCACTCATCCTCAGTCCCTCAACAGATTGGATGAGCCCTACCCACAATCTTTACTCAGCCCCCCTCATCCAGAAAGATTCCCACAGACACACTCTGGGTACTCCAGAGGGAAGAGCAAGAAATAAATGAAACTGTGGGTGTTGACTAATGTTCAAAAAATTTGTCAGAGGGCTGAAGGTGGTCACAAGGTCAGAGAGTGTATCAGCCTTTTTTTTAGGATGGGAAGGTACGCATTTTATAAGTTACAGGTTTATGAGTTAATCAATCAAACTTTCCTGAGTTGGGGGGAGACCAGATTGGAAGAAATAGAGCTCAGGAAAGGAGGTTGGAGAGAGGTAGGGCAGAAGTGAGGATGAGGAAGAATCAGAGGATGAGGCTACATATGGGAATGGAAAGTTAAGATTTCCAAAGTGGGGCTCTTTTGGGTAAAGACAAAGCCCAAGATGCAGACTTGCAAGGGGTGGCTGAAGAGGAATGGAGGTTAAGGCTACTGGAGTGGAGAAAGTCAAGGAAGCGAAAGGCTCCGGGGCTGGGTAGGTTGTTCCTGTGGATCTTTTCTTCCCGCTGCAAGTTTCTGACCATTCTTCAGGGCCAGTATCAAAGGCCATCTTTGTAATAACTTACTGAGCCTCTCCTCCCCCTCAAGTCACTAGGGCATCCTCTTACCCAAATAAAGTATTAACATATTTACATGGCTAGTTTAACTTCTTTATCAGAATATATTAGTTCTTCATGAGTCTGAGTAATGGAGACTGTCTTATCACCCAGAATACCTCTAGAGAAATAGTTCTTTATCTTTAGTATACAAAAGGACTTCCAGGTAGCTTGCTAAAAGAGCCAATTTGCCAGATTCTGATTTGGTGGGTCTGGGATAAAGCTTCAGAATCTGAATATTAACAAACATCTCAGTTATCTCTAATGGGAGTATCAGGGGAGAACGTCATTAAGTCCTCACGATGCTCTATGGTTGAACCAAATTGTATGGAGAAGAATTAATGGAATAGAATCAAGTAGTCCTGAATGAATCAAGTTGCAAATGTTCGCAGTCCCAGCTGCAGTTTGCGAAATAACCGGCAGGTGGCGAACGACCCACACAACTCGCAGAAATTACAGCTTCTCGGGGTCCCAATTCCTAGACCCAAAACTGCCCAGGAGTAGAGGAGAATCCTATTTCCCAAGCAATGCTGTCGGCGACAATGGTGAGTTTCATCCGTTTGCATGTGCATCCTGAGGTGCCAATGGCCGATCTCTTGCCCTAGTCCCCAGGGCTAAAGTCATGCTGACCCAATGACATTGCCTTCTGGCTACCAAGAGCCATAATCCTGGCACCAGCAAGGACTGGTCTCACTGATGACATCATTTGCCTAATGAAGGTTCTTATGGCAGGAGGGCAGTGGGAGAAGAACAGCAAACCAAGTTCGTCTATTCAAAGAGAGGAATGGTTGCCACTAGAGGATCATGTGGTCCACGCCTGTATTCTCTATTTAGTCAGAATCAGAGGGGAGGCATCTTACTCAACCCTCTCATTTTATAGAGCCTGAGAGACGATGAGCAACTTGCCAGAGGTCACAGAGGTAGAAAGTTTCAGGATTTTCTGGGATCTGTCTCTTTAAGTGACTTGCCTTTTCATTGCACCTAACAGTAACGTGTCAAAGGGTGTGTGTATGTTGAAATCATTAGTGTCTGCTCATGAATTGTTATATAGGAGAAGCTTAGGGGTGACCATCTGGTTGGGGAAGAGGGGCTGGATGACATTAGGATGTGTTTGCATAACAAGTCCACCACTTTTACCTAGATTGTGTATTTATTTGGGGTGGGAGATGCAGGAAGGTGGGAGTCCAAAGAGAAGGGACCATGGGGAAGAAGATTCTCCATGGTTGCCCCCACCGCATGTTTTAATGGACTTTCTTATACATCTGCTTTAATGTCTACTAAGTCACAAATGTATTGAAGGCACTCATTGTGTCTTATTCCCCTCTGATTAGGTTTCATAGTTATTTGATGAATCAATGAGCATGTCAGCCTTGATCATTTTTAGATCTGAACAGTATTTTCTAACATCTTAGATGATTAGCATATACCTCCTGTTATCTATTTCTGTCTGTTTGTACTTATTTAACACATATCCAGTGTTTACTATGTGCACTGTTGTCAGCATTTTAAAAATATCAACTTACTTAATCTTGTCTTTGTTGCTGTTTCCTAAAGAGTCCATGAGAGTGAATATCTACTATTAGAAATCCTTCTCTTCCTCTCTCTTCCTCTTCCTCTCAAAAGGCCTGAAAATCAGTTACTGGTCCCTGCCCGTGCTGCAAATACTTGGCCTAGGGAAGAGTGGTGGGGAGGGATGAAATAGTTAACTAGCTGACCTGGGGCGCACAGTTTCCCTGGCAGATGCCGCGCTCAGGCTGCGGCTGCTTCCTCCTGAATCTGTTAGGAGTACACTTTCCCTTTGCCCTCGGGGCCAGCGTCCAGGTTTGCCACGGTGGTGGAGACAGCTCCAGCCACGAAGCTGATTTATAGGCCAGAGCATTCCCAGGCCGCACCGCAAGGAGTCGGGCTGAGCTTGGACTTTGGGAAGGTGGTGATGGACACAGGACACGTGGCCACACAATGGGGACACACGACTGACCTCAGTCACTTCGGTAAACTGCCCTTGCTTTCCGGAGGCGGCAGGAACGTTTCAGGAGCTCCAAGGCTCTAGGCGCCTGCATTCCTCGCCCCAGCCGGTAGTCTCCTAGCCCTGTTGAACGCAAGAGCATCCAAGGGCGCGCAAGTCCCCAAGAGCTCTCAGAGGTTCCTGACCCTGAGCGTTAAAGCCCTTCCTCGCGGATGAGACCCTTGGTGCGTTCCACCCGCTTGGGGGCTGAGACTCGCCAGGACGCACTCAGAATGAACTTTCCGCGCAGGTCAGATATAGGCACCCAGGGGTTTTGTGACGTCACAATGCCGTCTGACCCGGTGAAAGGCAAAGGAAGGGTCAAAAACGGATAGTGTGTGTGTTGTGGCTGAAGTGGGGGCATGTGAGAAGAGGGAAGTCCGAGGAATGGGGGAAGGGATTTGGGGACATGAATTTGAGAAGGAGCAATCAAGTTTGTGCGTGGGGGGGGAAGCAGGATTTTTTCTTCTTCCCTCCTATATGCAAACTGTCACTTCGGGTTAGCGTGAGCCCTTATCTGGCTCATTAGCATGAGCTGTGGCTAACACGCTTAAACCCTCTAATTATTTATTATGCCGTCACGGGGCGGATTGCAACCCCACCCCGGGGCGCACTTTCGGGAACCTGCAGAGCTGGGCACCGCACGGGGGCCGGAGCACAGAGCCTGGCCCCGCTGCGCGCTACCAGGGAGACTCCTTACGGCTCAGGAGTCCCACAGGGTACTGTTCTGAGGGTCAACGAAGCAGAGTTGTTGGGGGTCTATCTGGAATGGCTTCTCACCAACATTCATCCCCAGGGTAGTAGTACTGAACTCGCCTGGTGAATCTACATAGCACCCTAACTTCTCCATTAACAACTCCAAAGACGGAAGTTGGAGCCAAGAGGAACAGACTTTGCAAAAATAAAAACAGAAGCCAAACCTGGTGCAAAGGGTTGGGAATTGGGCTGAGTAGCATGTTGGGTACACCTTCCAGAAGAACCCTGGGGAGAACCTAAAGTTTGCTGGAGCCCTCTTCCCCACCCCCGAGTTCCAAGAGGATCCACAAAGTGGGGGTGGGAGATTTGATGGGCTGAAATCCGGTCACTCACGTCCACGGTTCTATTCAGAAAACAGTTTCAAAATAAGTTAACCTCTGTAGGGCATTTTTCCCCCTCCCCTTTAAATTGTCCCCCCTTCCCCCTCCTTCTTCTCATTTGAGTCTGTTTTATGTTCCCCTGCGTTGTGCCAACTATTTTATCTTTATTCCTTCTCTTTCTCTCTTGCCATTCATTGCTTTTTTTGTGTGTGTGGCTTCTCCGGCTGATGTGCGGCTCGTTACCACCCACTGCACACTTGCTCCTGTAGCTGAGGTGTTTCTATACAAACTCCAGCGTCCAGTTGTCATATTAATTATTACACTGAGTAATGACTGAAATGGTCAAAATAAGGGGAGACTCAAGAGCGCTTTTTCTTGCGGCTCAAAGATTCAGCAAAGAAGCCGTACAACAAAGCACTAATTGGTCCCCAGAAACACTCTGACAAGGCATGGAAGATAGGTTTCATAGAGCCCTTCGATTGTGAAGGGGGGAGAGCTCTGAATGGACTCCACGCTTCTTTTCTAAACTCTCTTGCTGAGCAAAAAATGGACCTCTGTTTGAATACTGCCCTGATCCTTGAATACTACACCCAGCAGAGAAAAAAATGCACCATTTATTGTAAGTTTTTTTTTTCTTCTCCAGCTATTCAGGGGTTCTCTGTGAAGAATCAGCTGGTTTTGTTTACCATGAAAGACCTTTACTTTATTTTCATTCTTGGAGGAGGTGGGGAGGAGGAGGGAAGGAAAGCCATGTGCCTAGACAGAGAGGAGCTGGCCTACTGTAACAAAATAGAGTGTAACAAATCCTACAAAAGTTTAGAATGTATTGATTCTTTGGAGAGCTATATAGATTAACGACTTTCTTTATGCTCATCCAAGGAAGGTATTTAATCATAATGTAAATGGGGCTTTAGAAAAAAATAAAGACTTAGCGTTACTTCTCCTTATTTGGAGAACTTCAAAAGGACTTGTGAGGGTGGCTGCAAATTACCTCCTCACCCCACCCCACATTCCCTCCTTATCCCAAAAGCCACAATAAAATATAGTTTGTGCTTTTTTTGTTTTGTTTTTTCAAACTTTTTTCTTTTTAAAGCATATTGAAAAAGTGAATAGATTTGTTAGAAGGCTGAATTCCTTAATGCAGGTGCAAGCCTGGCTGCTGTGACCAGGAAGCTGAGCCAAGCCAAATACATGGTTTGTGCTATTCTGCCCCCTGAGCAGGCCCTCCAAGGCTGGTGCAGAGTCAATGCAGGCTGGGCAGCAATCCTTTCTGAAATTACCTTGGGTAGGGTATTCTTAGAGGCAGTAGATTGTGCAGTAAAGTCCTTTTCATTTTCCCTGGGTAGGACAGTGTCTAGCACAGCCTTAGAACAGCAGACACCCCAGCAGGACAGAGGCCCTGTATTAATTATAGCTCCTGGAAGATGAATATTGGCTATGAATGCCAAGCACACTCACTTTTCTCAAAGCATCCATTGCTTCTGGAACTCAAGTCACCCCCAAATTGAGGATTACACTTAAAATCCTGTAACAAAATCCAGAATCCAAGACTTGTGTTCATCTTTGTATTCCCTTTGCCCCTGATTCAGAATCTAACTAAAGTTAAAAATATAACTTTATTAAATTATTTGTCCAATGAAAATCCTAGTTTCACTTTTAATATCAATCCCTCTCCCCAAAGAGAAAGCATAAATTGGTTTTCAAAGAGATGAGTCATATCTTCTTTTTACAGAGAGACAACACACAATCAAGAGAACATACATAGGTCTTGAGCTTCAGCAAAGGTGGTACTGGCCTGGCCTTCAGCTGTGAATGGAAATTAAGGTGGCAGGAGACTCAGGGCACAGGGTCTCTGATCTCAGGGCAGCAGACCCCTTTGGCCACTAGGAAAGCCATCTCCCCCTACAGATCCTGATGCTGAATGAAGATAAAGTCTAATCTGAAGTATGGTTCAGCTCCAGAGTGTTCTGATATAGGAAAGGGGTCTGAAGGTGCAGAAATTAAGTCCCTTATTGTATTGGAGGAGAAAGAGAAGCCTTCTTATCTTTCTGCAATGTCTGTACTCTGGGTGATACTCACCAAAGGGGATCAGTGCTTTGTCCTTCCCACTCCCCCACCCTCATGACAAGACAGAACACTGAATGCTGCTATTCGGAAAAAGTGAAAAGGCAATCTCTGATATGTGGAGAGACTTGCAAAGCAAATTACCCAACAACATCTGATTTAATTCTCATAACACCCTTGACATACAGGCAAAGGGAGTACTACCACCTCATTTATGAATGAAGGTATCAAACCTTCCTTTTGTGAGTTGTTTACTTCTCCCTTCATGTGAAGATAAATGGGACATTGTTCAAGTGTCTTAGCCAACTAAAGCCCTAAGGACTTGCTCAGAATCAGGCCCACTGTGTGGCAAGGGAGCCAAGAAAGCAGGGCCCAGTGGCTCTGCTGAAGCCCCTTGCATGTGGAGGCCACAGAACATCTCTATAGTCTATCTTACTTGCTACTTTTCATGTCTAAAAATCGGGTTACTATCTCCATCATCTTAATATGCCAGTATCACCACCATTTCTCAAAAATGACAGGAATGACTCACCCCTAGGTGCTGGGACAGTGAGACAGAGTGGCACTGGATCTCCATTGGCTGGAGTGATGATCACAGAGTGGTTCCAGGAAGCCAAGTGCTGAGGCTCCTCCTGCCACACACCCTTTCCTGGGTGGGTTGTGTGAGCATGACTTTCTTATTAATCCCTTTCTCTTTAGACCTGGGCTAGAGTGCTCTACATACATATCATTGAAGTCTCACAACTCTTGGAGGTAGATACTATAATTACTGGCATAGGTGAAATAGAGACCCCTAGAGTGTCTCAGGGTCACACAGCTCTCAGGTAAAGGGGCCTAGATACCAAGTCAAATCAGCCTGCTTTATCTGGAATTCCATGGGCCTAGGAGAGCAGAACATGTGGCCAGTTCTCTCAGGTCGGGAGGAGGGATTATAATCTAGGTCACACAGTCAGAGGCAGGATTCTAATTTTGGCTCCTGAGCCTCCCATCTTTTGCTTCACACTGGTGAAAACAACCAGAAAGCCAATATCAATGGAAAACTCTCTTGGTAGAATCCCCAAGGATAGAAATGCAAACCTCTAAAGAAAAATTATAGACTGTTCTACCCTAGGGTTGGAGGAGAAAGTGGAGATGACAGTGTTGAGGTGCAAACTCCAGGTTTACTTGAGTGGGGGGAGGAGAACGCCTCGGTTCTTGGAAGGCTTTGCAAAGCATGTAAGGAAGAAAACTTAGCATACTAGGGTGAGAAGAGTGAGGTCAGGCTCAGGGCTGGCATAGGGAGAATAGAGACAAATGTTCTGGCGGTTTTGGCCAGAAGGATCCCAGCAACGACTGTCCTTCCTCCTGGCCTGAGGCCAATGAGTAAGGCCACTACAAGACAAGGCTTCTTCACTACAATGCACTTCCACTCCATTTGGGCACCCATTTCATGGTGTGTGTAGGGGGGAGGAGGAGAGGAGGTTCTGTCCTCTACTTCCCTGGTATTGAGATCTCTGTGTATGCATCCTGGAAAAGGAAACACGTGCTGGCTACCAGCAAATTTTCTAAGCTGTTAGATACAAGTTTCAAAATTAGCTACTGTACATCCCTTGTGTGTAGATCAGAAAACTGAGGCCAGTAGAGGCAGAGGGACTTGTTCAAGGTTATAAGGCACCATTGTGGTAGAGCTCAGACTCGGGACCTTTGTGAAGTGAGTCCAAGTTAGTAGGGAGTTTGGGGCTCATGTTTCAGCTTAATGTAAAAGAAAACACATCTAGATGCTTCCACATTTGCGACACTCCCTCCCACCCCCAACACTCAACTATTTGGCTGAAATAGAGTGAATGGGGCATTAGGACACAGCTGGGTCATGTGGGAGGTGGGTAAGGAGTGCCTGAATAATTCCTATTTCTGCAAGTGGTCTGAGGCTTACTCTGGCTGGGAGGTGCAGGGTGCCCAGGCTGTGTTGTGACTCTGCTTTTGGGTGCTCACCTCCTATACTTCCAGAGACCTCTTAGGCCCTTTCCTTGGTCAGGGATGTGGAGAAAGGCCTGAGGTGTGAATCCCACGGGGTTCAGCCAGTCCTGTGAGGCCATCAAGCCACAGGTTACCATGGGGAGAAGGGGCTGTGTGGCTGGGAAAGGTTACAGAATTGACCTCTGTTGGCACGATTTGGTCCTATACCTCTGAAGCCTACCTATTCTGCAAAGATGAAACTGAGGTAGAGAAGAGAGGTGATTCACTTCGGGAGCCGCCCGTCATTACTGCCCACCATCATCACTATTGTTCCAGAAACACTCAGCCAGCCCACATACCAAGAGCAGCTCCCTGGGTCATCCCCTTGGCCCTTTAGAAAGATCCACCTCCACAAAGGGGAGTTCAATTAGAACCAATTATCCGGATAATTCACCACAATCATTCCTGCACCCAGATCTCGGATTATTTCTACTGGAAAATCAAATGGATGATTGCCCTCCACTTCGTTCTGCCTATGTAGACAAGACCTGAGACATGCCCCAGCCTCTCTCCGGACCAGATCCTTAAAGAGATGGGGCCTATTGCTTGGTCTGCTTTCTCCGCAGCGCCGCGTCCCCAGACGTCCTGAAGCTGGACGGGGTTCTGGCCAGAGAGCGCCAGGGCCGAAGGCCCAGGAAGGACGCCTGGGCAGGCGCTGTCCAAGCGGTCGAGCGACGGCTGCAAGCGCCTCCCCCTCCCTCTCGGCGCCAGCACGCGGCCCCGCCGGGCTCCGCTCCCAGTCGCCTGCCACCGGGCCGCCGGGCACACGCCTGGGGCGGGATGGTGGCTGCGCCAAGGCCGCCGAGGTGCCCGCGGCGGCGCCGAAGAACCAGGAATCCCCACCAGTGCCCTAAGCGCCATCACTCAACCCCCGCCCCGCATCTTTCTTCTCCGAGGGTCTGGGAGTATCCCAGAGCACTCCCTTCTTTATGATATCCGCTAAGCTGGTCCGGAAATAATCTTTATGGGGAGGGGGTGGCGGTAGGGGGCGATGGTACAGGGGGCCAGAGGTCATCCTAGGGGGACGTCCCTGCCATATACACCCACCTACAGGACGGCTCACAACCACTCCTCGGTGTCGCTTCCCCGCGGCCCCCCACACACTTGCTCAGTTATGGGGAGCACATCCTAGTTTTTAGAGCTGAATGGGACATTAGAGACCATATTCTGTGGCTGCAGACGAGGAAGCGAAGGCTCAGAGAGGATGCCACTTCGAGGAGCCACAGAGCATTGAGAGGACGCCTTGGGACTAGAACCCACGTTTTCACATAGTCCAGCACTTTTTTTCACTGTTCTGGACGGAGTCCCTCCCCCAACCATGTTTCTAAACTTCAATCGTAATTTGCTCCAATTTCTAGGGTCACCGAGGAACCCGAAGAGAATAACAGTGAGGAGAGAGAGAAAACAGGAAAAGTCGAGCCCCACTCCCTCCTCACCTCCACACCGTTCCTGTGCCATTTTTTCTGCCCAAACCCTTCCCTGCGCTTTGCTTCAAGTTCTTAGTAGAATCCAAGAGAGCTTCACCCCAAGTCTTTCCACCTATACACCTCAATTCCTAGAGCCATTTGTCCCTCCTGTGACGCCCCCCACCCCCTTCCTAAAGCCACCCCCGGCAGCAGCCCGCCCCGAGCGCGCCGCCTGTTTATTCAGCCGGGAGTCCGGCACGCGCCAGGCGCACGCACTGCAACAACAAACCCAGCTGAATGGAGAGTTTGCAAGGAGCGGGAGAAAGGAACGGGAGGGGGGGAGAGGAGAGGAGGAGGGGGAGTTTAGGGAGTGGGTGGGAGGAAGAGGTAAGAGGAGGGGGGGGAGTGGGGGCTGCAGCCGCTCGCTGCAGCAGCGGGGAGTGGGGGGCGAGGCGGGGCCAGGGCTGCGCGTGGGGCTGGGTGTCCCATTGAAAAGGCGGACGCACTCCGGCAGCCCAGCACTCTCTCACTTCTGGCCAGGGAACGTGGAAGGCGCACCGACAGGGATCCGGCCAGGGAGGGCGAGTGAAAGAAGGAAATCAGAAAGGAAGGGAGTTAACAAAATAATAAAAACAGCCTGAGCCACGGCTGGAGAGACCGAGACCCGGCGCAAGAGAGCGCAGCCTTAGTAGGAGAGGAACGCGAGACGCGGCAGAGCGCGTTCAGCACTGACTTTTGCTGCTGCTTCTGCTTTTTTTTTTCTTAGAAACAAGAAGGCGCCAGCGGCAGCCTCACACGCGAGCGCCACGCGAGGCTCCCGAAGCCAACCCGCGAAGGGAGGAGGGGAGGGAGGAGGAGGCGGCGTGCAGGGAGGAGAAAAAGCATTTTCACTTTTTTTGCTCCCACTCTAAGAAGTCTCCCGGGGATTTTGTATATATTTTTTAACTTCCGTCAGGGCTCCCGCTTCATATTTCCTTTTCTTTCCCTCTCTGTTCCTGCACCCAAGTTCTCTCTGTGTCCCCCTCGCGGGCCCCGCACCTCGCGTCCCGGATCGCTCTGATTCCGCGACTCCTTGGCCGCCGCTGCGCATGGAAAGCTCTGCCAAGATGGAGAGCGGCGGCGCCGGCCAGCAGCCCCAGCCGCAGCCCCAGCAGCCCTTCCTGCCGCCCGCAGCCTGTTTCTTTGCCACGGCCGCAGCCGCGGCGGCCGCAGCCGCCGCAGCGGCAGCGCAGAGCGCGCAGCAGCAGCAGCAGCAGCAGCAGCAGCAGCAGCAGGCGCCGCAGCTGAGACCGGCGGCCGACGGCCAGCCCTCAGGGGGCGGTCACAAGTCAGCGCCCAAGCAAGTCAAGCGACAGCGCTCGTCTTCGCCCGAACTGATGCGCTGCAAACGCCGGCTCAACTTCAGCGGCTTTGGCTACAGCCTGCCGCAGCAGCAGCCGGCCGCCGTGGCGCGCCGCAACGAGCGCGAGCGCAACCGCGTCAAGTTGGTCAACCTGGGCTTTGCCACCCTTCGGGAGCACGTCCCCAACGGCGCGGCCAACAAGAAGATGAGTAAGGTGGAGACACTGCGCTCGGCGGTCGAGTACATCCGCGCGCTGCAGCAGCTGCTGGACGAGCATGACGCGGTGAGCGCCGCCTTCCAGGCAGGCGTCCTGTCGCCCACCATCTCCCCCAACTACTCCAACGACTTGAACTCCATGGCCGGCTCGCCGGTCTCATCCTACTCGTCGGACGAGGGCTCTTACGACCCGCTCAGCCCCGAGGAGCAGGAGCTTCTCGACTTCACCAACTGGTTCTGAGGGGCTCGGCCTGGTCAGGCCCTGGTGCGAATGGACTTTGGAAGCAGGTAGGTTGCATTTTGGGGTGGGCAGGGGGGTATTCTTGCCTTCGTCCTCCCTCTGAGTGTCTGTGGAAGTGGGGATGTCTCCAAGGAGATAAGGGGATTTTTATTTAAAGAATTTGTGAAAGTTGGTCGATTTCAAGTCCTAGTTTGTTAGTTTCAGCACTGGCCTCTGAAAATGGCCTTGCCCAGGTCTCCAAGGAGTGAAGGGTAGTAGTGAGGTGCAGAGATACTGGTGAACCGAATACTGGGACATGTTAAAAGAGATGTCTACCTGACAGACTCTTTCCCCAGACCTCCATCTCCCTCTACCACTAGCCTACACGTTCAAATTAACCTCTCCTGTTCTTTTCCTTATGTTATAGGGTGATCGCACAACCTGCATCTTTAGTGCTTTCTTGTCAGTGGCGTTGGGAGGGGGAGAAAAGGAAAAGAAAAAAAAAAGAAGAAGAAGAAGAAAAGAGAAGAAGAAAAAAACGAAAACAGTCAACCAACCCCATCGCCAACTAAGCGAGGCATGCCTGAGAGACATGGCTTTCAGAAAACGGGAAGCGCTCAGAACAGTATCTTTGCACTCCAATCATTCACGGAGATATGAAGAGCAACTGGGACCTGAGTCAATGCGCAAAATGCAGCTTGTGTGCAAAAGCAGTGGGCTCCTGGCAGAAGGGAGCAGCACACGCGTTATAGTAACTCCCATCACCTCTAACACGCACAGCTGAAAGTTCTTGCTCGGGTCCCTTCACCTCCTCGCCCTTTCTTAAAGTGCAGTTCTTAGCCCTCTAGAAACGAGTTGGTGTCTTTCGTCTCAGTAGCCCCCACCCCAATAAGCTGTAGACATTGGTTTACAGTGAAACTATGCTATTCTCAGCCCTTTGAAACTCTGCTTCTCCTCCAGGGCCCGATTCCCAAACCCCATGGCTTCCCTCACACTGTCTTTTCTACCATTTTCATTATAGAATGCTTCCAATCTTTTGTGAATTTTTTATTATAAAAAATCTATTTGTATCTATCCTAACCAGTTCGGGGATATATTAAGATATTTTTGTACATAAGAGAGAAAGAGAGAGAAAAATTTATAGAAGTTTTGTACAAATGGTTTAAAATGTGTATATCTTGATACTTTAACATGTAATGCTATTACCTCTGCATATTTTAGATGTGTAGTTCACCTTACAACTGCAATTTTCCCTATGTGGTTTTGTAAAGAACTCTCCTCATAGGTGAGATCAAGAGGCCACCAGTTGTACTTCAGCACCAATGTGTCTTACTTTATAGAAATGTTGTTAATGTATTAATGATGTTATTAAATACTGTTCAAGAAGAACAAAGTTTATGCAGCTACTGTCCAAACTCAAAGTGGCAGCCAGTTGGTTTTGATAGGTTGCCTTTTGGAGATTTCTATTACTGCCTTTTTTTTTCTTACTGTTTTATTACAAACTTACAAAAATATGTATAACCCTGTTTTATACAAACTAGTTTCGTAATAAAACTTTTTCCTTTTTTTAAAATGAAAATAATCAGCTGACTCTAAGCTTTCTTTGACTCTGATGCCCCTGGTCCAGTTTTATGAAAATGTCAAAGGGAAGAGGTGGATGGAGAAGAAAATGTTGCAAAACATGCTAAGTGGCAGAAATGACAATGATAAGTGCTATGGCCAGTCCCATCCAAATGGTTTCTTTATGATGAATGAGTGTGTGTTTGTGTGTGTGTGTGTGTGTGTGTGTATGTACATGTATATATGTTTTCTTTCTATCCTATGCTGCAAATGTACATGCCCACCAAAAAGAATAGATGGCTGCATTATCCTTTGATCAAAATTTAAAATCCCCCAAAAAAGTGAACCAGAAAGAGAGGGTCCTCCACCATTTTCCAATTCTCAACTCCATTCTGAGTTTCTCCCTGTGAAACTATGGTGGGGCTGGATGAAATAATGGAGACTAGGTCTGGGTGGGGAGGATGGTGGTTCTGGGATGGGGGTTGGAGAGGCATCCCTCTCCACATACAAGCTCCTAGTGGTGAGTATGTTTCTCTTCCCTCACTTCCAGGCATACATTTTCTACTCATTTTCTCCAATACACCTACTTGCTATATTGATTTTAAGTAAGAGGCATATATGATATGAATTCATTCCAAACGGATTGAGATTTTAATTAAAAAAACGCATTAGAAATGTGTGGTCGCTTTGAGACACTGGTCTATCTAAGCTTGTGACTCTATCCGAATAGCGTGAGCTGCGTGTAAAAGTACCCAATTACCAAGATTCAAAAAGAAATTGGTGGGTTTTTGGCTGGCTTGCTTCTTGTCAGTTAGCAAGGACGTGATTAGAATCCTACTCGGCCTCTCGCCGGCTCCTCGCTCGCCGCCTGCATTACTTGCAGATTCAGTTTGCGTGTCTCCAGCCAAGCGGAAAGCCGAGCGCAAAATGCATCTTACAAAACCCAACAAAGAACGGGTAGCCAGCACGTCTTCCAGAGTTAAAAATCTAGTCTGTGTTGGTACATCTATACCATTTAGTGGCACAGAATAATCATTTTTTAAAGCCACGATGCGCGGAGCACGCCACAGCGTCTGATGTCATTTTGCTAAATGACCCTCTATAGAATGCACATTGAGGCTTCAGTCCCTTTCAAAGAGATGAGCGTAATTAAGGAAAAAAAATCAGTAAATTCCTCATCGCCATAAATAATCGGACTTTCTGCCAGCAGTGGGCCAATTTAGAGCTTACTTGAGAGAAGTAATGCTTTTGTGATGCCTGCTTTTATTTTTATCTTCTCATTTGGAGGACCAGAGATGGGCTCCACCCCCACTCTCCATTTCTCTTTCCTTTAATTTAGCTCCTTTGCAAGATTCCAGATAAGGTATGCAAAGAAAGTGTAGCAAGTCATTTATGGCTATGAATATAACATTAGGATAATGTTTCAGCCCCCACAAAGGGGGATTTTTTTTTCCTTCTCCTGTGAGGACAGGTGTTCTTTACTCACTTCTGAATGGGAAATATCCAGTCTCGTTAAACTCGAGGCAAAGTTAGTCGTTGTTTGCCACAATGCGAAGGCAAACTCGAAAAATTCACAAAAACACACACAATTTTGCCTAAGCTAGGAAAGGGCAAAGCGAGGATTGGGCAAAATCTCATTACATCTGCTCTAATCGCTTAGCAACACAAAGCCGGGGCTTGTGCGGCGAAGGGAAGCCATTCACAGAGCTCTGACAGGCCGCATTCAGCGCGCGTTAGTCAGCTCCATAAATCACCGCTGCCCATTGGCTGCGCGGCGGGCTTTGGAGCGGCCCTGGGCTGTCAGCGAAATACAAAATGTAGACCCCAGAGGCTAGCAATAGTAGCCTCTCCCCCGTCTTAGCCCCCACCCATTTTTCTTTTCTTTCTTTCTTTCTTTCTTTCTTTCTTTCTTTCTTTCTTTCTTTCTTTCTTCCTTCCTTTCTTTCTCTTTCTTTCTTTCTTTCTTTCTTTCTTTCTTCTTTCTCTTTCTTTCTTTCTTTTTCTTTCTTTCTTTTCTTTCTTTCTTCTTTTTTCCTTTTTTTCTTCTGTCTTCTTTCTTTTTTCCTTTTTTTCTTCTTTCTTTCTTTTTTGAGAGAAAGAGGAGGGGAAGAATGCTGAGGTAGAAAACTGCGTTGACTTTATTGACTGAGAAATCTTACCTATTCAACAAAGGCTTGGAGACCACCGAGTTAAGACTGAAGACACGCCCGAAATCGACGAGGAGGAGCGGGGAGTGCGGGAGAGAAAGAAAAAACAGACCTGCCGCGAGCTGCAGAGCTGTTGAATGGCACACATCATCAGAGGCTGGGAGAAAGCTATTGGTGCACAGGTTTCACCTCTCTGACACAGTTATTTTAACATTTTAAATTGAGAGTAGGAGGAGATGCATCAAGAAGAATCTATCTCGAGTTCACATCAGGCAGGACCCACCAAGGAAGAGAGAAGAAACTATTCTGTGGTTTGCAAAGAACTTCAAAGGAGTAAGACTGAGATGTCTTAAGAAAGAGCAATAGAACGTGCCTTTCCACTTCACCGTTCTTGCAGTGCTGGGGATGTTTAAACACAGAAGTAACAGCCCAGTTCCTTGATATACACAGGAGCTAGGTGAAGCCATGCAAAGGAGTTAAGAAAAGGCTTGATGGCAGAGATTACAAGCTATATGTAAATGTTATCCCCTGCTGTTGTTGCTATTCTTATCTTCCAGTCCTTTATCTCATTTTCCTGGGGACTGGTCAGATGCATCTAGATCACAGCCCAAATTGGATTCTTACCCACAAACCACGTAGAAAAACCCTGATAGTAGATGTGGAATCAAGGGAGATTTTTCTAAGAAGCCCAGATTGCCTTAACTCAAGTGCCACCTCCTCCAAGAAGCTTTTCCTGACCACCCTCTTTAAAGCAGCTCTCCATCTGCTACAATCAGTCCATTAATCCTGTTGTTCCTTCCTGGCATTTACCACTATCTGAAAATGCTGTATCTTTGTTTGGTTATATGATTATTGTCAATTATCCCCTACTACATGGTAACCTCCCTGAAGCTAGGGACCTTACTTGTCTTGTCTTGTCTTCCCTGCCCCTGGTAAGATAGGTATTTGTTGACTAAATGGACAAATGGGGATGGTTTTCTCTGCTTCACTGAAAGTTGTTTCTTATTCTTCCTTTCCCCTCCACTTGCACTCTCCACCCTTCTCTGCTCTTCTCTCTGTCTCAGGAGGCAGGCTTATCTTTATGGATTTCATCACAAGAGTTGTGTGTCCTTCTGGCTTCTTCTTGGGTTTGGCCAGTGGGAGACACCAGCAGGAGTTGGCAAAGTAGGAGGGGATATAGGTTGGGATATTTTTATCCCTGCTCCATCCCTGCCTAGGCCCTATTGCTTTGCCTGTAGCTCTACTCCTTGTCCTAAGGCTAGGGCTGTTGTCAGGAGGCTTCTCTCCCGCAGATACACCTCTTGCTGAAGTCCAGTAACAACTCCCTTCTCTTGCCCTTTAATAAGGCCCAGAGGTGGTAACAGCTCTCCCTTGTTCCTAGTCTCCGGGTGCAGCATCATTTTTGTTAACCTCACCAACATCTCTGTCTTTCTGTTAAACTTTTTCATTTACCCTTGTGCCATCATCTCTCTTTCCGACTCTGCTACACAGGCCGTTTCCCCATAGGATCTCATGGATATACTAGTTTTGTTTAAGATTTTTCAGGGACTCTTGGGGTTATGAGTAAGAAAAATCCTAGAGTATGGGTGAACCCAACTCCATATAACATGTAACTCTAGAAACATTACTTCATCTTTTTGAGACAGGAGTGAAGTCAATTACAGTTTTCTCTTCTGGAAAAACGAGAAAAATGATACCTTCCTTTGCATAGATCACCAGATGAACAGAAAATGAAAGGGCTTTAGAGCAACTAATGACTATATCAATGCAAGAGATACGTGCTTCTTAAGATCTTTCTGAACCAGGTAGTGGGGTGGTACTGGGTCTTGCCGTTAAGATCAGCAAAGCTGCTGCTGCTGTTGGAAGCCACCCCTACTTTCTTTCGCCCATTCATTCGCTCTGCAATTTATGCACTCACTTCAAAGGGGAGGGACAAATTATTAAATCTGGTCAACATTTCTAGAACTTAGTTGTGTTAATTTGTATTTTCTAGAGAGTGCTCTCCAAGAAGCATCAGTTATTGCAACTTCTTAAAAAAAAAAAAAGCAACACTGTGGATGCTTTTGTGGTGTAATAATCGTCCGCAACCTCAGGTCCTTTTACTTATTGCTGAAAAGCCTCTGAACTCCTTTCTCCCTCTCTCCACTCCTGAGCCAAGAAATAATTCTTTCCGGACTTCCCGAGAAGCTCCAGGTTATCCGGAGTCAACGGTAAGGAGGGAAGTGGATTCGGTGACACTAAGGTTCTTTACCCACTGCGAAAGCGAATGGCTTGGATCTAGCGCAGGTCGAAGTTATATTCCTTCTTCCTTTGTATGCAAGATTAGGTTGTTACAAAAGAGGGTGTGTAGGTTAATGGCAGGAAGCAAGTTGCAGCGCGGAGCGCGGGCCCTGAGCGCGTGTCAGGCTTAATGATTTATTCAAGCTGCAGCGCATCCGGGCGTTGATTGGCTGCAGGCATGCGTCCGCTGTCAGCTGCGCGCGCCGGGAACTCTCCAGGCTACCTGAAGCTGGGGGGAGGAAGAGGAGGCGTGGGGACCCGAGGGGAGAGGTGTGAAAAGGAGGAACAGGTAGGAGTAGGGGGTGAGAGAGAGAAACAGGGATAGAGCAAGAGAGACATAGAGAGAGAGGAGAGAAGGCAAGGAAGGAAGGAGAAGAGAGAAGGGAAGAGAAACTCAAGCGTAGGTTGCGGGGGTGGGAGAGAGGAGAGAGGAAAAGATGGAGAAAGCAGACGAGAAAAACAAGAGGGAGAAAGAGAGAATAAAGGAGAGGCGAGGATAGGAGAATAAATGAGAGAGAGCATAGAGAGAGGCTGGAGACAGGAGTGGGACGCGCTCCCAGAACGTCCCGCGTGCGCCCCCCTCTAGGCAGCCAGCGGGCGGCCGCTTACAAAGCCGCCTTTGATGCTCTGGCTACCAGGGCTATTTTGGGGACGAGATGGGGGAAAGCCGCCAACCCACACTCCTTGGAGGGAGTCACTTTCTGCAAAGTGCGTTGGAGAGGACTGGGCCCTGGGTCCGGGCTGTCGAAGCAGGAAGTGGATGTAGGGGACAAAAGCTCCGCACCTGCCAAATGCGAGACCTTAGAGAGAGCCTCCCCCTCGCCGCTCCCTGCTCCCCCGCGGGCCCGGGAAGCTTGCACTACCGGGCTCAGCGCAGCCAGCCCCACCGCCTCCGGACTCGACCCCACCATAGCCCCGCCGTCCGAATCGTCTCTGAACCAAACTACTTCTGCCTGCCTTTCTTTGGATCTGTCTTTCTCTGTCATCTGAGTCACTTTCTCTCTCGCCTCTCTTTTCTTTCTTCTTTTTCTTCTTCCTTCCCCTCTTCTTTCTCACTCATTTGTTCTTTCTTTTCTGTCATCATTATTTACAATTAACAAAACCCCGGACACTTCTAGATTGGAGCTCTGCTCAGCCGGTGGACTCTTTGGAAAGAGGGAGGATAGTGGGGAGAAAGAGCAGAAGAAAGATATTGCTGGGGGAAGAGAGTGACATTTGAAAATTGAATGAAAAAACCAGCCTACTGTGTGCATTTTCCTGGATGAAGTTCTTGAGCCTGCAGGGTCAGCAGTCAGAGGGCGGCTGCTTCTGTTGGGGGAATTGGAAATTCTATCAATAACCACCCCACTCCTGAAGACCAGACAGAAGTAAAGCTGGCGTGTCCTTTCCCCAGCCACCCCCCTCCAGTACACAGAGCTTTTAGGTTCCTCCAGCTATCTCTCTTTACTAGGAAAAACAGTCTGTCTCCATTGTCCAGGTGCCAGCAGGGCCTTTGGCAAAAGGGAGGCCGGCCAGCCTTCTGATCAAACTCAAAGGTTAGTTAAAAGACAAAAACAGCTGAAAGTCTTCATGAATAATGTTGGGCCAGCACCCCCCTCCTCCACTCCACCACCCCAAACCCCCCCACTCCCAACTCAGTGTAGTGCAAGCCATGCTGAATGCCCTACCACTTGGTTATGCTGCTCGCCTAAGTCAGAATTTCACAGAAAGGCCGAAAAGAAAAGCTCCCACAATTAGGGGTCGCCTGTCAGAAAACATTAACGCCTTCCTCTCCCAGCCTGTCAGGCCTGCTGCAGATACAAACTGCCATGGCGAATTGGCCCTCCACCCCATGAAGTGCCTGCCAGCCAAAGGAGCGGGGATTTGCAAGCCAAAGGAGATGGAGCCTGTCCTAGTGCAGTTTCCGCAGTGTCCTGACGCACCGAGATGCCCCCAGCTTCTGCTTTCTGAGGCTTGGCTGTGTTGGATGCCTGGGAGAGGTCATACAAGATAGTACTGCAGGTGGGCAGATGAATGACCACCCAGACCAGGGCAGTATAGCAGGACCTTTTCCTACAATGGGAATGGGTAAAATATATACACATGGCTACATCCTTATTTCCTGTTTGCTGAGCATTTTTCAAGTGCCAGGGATCTTACATTGTTCATGATCAGAGCAATCCTTCAAGGTGGTGTATTATTATATTTATCTTATAGGTGAATAAAACTGAGAGTCTGTAACAGCTAAGTAGTGGCAGACAGGATTGGACGTCAGATTTGCCTGACTCCAAATTTCATTCCCCTTCCACCATAATCCAGCCCTTAGTTTCTCCAATAAGATCCAGACACCAACTCTATGCTTGCTTGCTTCTGAAAGCACTGCCAATACTTGAGCATGTTCTTTGCCATCTTCTTTGTATTACCAAGAATATTCTCCACTTTTAGAACAGTATCTGGCATGTCCTTGACACTCATAAACTTGTGGAAGGAAGGGAAGAGGAAGATACAAAGAAAGGAAAAAAAGGAGGAAGGGAGGAATTCCTTAGAAAGGTCCTTTTGGTTTTCTTTGAACATTATTTTGTTCTGGAAGATATTTAACTTTGCGTGAAGAGATCTGGTTGGGATTCTTATGTACCATCAGTTAGTTCGGGAGTGGAACCTTTGTTTTCTCATCTGCATAAGTGGAGATAATAATAACTACCTTCTATGGTAATGATAAAGATAGAATAAGATTAACTTTGCAAAAGTTGCTAGCATGATATCCAACACAGGCTCAAGAAAATCCAGTTGAAAATGAAATAGGTATTAGTCTTTTATTTTTGTGTATCAAGAAAATATATATCACACATGCCTTACATCTGTGAAACAAAAATGCTATGCCATAGCTAAGTCGTCAGGGAATTTTTAATACTGTTGTCCCGTGGTGTTCGTG
Source organism: Homo sapiens (assembly GCF_000001405.40). Taxonomy (NCBI): domain Eukaryota; kingdom Metazoa; phylum Chordata; class Mammalia; order Primates; family Hominidae; genus Homo; species Homo sapiens. The sequence continues at coordinate 102,967,833 of NC_000012.12, forward strand.
CCACCAAGATAGAATGAGGTAAAGCAGAGATCATGTTCACAGGTCTAAACTTATGGAAAGAAGGAAAGAGGAAAGAGTGTCTAGTGTTGTGGAAGAGTTTCAGGGCTTCCAAGAAGTGAGCCATCATCTTCCAGCAAGAGCAAAATGATGTGGGTGTTACTTCTCCCTGATGAAGCAGGTAGGAAATTATCACCCCATTTTGTGGAACAGAAAAATGAAGCCCCAAGATGTGACTACTTTGCTAGGAGAAAATAAACACTGGAAGTTAAAATTGGCCACTGTGATTCCTTCCAGGAGACATATCTTCTGAGCTTTCTGGAGTGATTCAGAACTTTGGTCTCCTCAGGACTTAGAAGGAACATTTTCACAAAACCATTCATATTCATGGGATAGTCATTATTTCCACTGCATGGGACACTAGTGAAATTATTAAAATTTGCTTCAGTTTTCAAACTTCCAAGATTGCTGTCACTGTCTCCCTCTGCTTCTACCCACCAATCAGCTCTTTCAGTTCCAAAACACCAATTTTTTAAAAATGGAGAAAAAAAACCCAAGAAAAACTGCTGTTGATAATCCCAGAAATGTTTGATAATCCTGCAAAAGTTGGTCAGCTTCCTGGTCATTAGCTTTTCACTGAGTCCTTGTATGATGTTTTCGTTTCTGGAGAGCGGGGATGATCTTCCACATGTCCCTCTTTGTCTTTCCCACATTTCTGGTTTTTTTTCCTTCTCTGGGCAAACTTCATTTTCCAGAAGACAGACTATGTTTTTGAGATATAATAATTACCTCATGGACTGTTGGCCAAAAATAATGGAGGCCAAAAATGTAAACACAAGGTCTACTTTTCAGATATTTTATGAAAATATTACATTGTCTAAATATGTTCAGAATGCAGTAGTATTTGATACATAGGACAGATTTAGAAACAACCATAAGCCTGCCCCACATAAGCACATAATATAGGACTGCTGAAATAAAAACTCTAGAGTTGGTATAACCACAGAGATGTAGCCAATGGTGCTTCATGTAAACTAATGATGATATTTTTCCCCTTGAAAATCCATGAAAATATAATACCAAATATCTCAGGCTTGGGAGGATGATCTGGCTAGACTAGTCCAGGTTCAGCATTCAGACCACTCATGTCTCCACTTCCTGAGGACATGGAAGCTGTGTTTGGAAGACAGAGCAACACGTGTAGGGCATGTTCTTTCTCCTGTTGGGGTGGCTAAGAAGAGGCCTGCTTTACATCCATCTCCTCTTTCTCAGGAATGTCCCTGTGTCACTGGGACACAGAAATGAGGGGGATTTATTTTGTGCTGTTTAAACAGGGTATACATTTCAACAAACAGCTAATTTGTTGCTGGAGATCCTCTATAGATGAAAACAGACATGCTATTCTAATTCTAGGGACTTTTTTGTAAGGCAAAAAAAAAAAAATCAGACAAGTTGAAAAGATACATAGCCAGAGGTGTTTGTTGTCGTATTTTTTTTTAAAAGATAATGGTGAAAAACCCAAAACAACCCAAAACTTTAATCTTGAGTATTGGTTCAAATAAATACTATATTTGCAGGCAGGTCACAGCAGCTCATGCTTGAGATCTCAGCACTTTAGGAGGCTGAGGCAGGAGGGTTGCTTGAGTGCGGGAGTTTGAGACTAGCCTGGGAAAGATGGCGAGACCCTGTCTCTACAAAAATTAGCTGAAGGTGCTGGTGCATACCTGTGGTCCCAGCTACTCAGGAAGCTGAGGTGGGAGGATCACTTAAGCCTAGGATGTTGAGGCTACAGCAAGCCACTATGGTGCTACTGAATTCCAGGCTGGGTGGCAGAGCTAGAGACCTTGTCTCAATAAATATATAAATAGATAAATAGATTAATATTTGCAAGCTCATATAATAGTATATTGTGCAGAATTTTAAATGGTGATGCAGATTTACGTTTATTACCATAGAAATATATCTGTGATATACATAAATGAAAAGAAGAAAATAGCCATCACATATAATTCTATTAACCAGAGAGTATTAGTCAACATTTAGTTATCTATCTATCATCTATCTTTCATCTATTTATTTTTATAAAATAGCATCAGATCTTTCACTTTTCTACTTAAAATATGAATATTAATTAGTTTAGTTATTTATTCAACAAATGTTTTCCCAGGTCCTGTTGTAAGCCCTCAAGGTACAGTAGTGAAAAAGACCAAATTGGTCCCAGACCTTACAGTTTATGTCATCCCATTAAGACAGAAACTCAAACATCTAGTAGTTACATGTTTCTGTATCATTAGTCTTCTACAACATGATTTAAAATGTTAAAATGTTGATTGAAGGTACAATAACATCTTAACAAATCTGTGTGTTTTTAAACAAGGGAATTTCTTTTTTAAAATATGTTGCCCTTAGTGAATAAATTCTATGATGAAAAACATTATAACCAAGCAATTACACACTTCCATGATTATATCCTCAGGACAGATCTACAGAAGGAGACTTGCTTTGCCCAAGGAAATGTGTCTTTTGGAGGCTTTTTGCTTAATATTTCTTAATTGCCTTCAGAAAGATTCAATCAGTTATGATTCCATGGTCAGTGATATGAGTATAAATTTCCTCACAGTCTCACTAAGTTTTATTATAGTTTAAACCAACAAATTTACCAATTGGTAAGTTTTCTTAAAAGTGATTTCTCATTTTTAAAATTATGCTTACATCACTAGTGACACTCAATTTTTCTTTTCTTATGTATTTGTAGCAGTGATTATCATATGCTGGACTAAGACTGGTAGCATTATAATAAATGGAGAGAGGTTTGCTTAAAATACATATTTCTGGAGATTCTAATTAACTGAGGTTTCTCTGATATAAGGCTAGTTTGTAGACAATCGTTTTTAATTTTAGCCTTTCTGGGGAGATAAATCAGATAGAAAATTTTAGAAATAACAATTGTGGATAAGATAAAGCCTCTAATTCCATAAAGAGGGCTTATTCTAAATTTACTTCTCCCAAGTTACATGGATTGAATGTCCCCAGTGGTAATCTATTGGAGGTGAATGCAAAGGATTACTTTGGACTCTGATTCCCCCAGTGGTCCTGCTTCTCCTTTCCAGTCTCTTTCCGTTTGTGCTGACCTCTCAGCCCTGCCCCCCACCTGCTGCTAGCCCGGAGAAGAAAGCCATTTCCATTGGCCTTGGCTGCCTGGGGAGATCTATATTACTCTGGGGAAGACAAGAGCTGCCCCCATCTTGGTAAAGTGTGAAATTCGGTTTTGATTGCAAAGGGAAGCCATTTCAATGGGATTACACCGTGACCATGTAGATTAAACTCAGCCATATGGCCTAGGGACACTTCTTCCTACTGTCAGGTAACAGTGCATTGCTAATGATGTGGCAATGACATTTTCAAATGAAAAATAAAGCCACCTGGATGGGAATAAAGGAGGCAAATAAATGACAAGATGCTGGTAAGCATTAACAGAGCTCTGGACTCTGCTGGTTTTGAAGAGGGGATGTATTTGCTTAATTTATAAGTAAAAGCAGTAAGCGTGATGCTATAAAAGGACTTTTGCCTGCTTGGCATAGTGCAAAGAGATTCCTTGTTTTTATCAAAAGAGATCCCAGTGTTGACATAATGAGATTGCTCAACCTCACTTAACCTCAGTTTCGTCACCTGTTTAGTGGGCGTAAACACATTTTGCAGGGTTGTCACAAGACAAAAACAGTTATATGAAGGTGATTTGTAAACTGCTAACTGATGTACAAGTGGAAAAAAATAGGTGGTTTTATCAGTCAGAGCTCTCAGTTACAAGCAACAGAAATAGACTTTGGTCAATTTAAACAAGAAAGAAAGTCACAGAAGGAGCTTTGGGTAGTTCATAAAATTACTAAAAAGGCTAATTCCAGAATCAGAACATGGACTAGAAAATGTACGGCTGAGAAGCAGCCAAAACCATCATTAAAACCATTTCCCAGAATAGTTGGATAAGGCTGCAACCACCACTGCTTCTGATCTCTGGTTCCCACTGTTTGTACTGACGCCATCCCCAGGTCTAGACATTGGATGTACTGCTGGTGCAGATGGTGCCACAGCCTGGAAATTGGTTTGCTGTAGCCCCAGGTACTACAGGGACCAAAACAGATTATCTTCTGTCCCTGCTTCTTTGTGTCACTAGTCGTCAGGTCCACAACTATGGTGAGAGCTTCAGAATGGTTGAGCCGTAGATGCAAGGAAGGCCAGGAAAGTGAGTGGCCTTGTCTGCTTTTAAACTTTTCTCAAAATGCTTAAGAATACCCAAGGGAAGTGTACTCAGACACTGGGCAGCCAAAAATAAAACAAAACAACAAACAAGAAAATACAACTATCTTTTAGATCAGGAATCTGCAAACTGTTTTGTAAAGGGTGACATAGTAAATATTTTCAGCTTCATGAGCAACTACTCAATTCCGCAACTGTAGTGCAACAGCAGCGAGGAACAATATGTAAATGAATGAGTGTGGCTGTCCTCCAATAAAATTTTACCTACAACAACAGGATTTGATTCCAGATTGTACTTTGCTGATCCTTGCTCTAGAGTGATGATGATGGTGATAACTAGGTGAAACTTTAAAACTGTCCTTCAAGGAGTGGCTGGAAATGGATGCTGGCAGAGAGAGTAGCAATTCACTCAACTGTGCACTAGCAAGATGTTTTCTCTCATTCGGTTATGTTGCCCGTGGTAACTGTTGGTTTTGTTGTGAAAACTGTTTCCCAGTTAGGGGGTTAACAATATGTAAACTATCTGCATTTAAACATAATTTCAGTTCAGATCTGGGCATTAGTTGAGACCTCCTCTAGGTAGGGAGTGTAGCAGAACAAAGGAGGGAGAAGAAGTGCCTTCTCCTACCTTATGCCTTCCTGCATGACCACCCAGGCTCTGCTCTGAGGCTCCCAAGTGCTCCTCTTCTCAGCCCTGATGCATTATTACACCTTTTGGGGCAAGTTTCATATTTCCTTGCCATGGATGGTATCACAAGGGCACTTCATCTACCCCAGGAATCTGGGTATTACCTTCTTCCTAAGGGCATGTCATGCCACACTGGTGAAATTCAGCAGATACTTCTTGTGGTTTCCATGTGATGTTCCCATAGACTGATTTAGTTGACCTGGGAAGGAGAAAGAATCAATCTAATGATGAATCATCACGTGTAAATGTTTGCTGTCAAAATGATAGAATAACTCTTTGATGGAAAAAGACACTTTCCTTCTCTCCATCATTTATTTAACCCATAGGAATTGTGGTCCTAAAGTTTGTCATGTCTACACTGGGCAATAGGGCTAGAGGTGTATAAAATGTGGCCTCTGTCCTGGAAGACATACAATTAGTTTTGTTCCTCTTTGTAGTCAAGATTTTTTACTGGAAGCAGTCATTTATTATATCTGTAGCTCCCAAGCATACTAAGTGTTGCAGGAAAATGAGCTTATTCATCACTAAATGAAAGAGGTCAGTCATCATATTTATCAGAAATAGGTTGATGGTGCAGAAAACCCAACCTATGATAGTAAAACCAAATTACGGATGCACCCTTCCTTCTTTCCTTCCTTCCTTCTTTCCTTCCTTCCTTCCTCCCTCCCTTCCTTCCTCCCTCCCCCTCTCTGCCTCCCTTCTTTCCTTCCTTCCTTCCTTTCTCCCTCCCTCCCCCCTTCCTTCCTTCCTTCCCTTCCTTTCTTCATGCCTTTCTTTTCTTCTTTTTTCTCTTCCTTTGTTCCTTCCTTCCTTCCTCACCTTCCTTCCTCCCACTGCCTCCCTCTTTTCCTCCCTTCTTTCTTCTTTCATTCCTTTCCTCCCTCCTTCCTCTCTCTTCCTTCCTCAATCTCTCCCTCCTCTCCCTTCCTTCCTTTCTTTCTTCCTTCCATCCTTCCCCCTCCCTCTTTCCCTTCCTTCCTTCATTCCTTTCTCAGTCCCTCCTCTATCTACTTTCTGCCTCCCCTTCTCTGTTCTCTTCCTCTCTCCAGCTTCCTTCCTTCCCTCTCTCTTTCCCTCCCTTTTTCCTTCCTTCCTTCCTTCCCTCCTTCCTTCCTGCCTTTGTTCCTTTCCTGCCTGTCTTCTTTCTCTCCTTCTTTCTCTCTTCTCCTCCCTCTGTCTGTCTCTCTTATTCTTTTCCTCTCTCCTTCACTTCCTTCCACTCTTCCTCCCTCCCCTCTTTCCTTTCTTCCTTTTTCTCTGAGCAAGAAGTCTGGATGTGGGAATGCACTGGGGTTACTATGATGGCTCTCAGTGCTTTCAGGGTCACAGGTGCTGACTAGCTTTCCACCCAGCCATCCTTAGTGTTTAACCTGTTGCCTTATGGTCCCAGGATGACTGCCCCATCTCCAGATAATGTCTGCTTTCTAGGCAAGAAGGGGAAGGATAAAGAGAAAAAGAGCAGGCCAGCTGAAAGCTGCTGTCTTCTAAAATGTGGCTAGAGTTTTACTTTTTAAGCCAGGAATGTCACTGCTTAAAATGCAAGGGGGATTCTGTGAGTAAGGAAGAGGGGCACAGTGGGTATGGGGTTTCGGAGAGACTTGGGCTCTGTCTACTGTAGATTTTACTCCAAGTGCCATTTTTAATGAATTTGTGGGTCCCACCCATGAGCTGGGCATTTGCTTCCAATACTTTTCATCCTCCTTAATTGTCTGAACTTTTAAGTTTTCTGAACAGTAGGGTCAGATTTCCCAACATGGTGTCATCAATTTCATTTATGGAATCCCTGAATGTTTAAAGGTAGAAGTACCTTAGAGGTCTCCTTCTTCAACCCCCTGAGCTATAGATGGTGGAAACAGAGGCTCAGAAATATTAAATGACTTAGGCTGGGCGCGATGGCTCAAGCCTGTAATCCCAACACTTTGGGAGGCCAAGGCGGGCAAATGACGAGTTCAGGAGTTCAAGACCAGCCTGGCCAAAATGGTGAAACCCCGTCTCTACTAAAAATACAAAAAATGAGCTGGTCGAGGTGGTGAGCGCCTGTAATCCCAGCTACTTGGGAGGCTGAGGCAGGAGAATTGCTTGAACCCGGGAGGCGGAGGTTGCAGTGAGTCCAGATCGTGCCACTGCACTCCAGCCTGGGTGACAGAGTGAGACTCTGTCTCAAAAACAAACAAAAAAATTAAATGACTTGCCCAAGATGATACCACTCATAACTGGGAGATTCAAGATTAAAAAACATGGAGAGAATGGCAAGTATGTTCCCTCAAAAGACCATTTTCTCAATTAGATTTGAAGATTGCAAAAATTTCAAACCATCAAGGCCAGGCAGAATCTTCTCTATCTAGTTCCTTTCATTACTAGGATCTACATTTTAGCTGACAGCACTGGCATTGGTGTTTGAACTACATTTCCAGCCTTCCTTATTTTTTTCCATTCCTAGAACCTCTAAGGGCCTAAATCTAGCTCTCATTAAGTGCTTCTTAGGCTCTGAAAAAAATGTTGGTTGAAAGAGCATGCCCAACTTGTTTTCCAAATCTTCATTTGTGATATTGCCACCCCCATCCCCACAATATTTTCAACCAGAAACCCAAGAGTAGTTTGTATCCTTTCTCATCTTCTTCTACCAGATCCCAGTGAGCATCAATAAATCTAAAAGATTCTATATGATGTCTTAAAAGTCTAGAAAATGGGGAAATATTAGAATGATTTGTTGAACTATTTCCCCCAGTTAATGATTAGACCCATAAAGCTTTACATTTAGAGATATTTTGCCTGTAAAGATGTCCTGAGGTTGGAGGAAACTTCTGAGAATGTTATTTGAAAATGTAACTGATGCACGATTTAGACATAATTTTTTCTGTTTCCAAACCTTTTATATGCCCTTTTCATTTCAGCTCCTGCCTTCTCAACCCCATGGCTTTTGCCTTTGTTCAGGACCTGATCATTTCTCCCTGGACCTTCGCCTCTTAAATACTGTTCTTATTCTTGTCACTCCAATCCATCTTCCACCCTGTGGCCACTAGAGTACTTTTAAAATAATACACAGACCACACCACTGCCACCAAAGTGATCTTTTAAAACACTTCTATGGTTTCCCCCATTGCCCATGATTGCAGTTACTTTTTTCACCCCACAAATGTTCATGGAGCTCTTACAATGTGCCAGTACTATGGTAGGCAAAGTTGATGTGATGCCGAGTATGGCAGACGTGCTGGCTACTCACCTGGAACTTCTGTTCTAATGGATGCTTGATAAGAGATTTGATGACCTAGCCTCTGTCTTCAGTCCCACCCAGATCTCCAGCCACCCTGTTGACCTTTATCCCCCAGCAATGCCAAATTGTTTGTCCTCTCTGCACACATTCTGCTTTGTCTCATCTTGGTGTCTTTGCATATGTCCTCTTTGTTTCTCTGGTGTCTCAGTCATCACTTCCTCCAGGAGGCCTTCTTTGATCCCACTTTACACAGATTAATCACTTTTCTCTGGAACTTTTGCACAGAGTTGGCCCTCCATAGCCATGGGTTCCACATCCATGGATTCAACCAATTTCAGATTGAACATATCCGAAAAAAAATTACATCTGTACTGAACATGGACAGATTTTTTTCTTGTCATTATTCCCTGAATGATATAACAGCTATTTATATATCATTTACCTTGTATTAAGTATTATAAGTAATCTAGAGATGATTTAAAGTAGAAGGGGGGATGTATATAGGTTATATGCAAATACTATGCCATTTTATATCAGGGATTGTAGTATATCAGCACCTGTGGACTTTGGTATTCCAGGGGTTCCTGGAACCAATCCACCACAGACACCAAGGGATGACCGTATTCTGTTGTTACGTAGTTGCCCTCATCACAATATTCTATTTATTTGTGCATAGTCCTTCCTTTTTTATTTCCTAAAGTGAAAAAGCTTATTAAAACGAAAGAAATTTGAATTGTGTTTAGAATTCAGAAGAACTCCTGGAATCACTTTTATTAAGTAGACTCTGCTGTATCAAAAAGAGAAAGGATGAAAATTTTCATATTGACCACCAGGAGTTACAATGAGCATTCTGTAGCTCTGAGAACAATAGCTCTAAAGAAAAGTAGCCAGGAAACTCCATGATGCTTTATCTCACTCAGCTATAACAATTTGTGAATCCTCATTAATTGTCTAACAATGTTTCACGAATCTTGAAAGTAACTGAAATAAAAGGGTTCATTAGTGTGTGCTTCATAATGAGAGAAACTCAATTTTCAGAACACAAGAAGGGAACTATTCTTTTTGTTCTCTTTAGGTGTCAGGAGGTCTAGGGAACAGAAAGAACTGTCTATAGCAAAATGCAAACGGATTTGGGACTTTTTTCTCAGTCTAAAAAATCTTGGTAGCAATAAAATGGGGGTGGAGAGAGAAAAATCTAAGCAAAACCGATTCATGTGGGAAAGCAGAAACTTGTATGTCTATTCTGTTTTTTTCTCCATATGAGGGAACTTTTATGTTTTATTTTCACACTAGATTATTGGGGTTTGGGGAAAAGTACTGTGTTTAATATTCCCAATGCCTAGGGCAGAAACACAGTAGGTGCTCAATAAATGTAGATTTCAATTAAATAATTGTATAGTTAATGACTGTTTTTTGGGAAAAATTGTGTAGTATAATTGTATAGTTGATGACTGGTTTTGATGGGAAAAAAATCTAAAATCTAAGAGAGGTGACAGATATGGTAGGAAAAAAACATTGGCTATGTAAAACGACAGGTCTTAGGGTGTTGTTGAGTTTTACATTTTTGGGCATGCAGGACATAGGCCCAGCAATGGGGAATATGAGTATATGTGCACATGTACAGCACCATGCAGATGGGTCATATATATCCCAAGCTTTGGCCTAGCAACTCCTAGACTCTATAGCTTAAGTCCTGTTTTTTTTCTGGTAGTCTCAGCACCCCCTTCTCTTTTGTTGCCTTTGCCAGTGACATGGAACTTTATTCCTGCATTTTGTTTTCAACTTTTCTTTTCAAACAACCTCAGGGAGTCCAGGTATAAAAAAAGAGGAGGACCCTAAGAGCTGTTCTGGCCCACTGGGAGCAGGATTTTAACTTCCCTTCTTTCTGGCCCCAATTCATAACTTTTTATTTTTGTTCTTGGTGCCCCCTTCTTTATAAACCCATTCAGCAATTTTTTTAAAAAAAATTATACAAATTCAATGTGTGTGTGGATTTTGGGTGGGCTGTGGAAATTGATTTACGAGTCAACCACTTTTCTCTTTTCTTGCCATCTCCCGCTTGAGTGGTTTGTCGGCCCTGGGGCCTTTCTTTCACTCGAGGAGAATAAGGTTGTCTATGGAAGAGGTCAGCATTTCAAATTGGTGGAGTTCAACTGCACAAATGACATAGAACTGACAAGAAAAGACAGGGGGTTTGGAGGTCACAGACTGCATAGGTCTCGCTTAGGGTTTTTGCTTTGTGATGAACCCTGTCACCAAAATGAATTAAATAACAGGCTTAAGGACTATTGAGGGAGGACTGAATGCAAATCAAAGATAAGTAGAAGTTTTCTTTCCTAAAAGGGGAATGATTTTTTTCCTTCCCTCTCCCCTTCCATATCTGTGCCGGCAAGAGCTGCATGTTAAACATGATTTCGCTGGCATTATGCTGGGCGCTTTCACTCCAGGCTGCTGCGATGGCCTATCTTGGCCTATGATTAATGACCTGCTAGGCAATTTGGAAACCATAATAACTCCACGGTTCACACACAAACTATATAGTCGCATTCCTTTTGCAGATTTGCCAAGCTGTTACCAAGGGGCCCGCAGAGGAGCCGGATTGTTGGAGAGATAGGGAGGCATTTCTGCAAATGCCATTCGGGCCTTATCTTGCTGAAAAGTGCAATGAGCGGCAGGCTCATTTAGAAAATTCAAAGCGTAGATCTTGCAGCTTCTTTATTTAAGCCCAGATTAGGGAAAACAAAACAAAACAAACAAAAATGGCTCCAAAAAAAAATGGGCTGGTAAAAATCAATCTCTCTGTATGGTCTCCAGGCTCTGAGTGATTCCAGAGACAGCACAGTGGTATTCCCAAATTTTGAATTGGATTCATCAAGGTCTAATGATAGTAATGCCTCTCAAAACAAAGAGTAGATTTTTGAAAAACCTAGGCAGAGACAAAGGCTCCGCTTAAAGTTTTGCTCTTTGGAACTATTTGTGCACACACTTCTAAACAGTAAAATTGTTTATTAGAGTGGAAGGGCATTGCACTGGGAGTCACAGAGTCTGGGTCTAGTGCTGGGTCAGTCGCTGCACTGCTCTGCGACCCCGGATGCATTTCTTCTCCTCTCTGGGCTGCAGTTTTCACATCAGTTCAATGAGAATGTTGGATTTAGAAACAATCTAGCAGGCTTTTTCTGGCTTGAATTTTCATTTATGTTGCGGATATTTATTGAGCACTCACCATGTAGTTAGCACTCTTCTAGGCTCTTGAGATATTTAGAGAAGAAAGCAGACAAAGTTCCCTGTGCCCAAGGAGCTCACACTCTAGAGGGGTGAGACAATCATTGACAATAACAATAATTTAATAAGGAAATTATATATGTTAGAGGATAATAAGCACTATGGAAAAGAAAATACTTGGACAGAATAAGGGGAAATAGGAATGGTATTAGGTGGAGGTTGGGGACAGAACAAAGTCAGAAATATGGTGGTCAGTGAGATTTGACAGTGACCTGAAGGAGATGAGGGAGTCAGCCAAGCATATATCTGACAGAGAAGCATTCAGGCAAGGAGAACATTTCTAGAGCAAAGGCCCTAATGGTCTATAAGACCACTGATGCTGTCGTTTTCTGTGACTAACTGGCTCTCAGTCACTTAGCTAGCTGATGGTGACTTTATCACCCAGCCTTGTGGTTTTCAACCTTGGCTGCATGTTGAAAGCACACAGATAATTAGAAAAATAAAACTCCTGGGTCCTACTTCCAGAGATTCTGATTTAATTGGTGTGGGGCGTAGCCTGGGCATGGAGGGCTTTCAAAGCTCCCAGGTGTTTCTTCTATGCAGTCAAGGATGAGAAACACTCAACCTTGGGAGCAGTGGGTCAGCTCCACCATAACATTTCTGGGAGCTGTTTGTCACTAAGAAAGCTGACCTTACAATGCACACAGTCAAGCCAAGTAACTGTCATCAAGTTCCCAGGCATTATCTCATGAAGAACCTTCTATGCACTAGGTTCTATGCACAGTACTCATCATGCAAGATAATCCATGCCAAAATATGGAGGAGATGGACATGTGAAAAACATTTTTCACAAAGAAAAATGTTTGGTACGGAGCACCAAAACTTGTAAGATGCTAACGGCCAGTTTCTCTCACACATAACTCATTCAAATGACACTTCCTTATGTTTGTCATATTCATGTAATATTGAATCATGCTTTTCACTTAATTTCTTACTTTACTCTTGTCCTAGTCAATAGTACCTGTAAAATTACTTGTTTGTATGTTATATGTCACAAATTTGATATGTACTTTATATAATATATGTAATTACATATATATGTGTGTAATTGAAAAAATGACAAATGTTTATCCGTGCACTATCTAAAATCATCTCCAGGATGACTACCAGAAGAAAGTGAGCTACATTTTTGGAAATAGAACTGAATGACATGAGGTGGTGACAACAAAGGGAGGAAGAGAACATTTGAGGCTGAGGGACCCATGGCTTCCATCTTTATTTACATACAAAAACAGTCAATGCCAGACTAAGAGAGTCAAAGTTAGGTAGTTGAGGTAGGCTTTGTGGTTACGCAACCCATTGATCAAGTTTGTGCCATTTGGATGATTAGTGGATGGATTTTTCTTTGAAATTTCTAAACATCAAAAATCACTTGCTTTTCACTGTATGGCCAGACTTCACTTTTCTCTCTTTGTGTCAAAGCATTGTGACTGGAAGTCAAGGTCATGCCATGTGAACTCAGGGGAATCTAAGGCATAAAGTATGCCCTAGTATGTTTAGAAAAAGCATTAAAATGATAATTTTTGGTCTGATAATTGTATCTTTCTGGAGAGCTTACCTTTGAGAGAAAAACATGTAAAAACTTTTTTTAAAAAATTAGGCTTGGCTACTGGGTGAGGCAAATTTCCAAATTTCTATGTTTTTCAGGTATATATTTGCTTTGAAAATTATTTTTTCTTTCCCTACTTATTCTAATTAGAAGGCAGCAACATATTTTTGGAATCTGTACAATACTCAATAGACACATGGTACGGGTGTCCTCTTTTCTAAAAATATTTTTATTTTTAACTTCCAAGTAATAAATAAATTAATTCCCACTGCAAACAATTTAGGCATTGTAGAGAATAGTTATAGCTTCCTATCTTTATTCCAAAGGGAGTCATTTTCACCAGCTAGGACTGAACCTGGCTGGCCTTTTTTTTCTTTTTAAGGTATTTATGTATATGAAGCTTTGAAACTAATTTCTGTCTGTATGTGTTTCATAGAAGTATGCATGATGTTATACTTTACATGTCATTCTGCAAAATTTTTTTCACCGAACAATATGTCTCATGTATGTATGTCTTGTACTAGGTCAGTACAAATGAATCCACCTCATTAAAAAAATAGGTGCACAAAGTTTCAAAGTATGCATTTACATCCTAGAGATAGTCATTGTGCTACAAAACCAATGTTGCCTGATGACTGTCCATGCAAATGCCTTCCTCTTTTATAACACCTCATCATACACCTATGAGTCTGTCTCTAGGGTAGACACTGAAAATTGAAATCGATGGATTATAGGGCAAGAGCATTATTAACTTTAATATATTCCACCAAAATATCCTCCAAAATAGCCTAACCAACTTTCACTATGTTGTAGGACCACGTGCCATTTCTTAGGTGTGTCTTTTATGTAATTCCACTGTTTGTAGGTGGTATATTCACTAAAATCTTCTCACCTATGGTAGTGGGAATGTATTTACCCAGATCTATCCATATTCTCATTTGCAGCCCAGAGTAGTAAGAGGTGGTTGAAGACAGTATGGAATTATCTGTCCCAGGCAGGGGTGATAATCCTCATCTTAAACTGGGCATTGACCAACTGAGCTAAACAGTGGCCCAGAGTCTTCACAACACCTTGGCACATCTATATTGCATTAATTACATGCAGGATATTAGGCTTTGGAACACACACACAAAATAATAGTGGTTAAAATAAGTTTAGAAAATTAATTGTCTCACAAAACTGTTCAAGTGTGATAAGCTCAAGGCTGCTACTGAAGATCCACAGTGGTAGGAATCCAGGACCCTTTTCTTCTTCCACTTTCCTTAGGGTCAACACCCTATTCCATCTAGTCGAAAATGGTGCACAACCACATCCACATTCCAGCCAGGAGAAAGAGGATTACACACTCAGAAGCCACATCAAATCTGCCCATATGCAGAATTTAGATACAAGGAAATATCTATCTGCAAAGGGGTCTTGGAAATGTAATATATATATTATATATGTTTTATATATATTATATATGTCATATATATTATATATGTTATATATATATATACACACACACACACACACACAGAGAGAGAGAGAGAGAGAGAGAGAGAGAGAGAGAGAGAGAGAAAGACGGAGTCTTGCTCTGTCTCCAGGCTGAAGTACAGTGGCGTGATCTCAGCTCACTGCAGCCTCTGCCTCCCAAGTAGCTGGGACTACAGGTGCACGCCACCACCGCCGGCTAATTTTTTTAATTTTTTTTTTATTTTAGTAGAGACAGGGTTTCACCACATTGGCCAGGGTGGTCTTAATCTCCTGATCTCGTGATCCACCCGCCTCGGCCTCCCGAAGTGCTGGGATCACAGGTGTGAGCCACCGCACCCAGCCTATTTACTCATATTTTTTACAGCCATGAACTCAGCCAACAATCAGGAGTTCTATTACCATGAAAAGGAAGGTAAGAGCAGATATTGGCAAACATTAGCAATCTTGCTACAAATGTCAAAAGGACCATTATGTGGTATCTCAACAGGAAGAAGAATAACAGCAAGTTATTTGTCTAGAGTTTACATTTTACAAAGCATTTTGATATATATTATCTCATTTTGCACTCACATAATCCTGTAAATTAGAGAAGTGGAGTGGGGAAGGATGGACTCAAGAAACAGGCAGAATTAGAAAAGTGCACTCCGAACAACCATTGTCAGCTGCTTAATTTAATAGCCTTATTTGGTCATTAATGAACATACTTCAATTGTTTCAGTTATGTGATTCTGCAGAAGATATTATTTCTGAAAGAAGTGGAGGTCTTTCTTTTTCAGATGAAGAAGTGAAATCCGGTTGGGATAAATATGTAAAGAGGAAAGGCGGAGAATGCAGGGAGACAGGCTCTGAGGAGCCAAGCAGACAGGACCACAGGCATAAATGGCATTTGAAGGGGACACACTCGATTATATGAAATGATTTCTAAGATGCTTATGACCTTTTGTTGGGGATCTCCTCATCACTGATGGAGGACAAGTTTGGCACACATGGTTGCCGTTAAGTGTACGTCAAAGGATAGGATTTCAGCGTTTGTGTCATTTCTCAATTCAGCCTTCTTGTTAAGCTTGAGGCATCAAAGTAAGAAGAGATAAGCTCTTCCAGTTCCCGTGGACCACATACAGAAGGAATGCAGCTCAAATTTATTGACCACATACTATGTGCTTGACACTGCTAACAGCAGTTGGATTATTTCATTTTGATCCTCTAAACAACCCTAGGAGGTGGAAATAATTCCAGTTTTGCAAATGAGGAAATAGGCTTGAAGGAATTGTAGCCATGTGGCACAAAGCAAAGTGGCTTATAACTGTGTAAGCCTTCAGACATTGAGTCCAATCAGTACTTGCTGACTACCTATGTTCCAAGTTCTATTATCAAAGGCAAGGATGATTGTCACTAGGTGTATGTCCCTTCCTCTGGCCAGAGCAGCCTATACCTATGCTATATCACCATGTGGGTGAAGAAATTTGCAGACTCATTCATTAGTTTTGCTTTCCCATTTTCCATTTCTGAATGAAAAATCAATTTCTGAAACTCTCTCCAAGTCTTCTGAATATTTCTCTTTCTTTCTTGGATGTCCAGTATTCATTCAAGGTGAAGACCAGGTAATGAAGATTCCTGTGACTGTGAGGACATATAGCTGATATATCAGTTCAAAGAGGAAGATGAGCATGAAATCTAGACTTGCTTAGATTGATATTAAAGGCTTGTCATGGTCTGGCCTTAATCTGCCTCTCCAGACTTGTTTCCTGTGACTTCTCACAAGGAATCACATTTCAGAACTGCCTGATTCATTCATTTTATTCCATGACTATTTAATTATTTATAGGATGTTCCATGCATGGTTTTAGGCATAGGGAATTTAAGCAGTGAACAAGACAGAAGTCTCTGCTATCCATGGGGCTTACATTCTATTAATCAAATATATAATAACATAATTTCAGGCCATGGTAAGTGCAATGAAGAAAATTAGGATGGAGTCATATGATAAAGAGGTTGGAGCATAGGCGGATTGCTTTAGCAAGGTTATCTGGGAGGTGTCTCTGAGGAGCTGGCATGTTGCTGAGACCTGAATGATGAGGAAGTGTCAGCCAGGTGAAGATGGGAAGAAGCATGACACTGGTAGTGGGAACAAAAACGCAAAGGCTCTGAGACAGGAATGAGCTCCAGGAGCAGGAGAAATGGTCTGGAGCATAGGAATGAGGAGGAGAGTAGTGGGAAATGTGGCTGGAGAGGAAGTCAGAGCTAGTGCATGGAGTTGTGAAGGTCATTGTAGGTGGTTAGGATTTTAAGTTCAATGGGAAGCTAGTAGATGATTATAAGCAGGGAAATGATCTGGTTCATGTTTTAAGAGAATAGATCTGGCTTCTCTTTGGGAGAAAAGACTGCAGGGAGCAAAAGTGGAAGTAGGAAAGGCAGCTAGGAGATCACAGTTGTCTTCAGGGGAAACATGATGGTTTACACTGGGGTGGTGGGGCATGAAGAATTGGAATAGTCAGGATTTATACTGAAAGTGGAATTAACAGCAGAGCTAATGGATTGCCTGGGCAGGGTTGGGTCGGGGAGCAAAGTAAAAGAGACCCTGAAGATACCATGTTGGGTTTTATTGTTGTTATTGTTGTTTGCTTTTGTTCACTCTGGAATGCACTCAGAGTGCCCTTCTTCCTATCTCCTCAATTCAACCCATTATTTGAGTCTCAGCATAAAGGTCACCTCTTGCTGGAAGCCTCCAACCTGTGACTGGAATGAATCTCTCCCTGCCTCTCTATTCCTTATTCAAGACTTCTCATACTTGATACTTTATTGAAGAAATTTGTAATGCATTAGTGCCTCCATCTTATGGCAGGAACCATATTACAGTGCCTCCTGAGTAAACACAGTGCCTAAATTATAGCTGATGCTCACCCCTTGCTGGACTGAGACCGCCCAATGCTGCATTTTGCTAAGACTTAGGAAAAGGAAGAAAAAAGTAAGATGTGGAAAGTGCTCAAGACTAGCTGCAGAGGTCTGGGTTCCAGTTCTAGCCCTGTTTCTAGGGAGCTGGGAAATTTGGGACAAGTCGCTTCAGCTTTTATGATCTAAATAACCTTGCTGCTTAATGAGATATGAGATACAAAGTTTCTTAAATCTCAAATAGTTTATGGTTAATGATTCATTTTATGCGCAACCAGAATGTTTAGAAAACCTAATAATTACATGAAAAGTCTGTAAGCTTGCAACCTCCAGAAGTTAAAGGTTTCTAGAAAGTTATAATAATTAAAACAGCATGATAACCATCCACAAATCAGCAGATCAACTGATAAAAGAAAATACAACATCTTGAAACAGTATTTACCAAAAAAGGAAGAATAAGATAGTGGAAACACTATAAATCACTTAGGAATGAACAATTTATTTAACAAGGACATTGAGAAAATTGGCAATTTGAGGAGACAACAGTTTCTGACTTTGCTCTATAATGTAAAATAAAATCCAGCTTAAGTAAAGGGCTAAATATATTTTAAAAAATACAAGCAATCAGAAGATAAGATAGGTCTTTATTTAACTGATTTGTGACACGTGATCTTCTTAAGCATAAATAATGGGAGAAACTATGTAAGAGAAGTGACCAGTAGATTTGACTACAAAAATATTTTAACATTTAGTATTTTAAATTATCTTAATCATATTGAAAAATGAAAAGCAAACTGGGGAAATATTTGTAACATGTATTATCAATATCTAGTACTTGTATGTCAATACAATATCAATAAACACAAATATCAATAATAAAAAATTTTTCCAGATTAATAAAAAATACTTAAGAATTATGATAGAAAAACAGAAAAGATACAAATAGATAATTTATAAAATATGACAATAGTAAATAAAGATTAGAAAACTATTTAATGTTACCAATAAAGAAATGAAAATTTAAATGAGATATTTCTTTACCTATTTAAAATATAAAGATTAAAATAATTGATAGTACTCAATTCAGGCCATGGAAATAAATATTTCACAATGACTGGTGGGAATCCAAATTGGCATAGCCTTTTGGGAAAGCAATTTTACAGCGCATATCAAGAATATTGACAATCTCATATTATTTAAAAACCAGAAATTCCTTTCATTGAGATTAACATCCTGAAAACCTCTCATGAAGAAACAGTCAGATACGTAACCAAAGATTCATCTAAGACCTCAATTGAAGTACTACTTTTAATAGAAAAAACTTGAGAATAATGTTAATGATCAAAACCAGAGGAATAATAATGTGAACTATTAGGATCTCCATTAAAGAGGTTTTTTTTTTTTTTCTCAAAGTCTATTTATTGACATGGAAATGATCACAATAAAATTTTAAGTAAAATGTAAAAATCAGGATACAAAGCTGCATACACAATATGAAACTGAACCTCATTGTGTAAATATCTATAATATATATAACCACTTAGAAAAACGCATGAAGGAAAAGAATAGCATGCTAATGTCCCTGGGTACAGCGATTTCAAACGGTTTTAATTATCTTTTTAATATTTCCTGCATATTTAATTTATACAAGCAGAAAAATGCAAATGCTATAAAATCTAGCAACAAATAGTCAAACTAGCAACCTCCCTTTTCTTTCTTCCCTCCTCCCTCCCCTATGTGTAATAGATATTTCTAGGGACGAAAGCACAGAAAATCTGGATTTTTTTACTTAGAAAGTTCAGAATAAGGCTGAATTTCACTGACTCATTGAGAGAAAGCTTCTAAGAGAGGAAATATGATAAATTAATGGTGAGACATAAAATAAGCCATTTATGTATTTTATATATATATATGTATATACATATATATAATTTCTAACTTGTGTTTTTTGAGACAGGGTCTTGCTCTAGTGTTCAGGGTGCAGTGCAGTGGCACAATCATAGCTCCTGGGCTCAAGAGATCTTCCCACTTCAGCCTCCCGGGTAGCTGGGACTACAGGTGTGTGCCAACATGCCCGGGTAATTTTATTATCATTATTATTATTATCGAGACAGGGTTTTGCCAAGCTGCCCAGGCTGATCTTGAACACCTGGGCTGAAGTGATTTGTCTGCCTCAGCCTCTCAAAGTGCTGGGATTACAGGTGTGAGCCACTACATTCAGCCAATACATGCCATTTATTGAGCACACATTGCGTTCCAGGAAGGATGGTAGGAACTTGGCAAGTTATTTCACTTTCCTGGCTGCAGTTTTATCTCTGTCTTACTCAAGGAGCCCCTTCTGATAGGTCCTTTCTGATGGGACCTGTGGCTGCTACAAGGAGAGTGGGAAGGAAAAAGATATGTCCCAGTGTTCTCAACCAGAATTCAGAAAACACTTCTTCACAGAAATAGTGGTGATGGGGGAAAGTTAGCTTCTCTCTCTCTCTTTTTTTTTTTTTTTGAGACGGAGTCTCACTATGTTGCCCAGGCTGGAGTGCAGTTGTGCTCTCTCAGCTCACTGCAAGCTCCACCTCCTGGGTTCATGCCATTCTCCTGCCTCAGCCTCCTGAGTAGCTGGGACTACAGGCACCCGCCACCACGCCCGGCTATTTTTTTTGTATGTTTTTAGTAGAGATGGGGTTTCACCATGAGCCAGATGGTCTCGATCTCCTGGCTTTGTGATCCGCCTGCCAAAGTGCTGGGATTACAGGCCTGAGCCACTGCGCTCGGCCAAAAGTTAGCTTCTCAAACATGATTCGTTTTATAGCTGGATTCTCCCTTATATTATTTGTATAGTTTGCACAGTTCTTTTTATGTAGACCTAGAAATCAAAGCCTGGTTTATTTAAGATGATTAGGGGCTTGGTGTGTGCTGGGCATTGTGTTAAGTGCTTTACACCCATTATCTTATTTAACCTTTATATACCCTATAACGCTACTACTATTTAAGTGTATATTTTATTTTATGTTGTGTTCATATGTGTTCTTTGTGTTCATAGCATCAGCTATGATTCAGGCACATATGTACTCAATATTTAGCTCCCACTTATAAGTAATAATAAATGGTATTTGGTTTTCTGTTCTGCATTAGTTTGCTTAGGATAATGGCCTCCAGCCTCATCCATGTTGCTGCAAAGGATGTGATCTCATTTTTTATGGTTGCATAGTATTCCAAGGTTAAACTTTACCACTTGGTGGGAAGATCTACAAGGTAATGTTAAAAAAGGGCTTGGGCACAGGAGGGGAATGTGGTGCCCATGGTGACTATTTTTACCAACAATTCACATATTTTATTCACAAGGAACCTGAGACCTAGATAAGTTATTTCAGTACTTCTCAAACTTCAGTGTGCATAAGAGTCATTTGAAAATTTTGTTAAACTGGGACTTGTGATTCAGTAGGCCTAGCCTGGAGTTGAAGACTCTGTTTCTTGTGAATCTGCTTGAGAATCTGTTTTTGAGATTCTTGTTTCTAATACACTCCCAGATGGTGCTGGTTCTCTAAGTCCCTGGACAACAATTTGATTAGCATGGGGTCAACCCACTTGCCAGATCCCAGGGTTAGAGTATGGCTGGGCCATGATGTGAACCCCAGCAAGCTGGTGTCACACTTGGCTGGACAACTTACAAGAGCATGTGCTTTTGTTCTCCTGATCTGCAGTTTTTCAACATCCTCTCCATCCTCTGTGCCCTACACTAGGTCCTATGTCAAGAAGATAAGTCAGTTCTGCACTCATTGCTTCAGGGGAGGGATCAAGAGCACTGGAAGCAGAAATAAAGAAATATTTCTTCCTCTCCAAAATTTCACAGTCTGATGCCCCTTAGGCCAAATCTAGCCTGAAGATGTGTTCTGATGAACACACCTTAAAATTCTAGATTCACACATGCTTAGAATTTTAATTGCCCATTAAAAACCCTTAAATTCTCATAACAATCAAGATTGTTAGCTTTTTTTGAAAGCTTAGATAGTCTGGGAACAAGGGCCAACTCTCCCACATGGCAGCAGTTAGTTGGAGCTTATAGTGCCTGTTGCTTTCCTAAGGGACAAGGACCCCAGTGAGCCATGACCCCCACCTTGTCCAATGGACTCATTTCTCATTATCTGCATTCCTCAGTAATGAAGGGAATCTGGGTAAAATGAAACATTTAGTAGAAAGATTGAAGAGGTCCACGGGGCCAACGGCAGAGGACCAGACCTAAACACCATACAATCAGGAATTAAAGATGCAGGGAATTTTTGGAGAGCCCAGAAACGGAATCACCTTTGGGCTGCCAAGCCCTCACTTGAGTGAGCATGATCTACCATCCTTGGTGTTTCAAGGCCGTGACAGATGATTGCATGACCAACATCTAAAGGAGGCTTTCTTTCTACAGCTCCAGCATGTCATCTTGTGCAGGAGTAAGAAAATAGAGAGGGAGGCATGTGCTCCAAGACTTTGCTTCATCCCCATCTGACACACTCATGAGGACAACTCTCTCCCTAGAAAACCCAGTACACTTATAAGCTCAAGAGAAGATGTGTAGAGCCCTAGATGCCCAGAAGAACTATAATGGGAGCAAAAGAAAAGCCCTTTCCCTGTAATTTGTGAAGGGGTAGAGGGACTGAACAGGACTCACTAGGAATCCCTTTTGAGCAGACAGTGGCTTTCTATATCCTTCAGGTGGTTGTTGGTAAAAATAGTCACCATGGGCACTATATTCCCCTTCTGGGCCCAAGCCTTTTTTTAACATGACCTTGCAGATCTTCCCACCAAGAGGTAAAGTTTAACCGTGGAATACTATGCAGCCATAAAAAATAAGATCACATACTTTGCAGCAACATGGATGGGGCTGGGGGCCATTATCCTAAGTGAACTAATGTAAGAATGGAAAACCAAATACCACATGTTATTACTTA
This sequence comes from Homo sapiens, assembly GCF_000001405.40. Lineage (NCBI taxonomy): Eukaryota > Metazoa > Chordata > Mammalia > Primates > Hominidae > Homo > Homo sapiens. The sequence goes on from NC_000012.12 coordinate 102,990,116, forward strand.
TAAGTGGGAGCTAAACATTGAGTGCGTATGAACACAAAGAAGGGAACAACAGACATCAAGACCTACTTGAGGGTGGAGGATGGGAGGGGGTTGAGGACTGAAAAACTATCTATCAGGTTCTATGCTTATTACCTGAGTGACAAAATAATCTGTACACCAAACCCCTGTGACATGTACTTTCCCTATATAACAAACCTGTACATGTACCCCTGAACCTAAAATAAAAGTTAAGAAGTAAAAATTTAAAAAAGCATAAGGAAGAAATAGGATTTTAATTTTGTAACTGTTATGTATCAAAGATTCATTATAGAAATCAAATGAATTTCTAAAGCATAACAAAAAGAGGTGCATTTTATTTCCCCATCACTGGACTCTGGACTGGCCTTGTGACTTGTTTGGCCAGTAGAATGTGGCAAAAGTGACAGGCCAATTCCAAATCTAGGCCTCAAAATGTTTTGTGTGTTTCTGCTCTGTGTGCCTCTGGAACACTGCCTGATGCCATCAGCATGAGGCCAGGCAAGTCTGCTGGAGGATAAGAGACACAGTTTACAGAGACCGGCCATCCCAGCTATGGCCACCAGAGATCAGCTATTCCCTAGCTGACCTAGCCCCTAACTGAAGATGTGTGAGTGAGCCCAGCCAAGATAAGAAGAACTGCTCAGCTGGGCCCAGCCCAAATTGCTGACCCACGCAATCATGAAACATATAAATGGCTTTATTTTAAGCCACTGAGCTTTCTGGCTGGTTTTATTTTTTAGGCAGCAAAAGCTGACACCCCACTTAACACACTGTTAGTTTCCTAGAATGTCTGTAACAAAGTACCACAGACAGGGTGGCTTAAAATAACAGAAATGTATTATCTGACAGTTCTGGAGTCTAGAAGACCAAAATCAGTATCAGCAGGGTTGGCTTATTCTAGAGGCTCTGAGGGAGAACCTGTTCCCTGCCTGTCTCCTAGCTTCTAGCAGCTGCTGATAGTCCTTGACATCTTGTGACCTGTAGAAGAATTACTCCAATGCCTGACTCTGTCATCACGTAATATTCTCTTCTCTGTGTGTGTCCAAATTTCCCTCATCTTATAAGGGCACCAGTCATTGGGTTAGAATCTACCCTATTCCCCTATGACTTCAACTTGATTGAGTCTTCAAAGACTCTATTTCCAAATAAGCCACCATCCAGGGGTACCAGGGGTTGGAACTTCAACATAATTTTCTGCGGGACAAATTTCAACCCCCAAAACACTATGGAATTGCTTATATTGGAAAATTCATTTAGATTTCCAAATATACCTGCTAAAGGAATCTTTGAAACACCATCCATTGGTAAGTTGAGTTTTCTTTCTCCATGTAGCTATTTGTGGATTCGAGCTAGGATTCTGCCATTTAATCTAGTTTGGTAGAAAGATCGGAGACTTTGGAGATGAAGAAGGAAGTTAACATTCATGGTATGTAAATTGTCTTATTGAATCCTTACTTAGAGTATGTATTTAAAAAAAAACTATTTCACAGGTCAGAGATGTTGAGAAATTTGCCTAAGTCACACAGTAAATACCCTCAGCAATCAGCCTTTGAATGCAAGTCTGTATGATTTCAAAGATATGATCTTTCTACTGTACCCTAGAGCATCTCCTTGGTGTCAGAAGATCTGGATTCTTGTCCTGGTCCATTTTCTACTTAGTGGCATGACCTGGAGTCTTAATTTTAATGAAATCCCTCCTCTTTAAAATGGAGTCAATAAATGTCATCCTTGTTGATTTTTATGAGTATTGAGAAAGATGAGGCAGAACGTGGTGGCAAGGGTTGGGTTTTGGAGTTAGACAACCTTGAACTGGGGTCTTGGCTCTAACTCTGTGATCCTGGGCATATCGTGTAAGCTTTCAAAGCTTTAATTTCTTTATCTGTAAAAAAGAACATAGTAATATCACCAATCTTAAAGGTTTATTGCAAAGATTCAATAAGAAGATTATATATATAACATATTTAGCTCAGTATCTTGCCATAGAAAGTGCTCAAAGATGATCTATAATTAGATATTTAAAAGCATTTTCTAAAGTGCAAAGTTCTAATTAATGCTAATTATTAAAATTGCATTTTATTTTCAGTTTGATGAAATCATGTGCTCTCTGAAGCCAAAGTGATTTCTCTGGGCTTTTTCTAACTCAGCATCACCCAGGTTTGCTTACTGACTGTAACTCATACCTCTGCACAATCTGAAAAGCAGACCTAGTCCTGTGGCTAGAGATTTTCCAGGTAGAAGGACAAAGCTCCCACCACAGAGCTCCCCAGTGCTTCCCTCTTACGGTGGAGGGAGGTCTGTCAGGATGATTTAGGCTGTGCGAGGTCTCAGAGTCTCTGACAAGTCCCTCATTAGCTCATCCTTGTTTGCATGCTCTGTGACCTGTACAGTTTGTATAGGTTGTTCCAAGTTCTCACGTGGGGCTGGCTTCCCTAGACCTGTTTCAGCTTGAGTGACTCAGGGCAAGATAAAATGTCTGTCAAAGTATTCACCACGGTATTCTAATAAGTGTTGGAAACATTTGCCTGGCTGCTCCCCCACCCACCCCGCCCACTGACCACCACTAATATCCCTGGGGTTTCCCTCATTTGTAAACTTAGGCTCTGAGAAATAGAAATAGAAATAGAAATTCCCATCCCTGCTCCCATAACCTATGCTCACCTTTTTCTCACTCAGACAAAGGCGGGATATGCGCAGGGTCCTGGGTGCTTGCCTTATCCACAGCCCCTTCTGAGGGAAGTAACTTTAAGTATAAATCTTGATACTTTCTACGCACTTGAAGACCACAGCTGTTTAGACTAAGGAGCAGTGTCAGCCCCCAATGGAGGCTATTTGCAGTGCAAGAGGTAGTGGCTTAAGACTTCTGACTGGCAAGGCTATGCCTTGCACTGACCACAGTGCCCACAGACAGCTTTTCTCCCTTGAGGAGGTTGGCCTGAAGACACCCATAAAGGAATATGAAGACAGTGAAGTCTCACCGAGTGAAGTCAGTGAGAGGCCACTAAGAAGCAGAAGCTAGGAGGCAGAGGCAAAGCCTGTGGAGACAGAAGTGCCTGAAAGGAGACAGAAAGGGAATGAGTTCCACATGTGGGGAAATTGTGAGTGGGGACTGTCTAAGGAGATTGTTACTAATATGGTCATGAAGTCACCAGAGACTTAAGTTGCTGAGGCATCCCAAAAAGTAATGTAGACTGTGCTATTTCATTCTTAGACAGCTAGCAACAAAAACTAACTCTTGTCAACTTGAGGAAATGGGAAATGTATTGGAAAGACATGGGAAGGCTCTTGGAATAAAAAAGTAGCTGAAGAAAGATGTCTCTGGGAATCCAGGAAGCAAGGTCCTTCTGAGTTTTGCCTCTGCAATGAGTCAAGTTTAACTGTAACCTCACTCCACTCCAGAGTCAGAGTCATTGAGAGTGTCTTAATGCTTCAGCTAGACCTACCCTGTGGTTAGAAAATTGTAGGAAATCTTGGTTGACAGAAATTACGCTTTTTTTTTTTCTATAAAAGGGGACATGAATATTGATGGGGCCAGAGAAATAATAGTCATCTTATTCTATGAGTTTTGGCTGTGTGGCTGCTGACACCATTTCCTGTGCCCTTATCTTTACATCTAAAACCTCTTGTCACCTCAGATCCCCTGAGCTTGTCTCACAGATGTGATCCTCCTTTATCTTCTCCAATTTTGCACATCTTACCATCCTAAAGTGTTACTCACATTCTCTTCCTTTTACTGGTCAATTGTTGGTAGCTGCATTATTGCTCCCATTTCTTCACTCCTTGTATCTACTGCTTTCACCATGTGACTTACTAGTTCCTCCCACCAGGGGTTAGGTATACTTCCCTATCTCTTGAGTTTAGGATCAGCCATGTAACTTGCTTCAGTCAATGAGATATTTGCAGACATAATGCAAGCAGAGGCTTAAATTGTGCTTGAGCAGTTGAACTTTCCTCATTTGCACTTCAAAATCATCAAGAGACTAGTGTGCTCTAGGTAGCCTACTGGTCCCAGGATATTGAAGTTCTACAGAGCATACCTGAAAACAACCTCCACCTAGAAACCAAACTCAGCTGAACCCAGCCTAGATCAGTAGACCTCCAGCTGATTTGTGGATGAGCTAGCAAGAATAAATGTTTAATTTGGGGACAGTTTTCTACACAGCATTATTATGGCAATAGCTAACATATAAATCTTGCAAGGTGTAATGGAAATAACATGATTTTGAAATAAGATAGACTTGGTTTGCAATTCTGAATCTAAAAAGGGAGGAGAAACTTAATCTCTTTGATCCTCAGGTATCACACTAATAGAAAGAATAATTACTTTTCCTTTCCATTTTTCTGAAACCATTCTTTTTAACAGCTTTATTGAGTAATAACAGACTACTTCATGTTACATATGGTTAAAATATAGTTTGATAAGTTTGACATATATGTGTAGTTGTGAACCCCTATCACAGTCAAGATAATAAATATGTTCATCACCCCCCAAAACTTCCTGGTGATCTTTTGTAATTCCTCTCTTCTTTCCCTTAACTTTTCTTCCATCCTTAGGCAACAACTATCTGCTCTCTGTCAATAGAGCTTGCATTTTCTAGAATTTTACTGATATGGAAACAAATGGCATGTACTCATTTTGTTTGGTTGCTTGGCTTCTTTCACTGAGCGAAATTATTTTGAGATTCATCCATGTTGTTGTGTGTATTCATTAATTCCTTTTACATTTTGAGTAGCATTCCATTGTATGAATATAACACAATTTGTTTATCCATTCACCTGTTGACGGACATTTCACTTAACAGATTTTGACTATTACAAATAAAACTGATATGAATATTTATATGCAAGTCTTTGTATGACAAACATTCATTTTTCTTGGGTAAATGTCTAAGAGTACAATGGCCGGATTTTATGGGAAGTATAAAATTTCCTTTCATTTTTTTATTGAAATTTTACAGAGATAGTGATAAATTCACGTGCAGTTTTAAATATACAGATAGATTCCACAAACATTTTACTCAGTTTCTCCAAAATGTAACATTTTGCAAAACTATAATATCACAACCAAGATATTGATATTGATACAATCCAACAATCTTATTCAGAATACTAATTTGTAGGTACACTTATTCTTATAAGCAATTTGTGTGTGTGTGTGTGTGTGTGTGCATGTGTGTAGTTCTTTACAGTCTTATCACATGTGTAGGTTTTTGCATTTACCATCACAGTGGAGATACTGACTAGTTACATCACAGTAAGAAACTCTATTGCTACCTTTTTCTCTATTGTTACTCTCCCCACTGCCCCTCCCTGGATCTTTAACTCCTGGAAGCTACTACTCTGTTCTTAATTTCTGAAACTTTGTAATTTCAAACAACGTTATATAAATGAAAGTAAGTAGTGTGTAACCTTTTGGGCCTGCCATTTTTCCCCTACTCAGCATAATTCCTTGGAGATTTATCCAAGTTGTTTTGTGTACCACTAGTTTGTTACTTTTTATTGCTGAGTAATATTTCATAGTGTGTATGTACCACACTTTGTTTAATCATTACCTGTTGAAGGACATTTGGGTTGATTCCAGTTTTTTGCTGTTACAAATAAAGCTGCTATGAACATTTGTGTACAGGTTTTGTGTGGAAGTAAATTTTCACTTCTCTAGGATAAATGCCCCAAAATGCACTTACTAGATTGTATGGCCCTGCATGTTTAGCTTTGTTAGAAATTGACACGTTATTTTTTGAGAGTGTCTGTACTATCTTGTATTTCCACAAGGAATATCTCAGTTATCCAGTTTTTTTTTACAACTTTACCATCATTTGGTGTTGTAACTATATTTGATTTTGGCCACTCAGGTAGGTGTAAGGTAATATTTCATTATTATTTGAATGTACATTTCTTTGGTGTGTAATGATATGGAATACCTTTTCATAGCTTTATTCACTATATATATATATATATATATATATATATATATATATATATATATATATATATATAAATATCTTTTTTTGTGAAATGTCTATTCATATCTTTTGCCCATTGTCCAACTTTTTTTCCTTGTTTGTTTTTACTATTGATTTGCAGTGACTTATATGTCCTAGATACTTGTCTTTTATCAGATGTGTGGTTTGCAAATATTTTTTTCTGAGACCCTAGCATATCTTTTCATCCTCTTCACATGGAATTTCAAAAAATAAAGGTTTCTAATTTTTGTTACAGTTTGATTTATTAACATTTTCTTTTATGGATCATGTTTTTGGTGTCAAATCTAAGAGCCCTTTGCCTAGGCTTCAATTTTAAAGTTTTTCTCTTATTTTTAAAAATTTATAGTTTTACAGTTAAGTTCATGGTCTATTTTTAGTTAATTATTGTATCAAGTGTGAAGTTTAGGTTGAGGTTCATTTTTATGACTATGAATATCCAATTGCTCTAGCACTATTTGTTGAAAAGGTTATTTTTCCTTCCTTGTGTTGTTTTTGCACCTTTGTTAAAAAGTATTTTGGCATATTTATATGGGACTGTTTCTGGGTTCTTTCTTCTGTTCCATTGGTCTATGTGTGGACATCTCCATCAGTACCACACTGTCTTGATTACTGTAAGTATACAGTAAGCCTTAGTATTGAGTGGAGTGGTTCTTGCCACTTTACTCTTCTTCTCCAAGATTATTTTAGGTTCTCTTAGAATTCAGATTTCATGGTCAATGGTTCCTTCTTCTCAGCAACTGAAAAATACTTTGCCACTAACTTTTGACCTTCATAGTTCCAAATGAGAAATCCACTGTCATTCCAATTGGTGTTTCCCTGTAGGGAATGTGTCATTTCAATATTTTTTTCTTTTATCTTTAGTTTTTAAAAGTTTAATTATGTTGTCTCTTGGTATGGAATTTTGGGGGTTTATTCTCTTTGGGATTCATGCAGCTTCTTGGATCAGTACATTGTGGGGTTGTTTTTTCTTTGCCAAATTTCAGACAGTTTCAGCAATTATTTCTTAAAATAATCTTTCACCTCCCTCCCTTTCATCTCTCCTTCTGGGACTGTATTAGTTCGTTTTCATGCTGCTGATAAGGACATACCCACAACTGGATATTTTTTTTTTTTGAAGAGTTTTAATCGACTTACAGTTCCAAGTGGCTGAGGAGGCATCACAATTATGATGGAAGACAAGGAGGAGCAAGTCACATCTTACATAGATGGCAGCAGGCAAAGAGAGACAGCTTTTGCAGAGAAACTCCCATTTTTAAAACCATCAGATCTTATGAGACTTATTCAGTATCAGGAGAACAGACTTGCCCCCATAATTCAATACTGGGTCCCTCCCACAATTCAAGATGAGATTTGTGTGGGGACAAAGCCAAACCATACCTTTCTGCCCCTGGCCCCTCCCAAATCTCATGTCCTTACATTTCGAAACCAATCATGCCTTCCCAACAGTATCCCAAAGTCTTAACTCATTTCAGTATTAACTCAAAAGTCCACAGTCCAAAGTCTCATCTGAGACAAGGCAAGTTCCTTCCACGTATGAGCCTGTTAAATCAAAAGCAAGTTAGTTACTTCCTAGGTAAAATGGGGGTACAGGCATTGGGTAAATATATCCATTCCAAATGGGAGAAATTGGCCAAAACAAAGGGGCTACAGGTCCCATGCAAGTCCAAAATCCAGCAGGGCAGTCAAATCTCAAAGCTCAAAAAAATAATCTCCTTTGACTCCATGTCTCACTTCCAGGTCACACTGATGCAAGAGGTGGGTTCCCATCATCTTGGGCAGCTCTGTCCCTGTGGCTTTGCAGGGTACAGCCTCCCCCCCAGCTGCTTTCATGTGCTGGTGTAGAGTGTCTGTCACTTTTCCAGGTGCATGGTGCAAGCTGTCAGTGGATCTATGATTCTGGGGTCTGGAGGATGGTTGCCCTCTTCTCACAGCTCCACTAGGCAATGCCCCAGTAGGGACTCTGTGTGGGGCCTCTGACTCCACATTTCCCTTCTGCACTGCCCTAGCAGAGGTTCTCCATGAGGGCCCCACCCCTGCAACAAACTTCTGCCTGGGCATCCAGACATTTCCGTACATTCTCTGAAATTAAGGTGGAGGTTCCCAAACCCCAATTCTTGACTTCTGTGCCCTCACAGGCTCAACACCATGTGGAAGCTGCCAAGGCTTGGGGCTTGCACCCTCTGAAGCCAAGGCTTGAGCTTTATGTTGGCCCCTTTCGGCCATGGCTGGAGTGGCTGAGACTCAGGGCACCAAGTCCCTAGGCTGCATAAAGCATGGGGATCCGGGGCCCAGCCCATGAAACCATTTTTTCCTCCTAGGCCTCCAGGTTTGTGATGGGAGAGGCTACCAAGAGGACCTCTGACATGCCCTGGAGACATTTTCCCCATTGTCTTGGAGATTAACATTCAACTCCTCATTACGTTTGCAAATTTCTGTAGCTGGCTTGTATTTCTCCTAAGAAAATGGGACTTTCTCTTTTACTAAATTGTCAGGCTGCAAATTTTCCAAACTTTTATGTTCTGCTTCCCTTATAAAACTGAATGCCTTTAACAGCACCAAGTCACCTCTTGAATGCTTTGCTGCTTAGAAACTTTTCCACCAGATACCCTAAATCATCTCTCTTAAGTTCAAAGCTCCACAAATCTCTAGAGCAGGGGCAAAATGCTGCCAGTCTCTTTGCTAAAATGTAACAAGAGTCACCTTTGTTCCAGTTTCCAACAAGTTTCTCATTTCCATGTGAGACCACTTCAGCCTGTATTTCATTGTCCATATCATTATCAGCATTTTGGCTGAGGCCATTCCACAAGTCTCTAAGGAGTTCCAATTTTTCCCACATTTTACTGTCTTCTTCTGAGCCCTCCAAACTGTCTTAATCTCTGCCTGTTACCCAGTTCCAAAGGTGCTTCCACATTTTTGGGTAGCTTTTCAGCAGCACCCCACTATACTGGTATCAATTTACTGTATTAATCTATTTTCATGCTGTTGTTAAAGACATACCTGAGACTGGGCAATTTACAGAAAAAAGAGGTTTAATGGACTTACAGTTCTACGTGACAGGGGAGGCCTCACAACTATGATGAAAGGCAAGGAGGAGGAAGTCACAATTAATGTGGATGTAGCAGGCAAAGAGAGAGATCTTGTGTAGGGAAATTCCTGTTTCTAAAGCCATCAGATCTTGTGAGACTTATTCACTATCAGGAGAACAGCATGGGAAAGGCTTGCTTGCATGATCCAAGTACCTCCCACTGGGACCCTCCCACAACACGTGGGAATTCAAGATGAGATTTGGGTAGGGACACAGCCAAACCATATTAGGAACTATATTAATATGAATATTGGATCTCTTGTTATCACTCCACAGGTTCCTGAGGTACTGCTCAATTTTTTTCAGTTCAGTTTCTCTTCATTCATATAATTTTTTATATAATTATAAATAGTATATATTTTTTAAATATCAGTTTCCTATTGTTCATTGCTAGTATATAGTAATACAATTGATTTTTCTATTTGGTCTTATATTCTGCAATCTAGATTCCATTTAATTTTCTACATGGATTTTTTTTCATGAATGATTATGTCATCTTTAAATAATGGCAGTTTTACTTTATTCTTGCCAATATTAATGTCGTATTTTTTATTTTTCTTGCCTTAGTGCATTTGCTAAAACCCCTAGTACAATGTTAAATATAATGTCTTTTTTCCTGTTCTTAGCAAAAAATCATTTAGTCTTTCCCCATTAAGTATGATGTTAGTTGTAAGTTTTTCATAGGTGCCATTTATTAGGTTTAGGAATGTCGTTATATTCCTAGTTTTCTGAGAGTTTTTCTTTTTAAATCAGGAATTAACATTAAGTTTTGTTAAATATTTTTTGTGCCTCTACCAATATTATCATATGTTTTCCTGTCCACTAATATGATAAATTATATTGACAGATTTAAATATAGCAAGCCAATCATATATTCCTGGGATACATACCACTTGGTCATGATGTATGATTGTCTTTATATATCAGGGAATGCTGATCTTCAGTTTTCTTTTCTGGTAATGTCTGGTTTTGGTATCAAAATAATGCTGGCCTCAAAGAATGAGTTCATGAGTATTCCCTTCTCTTTGATTTTCAACTTTTTGAAATATTTGGGGTAAGACAAACATAATATCCTCCTTAAATATTTGCTAGAATTCATGAGTAAAACCATCTGGATCCAGAGTTTTCTTTGTGGAAAATGTTTTCTAACTGTAAATTCAATTTCCGCAATTTATATAGTACTGAATATTATGAGTTAATCTTAGTTGGTCTAAATTGGCCCCTGTACTTGTCTTCAGGGTTGTTGACTCTTGGTCAATCATATTCTGTAACCTTGGGTAAGTTGTTTCATAATAGAATGTATGAGACTTTCAACATTTTTAGTAATAATAATTTGACTTATGATTTGAATGTGGTTTCAGTGGATTCTGGGAATTTCAATGGTAAAGTCTGGTCAGTTACATAGCTCGAATGTGTTTATGTGACCAGCTCACTATAAGAAAACCCCCACCATATACAAAATTTTGGCTTTGGCTTTCTTCTACTGAGGGTCTTTGCACACATGCTGGTGGTAATTTAAGACCTAGAGACTATGCATATTCTATGTGAACTGATCCAGTGTGAAAGGAAAAAAAAGCCTACTCTTGAGACTTCTAGTGCCCTTTCTATGCACATATTTCTCCATCATAGTTACCGTTTTTGATGCTCTTAATTCCTTTGATAGATTCAGGTTTTCATCTGATACAATTTTCTTTTTACTTGTAGCACTCACTTTAATATTTCTTTTCTGATAATGGGTTCTTTCAGCTTCTGTATGTCTGAAAACAATCTTTGATGCTCTTAATTCCTTTGATAGATTCAGGTTTTCATCTGATACAATTTTCTTTTTACTTGTAGCACTCACTTTAATATTTCTTTTCTGATAATGGGTTCTTTTAGCTTCTGTATGTCTGAAAACAATCTTTATTTTACGTTTGGTATTGAAAGATATTTTCACCAATTATAGCATCTTAGGTTGGCACATCTATTTTTCTTTCAGTACTGTAAGGATGTTGTTCCATTATTTTCTGTCTTTTTTTGTGACAAGATATCTGATGCAATCTGTATGTTTGTCATTCTGTATATAACATGCTTTTTTCTGTTTAATTTTAAGATTTCCTTTTCATCATTGCTTTTAAGCAATTTGATCATATTGTGCCTTGGTGTAGTTTACTTCATGTTTCTTGACTTGAAACTTGTTGAAATTTTTGAAACTTTAGATTTATCATTTTCTGCAAATTTGAACAACTTTTTGGCCATTTTTCCTTTAAATATTTTTTCTAGATACCTCTACCTCCCATGTGTCTGATTGTATACACATGTGGCCACATATGTCCCACAGCTCACTGATGTTCAATTCATGTTTTCTAGTCTTTTTTTCCTCCCATTTAATTTTAGAGTTTCTATTCTTGTTTAAAATTCAGAAATTTCACTGTCTTATCTGCCATTAATCCTATCCAGTGCTTTTTTCACTTGAAGTTTTTATCTCTAGAAGCCTAAGATTGGTTTTTAACAGTCGCTTCCATGTATCTATTCAACATGTGCATTCTTCCCTCAGCTTTTTGAATTTATGGAATACAATTATAATAACTATTTTATTGTCATGTTTGTTAATTATAATCTGTGACATTTCTGGGTGACTTTTAATCAATTAATTTTTTTATCTCATTATGGCTAATATTTTCCCATTTCTTTGCATGCTTGGCAATTTTTGGTAGGATGTCAGACATTTTGAACTTTACCTTGTTGGATGCTAGATATTTTTGTGTTCCTAAAATATTTTTGAGCTTTGTTTTGGGACATGGTTAAGTTACTTGAAAAAAAGTGGTTTCTTGGGGGAAATCTTGTTCTAGGCTTTGTTAGATGGGACCAGAGCCACATTTACTAGGGCTAAATTACTCCAATACTCCAAAATTTATGACTTGAATATGGTTTATGTGGATCCTGGGAGTTTTAATGATTAACAGTTAAAAATCCCTTTTAAAACTCTAACTGGTGCCCTGTAAATTATAAGATTTTCAAATCTGATATTTGGAAACAGACACTATTATTGACCCTATGATTTGACATTATTTTCTCTAATCCTTTCAGGTGGTTCTTTCTTCAGCCTTGGGTACCTTTCTCACATGGATGCATTATTGAGTAGTCTACTGAATACTTGAAGGGGACCCTCTACAGATCTATAAAGTTCTTTCTGTGTGTAGCTCTCTCTTCCCTAGTACTCTGTCCTGTGATCTTCAGTTGCCTTGGTTTCCCCAGATTCCCGGATTCTTGTCCTAGACTCAGAGATACTACCAAGCTCTTCCTGTGTCTCTCTAATCCTGCACAATGCAGGCCAGAAATTTTCTTCTGGAGCTAAGTTGGAACAATTATAAGGTTCACCTATTTTGTTTTTCATCTTGGCTAGATTATGGCCTTCCTTGTCTGATGTCCAATGTTCCAATGTATTCAGAGCCATTTTTTTTTTTCATTTTTTTGGTAGTTTTTTGAGTGAGGAGTGTAAATCTAGTCTATGTCAATTCATTTTAATCAAGATCAGAAGTCAAACCTCTTGTGTTTCATTCAGATACCTTTCTTCCTGCCACTGGAGCCCATATCTTTCAGGGAAAGCTCATCTCACTTCCCTGGGATGAATCTGGAGGGTCTAAGTGTAATCTCATTGAGTTCAGCAATTCAGCTAATCATCACATGGTATTCCCCTGGCCACAGAGATTATTTCAAGAATGGACATACAAATCAGTTTTGACTTAGTCACAAAGGAAAAGTTTTCTGGGGGATTCCATGAAAAGTTATCTCCTTCTTAAGAGAGGATAAATGAAAGTAATGGTCCCGTTTCTTCTGGTTATAGTTGTTAGCATAAGTAAGACCTGAAACTGCAGCAATGATATTGCTACCAGCAAGAATGTGAGGCTAAGGAAAGACAGAGCGAATAGAATCACCAAGAAACAATGATAGAGAAATTGTATTAAGCTTTAACTAATCAAACCTTTACCTCTGGTCTTTTCCAGTTACATGAGCCAATATATTTTCTTATTAACCATTCTGAAATTAGCATTCTTTTACTAGGAGATTAAGCTTTTTCCAGCTCTGCACTTTGACTCACACTTAACATTTAAATTCCTATAGATCAAAGACTAGATATCATTTCTTTGTGGCTCTCTTTGCAACTAAAAGCAATAGCTGACTGAGTGACTTGGGAATGTTTTAAAAATTTCTTTGAGTCTCAGTTTGCTTGTCCATAAAAGTGGAGATAATATTATCAGGTTATTATAAAGTTTTAAAATGCTATAGTTTTTCTTTTCTTTTAATTAATTTGAATTTTTATTTTAAGTTTTAGGGTACATGTGAAGGATGTGCAAGTTTGTTACATAGGTAAATGTGTGCCGTGGTGGTTTGCTGCACCTATCAAGCCATCACCTAGGTATTAAGCCCAGCATGCATTGACTATTTTTCCTAATGCTCTCCCTCCCCCAACCATACCCTGACAGGCCCCAGTGTGTATTGTTCCTCTCCCTGTGTTCATGTGTTCTCATTATCCAGCTCCCACTTATAAGTGAGAACATGTAGCGTTTGGTTTTCTGTTCCTGCATTAATTTGCTGAAGACAATGTCTTCCGGCTCCATCCATGTCCCTGCAAAGGACATGATCTTTTTCCTTTTTATGGCTGCATAGTGTTTCATGGAGTATATGTACCACATTTTCTTTATCCAGTGTATCATTGATGGGCATTTGGGTTGATTCCATGTCTTTGCTATTGTGAAGAGTACAGTGAACATAAGTGTGCATGTATCTTTGTAAAAGAATGATTTATATTCCTTTGGGTGTATACCCAGTAATGGTATTGCTGGGTCAAATGGTATTTCTGGTTCTAAATCTTTGAAGAATCACCACACCATCTTTCACAATGGTTGAACGAATTTACATTCCCACCAACAGTGTAAAAGCATTCCTATTTATCTGCAACCTCACCAGCATCTGTTGTTTCTTGACTTTTTAATAATCATTGTCCCAGTGCTTGTTAAGCCTGTCACACATTATCAGCTTAATAAATATGAGTCCCCCTTTGCCTCATCACAGTAAGTGTTCTAGTGACTATTTCTTTTTCTTTTTCTTTTTTCTTCTCTTTCTTTCTTCTTTTTCTTTCTTTCTTTCTCTTTCTTTCTTTCTCTCTCTCTCTCTTTCTTCTTTCTTTCTTTCTTTCTCTCTCACTCTCTGTCTGGCTTTCTTTCTTCTTTTTCTTTTTTCAGAGTCTCACTCTGTTGCCCAGGCTGGAGTCCATTCATTGCAACCTCCACCTCCAGGTTCAAGTGATTCCTGTGCCTCAGCCTCCCGAGTAGCTGGGATTACAGGTGCATGCCACCATTTACCTGGCTAATTTTTGTGTTTTTAGTAGAGATGGGGTTTCACCATGTTGGCCAGGCTGGTGTTAAACTCCCAACCTCAGGTGATCCACCTGCCTCAGCCTCCCAAAATGCTGGAATTACAGGCTCCAGTGACTATTTCTATAGCTCTGGAGTCAGGATTCACCAGAGGTGTGCTAGAAAATATTTAAAAATGGGTCTGTCAAAAAAAAGGCATCCTGCTTTGTGGTATTTGCCATTATCCATGGTGAAAATCCTTCCACCATAGCCGACTTCAAGCAATCAACATGACATCACTAAACATAGAATTGTGAAGAGATGAATAGTAACACACCATTATATAATATTTCCATGATACAGATACACATATAATAGAGAAATAACCTCAAAAGCATAAATAATAATAAAACACAGTAAAATAGTTAAGAAGTTAAACTTAAGAGTTTAAGATCTTTATTACCTTTGTTTTTAATCTAATTAATTTTGTTGTCAGCTAATTTAAATTTTTTTTCTAATTAAGATTTTTTATTTTTTTCACAAGCACAAAGAATGATTTATTATTAGATTTACAGATATAAAATTATGTTTTAATAAATGTTATCACAACAAACAGCATAGGAAAACAACAGAACATGTTTATTACAGGCATACATCTAGGAGATTAATATAAATAATTGATATTACATTAGTAAATTTTTATCATTCTACAACTTAACATTTAATGATGACAATATTTAAACAATAGGAAAATCTAGCAACTGGCTCTTGCAAGCTGGTACCAGCCAACTCCAACAGCCTGCTGTGTTTCATCTCCCACCTCCCCAACTCACCTTTCTAGGGCTAGCTCCCTTGAGCAAATAGTTGAAAAAATGGGAGTTTTCCTCTTACATTTCTCTGGAACTGAGTTTTGGACTCTGCTTCTCAGTGGCTTGTATGTTTTACCTGCAGGTCACTGGTTGATTTGTGGCAGGACACCATGGAAACATGGATGTAGGGCAGGCTACTCTCCCTCTGACTGTCCTGCTCCTTTGATCTCCCAGCATCACTCCAAACAAAGCTGCAGGAGTGATCTTGGCACCCTTTAATCAATAGTTGAGGAGTAATTAGACAAAATTATAATGTCAGAAGGGAAAATCCAAAAGCTGTGTGGCAATTTGTGCAGTCCAAGGAAAAGCATATAAAACACTAAATCATATAAAAGCATATAAAACACTAAATCCTTCACATTTTAATTCAAGAGCAACTTATTGGACATTTACTATGTGCCAGGCATAGGGTTAGATCCATTTAAACAGTTGACATATCCCAAGATTTTAATTTGGCTATCTTGTCCTCAGTTTTTATTCTCTCCCACAGTGTCTATTTTTTCTCGCCTTCCTAATGTGAACTCTTACTCCCTGCTCTCCACGAGGAATCCTGTCCCCTGACATCTCCACCTGCAATAGTTCTTTCCCCTAGTTTGGTATCATTTCATCTCAGTCAACTATAAATGAGATATGGGGGAGATGGGGGCTTTTTAGAACATATATGGATGACCTTTGACACCTTAGATTCTACAAAAGAGGCTGAGTTAAGGTAGGGTTGGGGCTCCAACTCACACAGAAAATTGCAGAGCAGCATAAACCTTCTAGATATCTCCTTTAAGATCACCCTAGCAGTGAAAATTAAAGTCATACTTACTGATTTTCTTGAATATTTTTCAGGTAAACATTAACTTATTTCATTAAGCATGTATACATAATCTCTGAAGGAAGAAGTATTAATTCTGTGTCAGTAAACCTTAAACCCATAATGAGGAATAAAATGTTTACCCAGTGGTCTGGTAATTTCTAAGGCACCTCTTGCCATAGCAGCAATAAGTAACATTGTTATGCAGAGAAGTTGAGTTCCTTTGTTTTACCCCATCATTCCTAAATTATATCCCTTCTTGCTCTTCAACAATAAGACTCAAACCCATTGGTGATCCATTTTCCTTCTTGTGGCCTGTCATAGGAGCAGGTCTAAGTAATGCAGCAAATTGGGATTCAGGTGTTAAAAGAAGAAAGATGAAATAGGACACAGTCCCTATTACCACAGAGCTCACCCTTCAGTGGAGAATACACAGATGTACAAATGAAAGATTATGATACAATGTGATAAATACCATAGCAGAGCATCAACAAGTAAATGATGTGGAATCATAGAATAGACCTTCATTTTGGGTGGGAAGGTGGAAGGCTTGGAGAAAACTTCATATTAACATTGGGCAGTCAAGGCTTAGAAGGTGTATTAGTCAGGGTTCTCTAGAGGGACAGAACTAATAGGATAGATGCATATATGAAGGGGAGTTTATTAAGATAATTGACTCACACGATCACAAGGTGAAGTCCCACAATAGGCCATCTGCAAGCTGAGGAGCCAAGAAGCCAGTCTGAGTCCCAAAACTTCAAAAGTAGGGAAGCCAATGGTGCAGATTTCAGTCTGTGGCCAAAGGCCCGAGAGCCTCTGTCAGGTGGCTGGTGTAAGTCCAAGAGTCCAAAAGCTAAAGAACTTGGAGACTGACGTTCAGGGACAAGAAGCATCCAGCACAGGAGAAAGATGGAGGCCAGAAGACTCAGCAAGTCTACTCTTACCTTGCCTCCTTTTATGCTGGCAGCTGACTAGATGGTGCCCACCCAGATTGAGGGTGGGTCTGCCTCTCCCAGTTCACTGACTCCAATGCTAATCTACTTTGGCAACACCTGCAAAGACACACCCAAGAACAATACTTTGCATCCTTCAATACAATCAAGTTGACACTCAATATTAACCATCACAGAAGGGATTTGCCTGGCAAAGAAGACCAGATTATGTGAGGTACAGAAAACTGCATGTATCAAGATATAAAGGCCTTTGGATGGGGAATTGTGTGTAGTCTACTATGATTATTGCGTGTGCATGTGTGTGTGCATGCATGTGTGCATTTAATGTGAAAGGAGTGATAAGGGCTGAGCAAAATCATCAAAAAGTGAGCAAAATGAGCAAAAAATGTGTAAAATGAGCAAAAATAAGATTGAGCAAGATGCCAAAGATATTTGAATGTACTAAAGATTTTGGACTTTATTTTGTAGGTGTATTGGCCTGAATAGAGCCAATTAATATTCTCAAGTAGGAGAGTGATATGCTCAGTTATGAGAAATAACCTTGTTCACATTGTTGAGTATGACTTGTTGTGCAGAGACTGAAGGCAGGAGGATAGTTAAGAGGCTGTTAGGATAATCAACTTTTCAGAGATGAAGACCTGAACTACTGTGGTAGGTAAGCATACAGAACATTATAGATCAACAGTTCATAGAAGATAATTAATAAAAAGAAGAACGAAAGAATGCTTTAAGTCTCCTAAATGAACATCTTCCAGGTAGGTGGGGATGCTGTTAACATAATGTAGGCAGCAAGCATGGGGAAGACACTGACGGAATGAATTTAAAGTATCTGGAAAACACCAAGGCAGATATGTCCAAGTCTCAGTTACAAATGAGATTTGGCATTCAAGAAAGAGGTCAGAATGGAAGCTCTATAAATTTGGGAATTATTAGGAAATAATAATGAATTATTTTCCCACTGCCGCTTTAAGAAATTAAGTAGTTCCCCTTATCTGCAGTTTTGATTTCCATGGTTTCAGTTACCTACAGTCAACCACAATCTGAAAATAGCTGAACATAGTGCAATAAGGTATTTTGAGAGAGAGAGAGAAAAAAAAAGAGAAGAGCATCCACATTTACATAACTTTAATTACAGTATATTATTATAATTGTTCTATTTTATTATTGTGATGGTTGTTAATCTCTCACTCTGCCTGATTTATTTATCATAGTTATATCCGTATAGGGAAAACATATTATATATTGGATTTGGTATTATCTGTGATTTCAGGCATCCATGGGGTGTCTTGGAATATATTCTCTGCAGATAAGGGGAGATGACTGAACTATACACTTAGGAATTTAAAACAACACAAAACTGTTATTTTTCAGAAGCCTGAAATGAGTCTTTTGAGACTAAAATAAAGGTTTCAGCAGGGTTGCGTTCCTTCTGTAGGCTCCAGGGGCAATTTTCCTTTCTTACGTTTTCCAACTCCTAGAAGCTGCCTTCTTTCTTTGGCTTGCGGCCCCTACTTCCACCTTCGAAGTATCTTAGTCAACCTCACTTTTATTGTCATATCTGCTTCTTCCATACAGACCCGCCTGCTCGTCTAGATAATCCAAGATAATCTCATCTCAAGATTCTTAATCACATCTGCAAAATCCCTTTTGACATGTATGCTAACACACCAAACAGGTTCTGGGAGTTAGAGTGTGTACATCTTTGGGATAGGGGGCATGGTTCAACTGACCACAGGGGTAGATGAGAAAAGTGTGGAAGAATGAGGAAAGAGAAGGGCTGAATGCAATAATCTGGAAACATCAATATGAGAAGGAGGAAGGAAGATACGTGTACAATCAATGTTTCTTGGAAGTCAATGGATCAAGATATTTATAAAAGGAGAAATTAAAACTCTCCAAGACTCTTCTCTGCCAGTGGCTCTGTTAGCCTGCCAGCCACTAGGTTTACCTTCCTGCTGTCTATGAAGTGAACAAAAACACCAAATGGTATATGAAACAATGATGCAGTCCATATTTGCCAGTTCCTGATTTATTTGCTCTCCAGGGTGGCACTAATTAACTCTGAACTCCTGGTTTGACTCCCAGGTCTAAATCCAAGATTTGATGTAACCTTGAGCTCCCTTTTCAGAATTTGTGTTGACTTTTCCTCTGGCTCTCTTCTTCTTTCACTGTGGTAGCAGTGAGCAACAGCAGACTTCAAGATCCTTAGGGACCTTTACCCTCTAAAACTGGTCTCTTCCTTCCCTCTCAAGCCCCTTGAGCAGAAAGAGTGGAATCAGTACAGCAGGTCCCTGAACAACATTGTTTCATTCAATGACCTTTTATTCTGACATTGAGAAAAAAAAAAAAAAAGATTCCTGGCCAGGGCCACTGTCTGTGTGAAGTTTGCATGTCCTCTGCATGTCGCCATGGATGTTCTCCAGGTATTTTGGTTAACTCCCACATCCCAAAGATGTGCACATTAGATGAATTGGTGTGTCTAAGTTGTTCCCATCTGAGTGAGTGTGGGTGTGGGTATGAGTGCATCCTATAATGGAATGGCATCCTATCCAGGGTGGGTTCCTGCCTGGCCCCCTGAGCACATAGCCACTTGCTACTCTGAACTGGAATAATTGGGTAAATAACTATCGTACTCGTTTTCATTAATCTCTTTAAATGTATATTTAGCTAACATTTGTTTCAATGCTTAATATTAGAAGCGTTTTGGCCTTTATTTAGAAGTCTTATAATCAGAAATATGCCATATGAAGTTAACTCTTGTTTATAGCAATTAGCTTATGGTAAAATTAGTTTTGCTATATGTCATTTTGCTTAAATGTGCAGTTTCAAGAACCTATTGACGACATTAAGTGTATTTCCTGTATTTGCCAGGTAGAAGGACCCAGAGAAAGACTCTTCTTATCACTTTGGGGCCACATGGTCCATTTCTGAGGAAACCACTTAGCAAGGAGTTTTCTGTCATTCATCTAGGTGAGGAATGGGATACTCTGAATTGCAGTAATTCCAGAACCACACGGAATGGGGGAGCTTAGTTACTCGAAGAAGGAGGAATTGGTACAACCACAGGAAGGAGAGGAAGGGCTCTGGACAGTAACAAAATAGATGTTCATTACAGTAAGAATAGACATCTATCTTTTCTACTAAGGAGATGATGGAACTTCTGTAGCATTTTCAATAATTCTATGCATAGGCAGTTTATATCAGAGAGGCCAAATTATAATTATGCTTTTAATCGTGTGACCTGGAAACAGTAGATTCCATTCCCTAGTACCTGGTATTCATGCACAAATTCTATGAAAAAGACAGATATGGCTTCTAGCACAGTGCCTGGCACATAGGTGAGACCCAATAAACACTTTTTGAATTAATGAGGGCAGGAATGAACATACTGTCTATAGATATGTCAGTCTCTAATCTACTGGTATTTTCAGGAGGTAGGGCTAATTTTTTAAATAAAGACTTTATTTTGTGGACACATACAGCAGTGAAATTTTAAAATTCACACTTCCAAATCAGCATGTTAGAAACCCTGCCTCATCCTCACACACTGGCTTTAGACAGCAAGAACATCTGAAAGCTTTTGTATAATCTGATTAAGAGCTAAGTAAGAAGAGGCAAGGGGTTAGCGATTAGTGGTTTAACACCACATTTACCTAAGCTGAAAGGCTTTTTCTAAAGATCTTAAAAAAACCTTTGTGAAGTATGTAATATGAGGGCTGGGCTTGAAGCCCAAAGTTAACACATCCACTGTCCTTTTTGCCCACTCTTGTCAATTTTTATGGTCAGAGTTCTTCCACACTGAAGCTCTGAGACAAGTCTCCTCCATTTTCATATGGGACAGAATTAATTCCCTGGTATTGTGGCACCATCAGAAATCTGTATGTTTTTCTACAAATGACTATCCTGGTTGTGACATGCATTCTCAAGGGAGGTGATATCACTCCCATGGAGGCAAAAATTGGTTCTTGGGGTGGAGGAAAATCTTCGATATTATAATGATTTGTAGCCCTTCAAAGGACAGTATAAAAATAGATAGTATATCCCTGGTAATTTCATGGAAGCCGATTAGGAAAAAAATAGCTAAAAAGGCTTCTTAGAAGAGCAGTAATAATAGTAATACTATATATTTGAAAGGGTTGGGAAATACTGGGTAGTAAGGAAGTGTTTAAAAACACACCAGCGCTGTTTCTTTACACTCCCCAAGAAAAAGACATACTCCCCAAGAAAAAAGATTCATGTGTACACTCCCCAAGAAAAAAACATATATTGGAGGATAGAAGACTTGAGTTATAATTTTCATATTTGCCACCAATGAGCACAGCCATGTATTTACTTATTTATCAAATATTTATTGAATGTCTTGTATGTTCCAGGCACTGTATTAGATAGATACACTATAGCAAAGCTCCTATTCTTGTAGAGTTTATATTTGGGGATGGGACAGGCAATAAATAAGCTTCGAATGCCTAATAATAATGTAACAATGATGATAGCAACAAATATAATTATAACTGCTGTCTAGAGTAAATAATCAATTTTAATAATTAATAATAATACATGATATACAGAAATTTCAAGAGGACAACAGATACAGTTGAGCTTATAGAGTGATAACAGAGATGGTTTCCTAAGACAGCGGTCTATGACCTGAGTCTCAAATAGTGAGAAGGATAGAGTCCCAAAAAGATCTGGGGGCAGGGCTTTCCAGGCAGGGAGGAGAGCAAGGCAGAGGTCCTGAGGCTGGAGTGAGTTTGTTTTATCTGAGGAACAAAAAAAGGTAGATGTGGCTGGAATGAACTGAGACTGGGAGAGACAGGCTGGAGATCAGCTAGGGCCAGATTATCCTGGACCTGCAGGCACTGATGGGGAGCTTGATTTTATTTTAAATGCAGTGTGACATCCTGCAAGTCATTCTGTTTCTGTCAAATGGCAAGGATGGGGTGATGAGGATGGAGCAGCTGAATGATTCTCACAGTCTGGAATGCTAAGTCTAACCTTATCTAATTCAGGACCTGGGAGAGGTGCTTTGAGTATCTACAGTGAGGAAAGTAAGGTAGCAAAAAGACCTCAGATCCTGCCTCCCAGAATCCTGTCACTAGGGCTGGGGAAAGAAAGGAGTGGAGAGCGTTCAGGGCTGGGATGCTATATTCCTGTAAAACCAGAACCTGTTCTTCTTCCACTTTTAATTTTTGAGGTGCATAGGATTTTTTTTCACTTTGACAATCTGCTTCTCATATTACTTTAGCTTTCTGTAGTGAGAAAAAGCACAGGATTAGGGGTCAGGTGCCTCAGGCTCCAGAACCCCATCTGTTAGTAAATAGCTAACCTGATCCAGACCATTCCCGGATCTGGGCCTCCAGACCCTCATCTGGGGACCATCATTAGGATTCCTTCTGTGATTTGATTATTTTCCTCCCTGCCAGAGCCGGGGAGGAGGCTAAACCCTTGCATGCAAGTCCACCAAAGCTGTCCTAAAATAATAAAGCAATTTCCTTTGAAATGGTCAGAAGAAAAGTCAGGAGGCCCTTGCAAAATGTGATGAAACCCAGCCCCAGCTGAATATTAAGTTAGCGAGGGGTCTGCAATGAGGGTGGGGGGCTGGGGAGAGAAGAGAGATGCAGGGTTGGGGAGAGAGAAATTTTAATTGCAATTGTTTGGCCTGCTGATCCTAGGCAAATGACAAGAAGCCCCCAAGCAGCCTCAAACACAGATATTTGAAAGGCAGAGACGGCTGGGGGATGGTTTGGTTTCTCCCTCCCCTCTGAGGCTGTTTGAGGAACGGTCTACAGTGCTGACAAGCACGGGTTTTGGAGGCCATTGAAAAGTTTTGGGCCTAAATAGGGTAGGCAGCTTGGCTTAAGTGTTGCTAAGGAATACCTGGCAACCAGCAACAATAGGCCTTTTAGAGAATCCAGGGCAAACAGTGACCGTGGTAATGGGGTGGGCTTAAGGGTCTCCTTGCCCGGCTGGGCCCCTCCTCTTCTCACACAGAGGCCTGGGCACTGGGCTATGTTCCGGAAATTCCCTGCACAAAGCCCCATTCAGTGGGAGGAGGGCCAATGCGTGTGCTTTGGGGGCAGTGGGGGTGGAGACAGGGGATAGGGAGAGGGCGGGGGAGGGGGTACCGGAGAAGGAGCTTTACTGCCAAAAAAAAAAAAAAAAACCTCTCAAGTCTCTTTCTTCTCGCAAAGACTAAAAGAGGCACAGAAAGTGCTAAGTTTGTAAAAGAGTCTGAAAAGGTTCAGAAAAGTAGCATAAAAGGAACTGGGGAACGCCCCGTGAATTTTGAACAGAGAGCAGAAAAGGGACCCTAAAAAGCAATTAGTGATGCTGCTTGTAAATGAAGAGGCACCTAGTTTGGGGTGGGGAGCTGAGTCTGGAGGTAGGTGTGCAGGGGTGCAGCAGGTGGTGGGGGTTGAGGGGCAGGTGAGGAGAATGAAGTGGGGCGGGAAGCGGGTGAGGGGAAGGGGAGGCCAGTGAAGAATGGATGGATGGAAACTGGGGAACTGTGGCCTCAGTCCCCACTCTAACCACATGCCTTCAGGCTGCTCTCTCCTTGGGCTGTGCAGATGCCCCACCCACTCAGTTTCTGTCCCCTGGTAAGGCAGCCCCCCGAAAGTCATGGGTGCCTGGGACAGTGACCAGCACCCAGAGTCTGAGCAGTCTCCCCAGTCCCTTCAGTCTCTGATAACCATGAAAGAAGCCCTGACGTTCTGTGTGAGTGTAGACTGCACACTCCTCACAAGTAGGCAAATGGCAGGATGCTCCAGGGAGCTGGGTGTCTGCCTGCGTTCCTGGGGGAGGCTCACATGACAGTCAGTGAAGGAAGGCCAGGGAGCCAACAAATTAGCGCTCTACAAATTCCACGTGCCTGAGCTGCATAACATTCATGCTGAAATACCCTACTCAAAGGCTCTAAAGATAATAATTTTACATTTCCAGCAGAATGTGCACGGTGACAATTATCTGTATTCCTACTGTGTCGCAGCATCAACCGATAATCAAGAGAATTATGTTCCAGTTGAAAGCAGATTTAAATAAACAGACACTAAATGGAAGCCAATAATAGATGTACCAAAATAGTCCAGGCAAGGAAGCAGCCATTCAGATAAAGAGCTGTTTAGTCGAGGAGACATGAGGCATCCAGAGCGCAGAGTTTACAGCTCTCTGTCTGTGGCTCAGCCTGTCTGATTCTTTCTAGCTGTCCTCTGCAGACCCGACCAGAGGACTATCCTAAACTGATCCTTTTCCCCTCCTTTCCTTCCTCCCTCCCTTCTCCCTCTTCCTCCCTCTTCTTTGTTTCTTCAACAAAAATTCACTATTTATTATCAACGAGGTACATTTGGGCACCATCATTAAAATTAATAAACCCTACCCTTCTTTGATTTTTGTGTCCTTCTGTTCAAGATTTAAACCGGATCATGTTGGCCCTGCATGGGGCTAGGGAGGAGGGTATTAGTAAGTTCTTTCAAGGAAAAATCTAACTGCTGTTTCTTTAAGAAGGGAGAATGGGATACTAAAGAGACAAACTATTGGAGTTCTACTACATATTCTTTCAATGATTGCACATTTGTTGGAGGTCACTGTGTGTTCCAGGCATTGTCCTAGGTACTGTGAATTCAAAGATAAAAGCACTTGTTCCTGCCCTCACAAAGCTTCCAACCTTGCAGGGAAGGAATAAGCAGGCCTGGTGACAGCTGGATGGGCATGGGTACAATGCATGATGGAAGCACCAGAGAAATGCTCTGCCGGGGTAAGGTGAAGGAGACATCAAGAGGAGGCAGCTGTGCCTTGAAGGAAAATAACTTAAATGAATTTACAAATTCATCTGGAAATAATTGTTGAAGCACAGGAACGAGATAAACTGCTGAGAGAACATGTAGAATGAGGCAAAGAGAAGTGTGTACACGCAAACCAACATTAAAGTCAAGTTCAACAAAAATATTGAGTCTCCTCTGAAAACTAGTATTATACTTGCTTTTAATGTCTTCAAAACTTAGCAGAATGCCTGGCATGCAATAAAGCATTTAATATCACTTGAGTATTTAAGTCATCACATAATACCTTCCACAATGCCCAACAAAACACATCTTCTTTTTGTTTGTTAAGAATTTAAGCCATGTGCTAAGTATCCATTATAGCATCTATCTATCTACCTATCTATCTATCAATCTATCCATCTATCATCTATTTACCTATCTGTGTATCTACCTATCTTACACATATAAAGGCTAACATTTATTGAACATCATCATGAATCAGATACCTTGCTAAACTCTGCACACAATTTCATCATATAGTTAATGTTAATTCCATTTTATAAATGAGGACACTGAGGCTCAGAACAGTTTAGCCATCCAAGAACTAAAACCTTGCCTGGCCAACTGCAAAGCCTGTACTCTGATCCCAAGGTCACACACTTCTCTCTATCAAAGAAGATGAAACATGAGTTGAGGTCTTTAGGAGCTTATTGCCTGGCTGGGGAGAAAAGAACACCTTCTTGAAATGGTAGAGAATAACCATAAAGTGCAAAGTAAGAAAGAACCTGTTATATTGGTAAGTTACCAAGAAAACTGCTTGAGGAAGGCTAATGCTAGACTTAAAGTTAGACAGTTGTTAGTTTGGATCCCATAACCTACTTATTGTACAATGTTATGTGCAATGAATGCCAATTCTCCTAATCTATTAACTGAGTGGAAAATATTTCTTCACAGGTACATTTTTGACTCTATGGGAAGCTATGTTATAGAAAGCTCAGTGAACAAGATGGACACCCACATTGTAGAAATATTTCCTCCCATCTCACTTTAACAGAAAAAAAGCCCAAACAAACAAAAACAAGACAAATTGAAAAAGAGCTTCAAGTAGAGAAAGCATCAAGAATATAGAACTACATTTCTTTGTCAAAATATTTATAATAAAAAGAAATGACATCATTGTGGAAAGGCAAAGGCTCATATTTATAAATATTAGAAAGAAAAATTTAGCAATGAATATTATGTGATGATATTTAAACTTTGAGAAGATAGTTGGATGTTTCTCTTTATAAAACAGCTATAAATTAAGGCCAAAAGAAGATGGGAAATTCTAGTTTCTCTTTAGTGGTTTTCTTTTACTGTCTGTATTTATTATTACTTTGTAGCTACACATGATTGCCAGAATAAGGAAAGTAATCTACTCCACTAATTTATCTGCTCAGGAGGAATGAAAGTCAAGGAAGATGAAATTGAATTTCTGTTTTATTCAGCATTCTTTAAGAATAGTTTTCTTTAGGAAAAATATCTCATTATTACTTACAATAACAATAAGGAAAAATTCTCATTTCCTAAATGTCTCATTTAGGAAAAATGTCTCATTATTACTTACAATAACAGTAAATAATAAAAAGTATCCATGTTTTTTAATAATGGGCTTTTCAGGACCACAGACAGCTCAGAACATTTTAGTCACTTACACACCCTGCCCATTGTATATCATATCATGGATAGATTTGAAATTTCATATACATTCTCATTATACAATTTTTAAAATTTTCTTTCTTTTCTTTTTTCAAGACAGAGTTTTGTTCTGCCATCCAGGCTGGAGTACAGTGGCATGCTCACAGCTCACTGCAGCCTTGACCTCCTAGGCTCAAACAATCCTCCCACCTCAGCCTCTCCAGTAGCTGAGACTACAGGCATGTGCCACCACACGTGGATAATTTTTGTATTTTTTGTATAGATAGGGTTTCATCATTTTTCCCAGGCTGATATTGAATTCCTGGGCTCAGGCGATCCACTCACCTCTGCTTCCCACACTGCTGGGATTATAGGCATGAACCACCGCACCCAGCTCAATCTTTATTTTCAAATTTATATTTTCAGTCTAAAAGAAAAAGACGTGTTTGGGAATGCTAAGTCTCTAGTTATTTTTCCTCATTTTCATTCATTGTTGGTATTTCATCTCAATTTTAATTATGCACTTAATGTACTCAGTAATGAGTGATAAGATTAGCTAAGATCTAGATTGTCCTCAAATTGTTTCTTCAAAATGTCCTTGACACTTTAAAGCAAAACTTACTCTAATTGAGTTTGAATGTGCAATAAAATGGAGATATAGAGAAGAAATAAATCTGTAAAATATCAGATTACATTTACCTTTTTTTTTCAAGTTTCATATAAACCAAGGTGAAGAGGTGTTCTAGAGTTTCTCCTCTCCTTTCCAATGAGGGGAGGACCTCCAGGGTCAATAATTTAGAATGGGGTTAAGAAGGAAAAAAATATGGACAGAGAAAGTCAAGAGGCAGTCGGATGTGGACTGGTATAAGTAGCTATATCATTTAACCAAAACTCTTTCAGTTGCTAGTGAAAAAAACCTAAATCAAACCAATGTGAACAGTAAGAGAGAATTTGTTGATCATATATGAAAAAGTACAAGACTATACAGCCTCAGGAACCGTTGTACCTGAGTGCTCATATTACATATTATTAGAATTTTTTTTACTCCCTATATCTCAGCTTAACTTTCTTTACAATGGCTTAATTCTCAGGGAGGTTTTCTCTTTATGCTAACAAGGTGGGCACCACTAGCTCCAGGCCTACATTCTATCAGCATAGCAACTCCAAAGAAAAGTTTCAGCAAAACTTCTGCTGTTTCCACTGTGTTTAGGGGATTAGACACACTGATTGGCTAAGCCTGAGTCATGTGCTAACTCCAGAAGCTACAAATTGGATGAGATCCAGAAGAATCACATGAACTGAGAGGAGGGGAAGAGAGTTTCTTCAAAGGAACCATAGGTGAAATGAATGACAGGCAAGTAGAAACAATAGATGTTTGTTACTAGTGCATCAATTTGTTACTAGTGCCATAACAGAATACCACAAATTGAGTGGCTTAAACAACAGAAATATATTGTCTTACAGTTCTAGAGGCTACAAGTCCAAAATCAAGGTGTCAGCAGCGTTGGCTCCTCCTGAGGGCTGTGAGAGGAGGATTCACAGTGGCACCCCAGGCCTGTCCCCTGAAATCATTCTGTCCTCTTAAGCCTCTGGCCTCTGATGGGAGGGTGGCCTGCTGAAATGCATTTGGAGCTTTTTTTCTCCTTAATCTTGACGATTAGAACCTCTAATCTCTCTAGCTAGTGGTTGCACCACAGCACCCTTGGATTTCTCTCCTGAAAATGCTCTTTCCTTCTCTACCACATGGCCAAGCTGAAGATTTTTCCAGATTTTTAAACTCTGCTTCCTTTTTAATCATAAATTCCACTTTCAGATCATTTCTTTGCTGCTGTATTTGATCATAAGCTGTTAAAAGTAGCCACACCGCATCTTGAAGACTTTCTTGATTAGAAATTTCTTTCACAAGATGCCCTAGGCCACCACTCTTAAATTCAGCCTTCCGCAAACCCTAGGGCATGAATACAATGTAGCCAAGTTCTTTGCTGTGGCAGTGTAACAAGAGTGATCTTTATTCCAGCTCCCAATAACTTCCTCATTTCCATCTGAGACCTCATCATCTGGGCCTTTACTGTCCCTATTTCTATCAGCATTTTGGTTACAACCACTTAACTAGTTTCTAACAAGTTCCCAACCTTCTTTTATCTTTTTATCTTCTTCTGAGCTCCCTAAACTCTTCTAACCACTGCCTATTACCCAGTTCCAAAGCTGCTTACACATTTTTAGGTATCTATAGCAACACCCCACTTCTTGGTACCAATTTTTTGTCTCAGTTTGTTTTTGTTGCTATAAAGGAATACCCATAGCTGGGTAATTTATAAAGAAATATTTATTTGGCTTATGGTTCTGCACACTATACAAGAAAGCATGGTGCCAGCATCTGCTTCTGATAGGGCCTCAAGTTTTGCCCATTCATGGCAGGAAGAGAATGGAAGCCAGTGTGTGCAGAGATCACATGGCAAGAGAGAGAGCAAGAGAGAGAGGAGGGAGGTGCCAGGCCCTTTTTAAAAACCAACTGTCAAGAGAACTGATAAAAGTGAGAACCCATTCACCCCCATCTCCAGGAAGGGCATTAATCTATACATGAGGGATCTGCCCCCATGACCTGAATACCTCCCATTAGGACCTACTTTCAACATTGGGGATCAAATTTCAACATTAGGTTTGGAGGGCATAAATATCCTAACTATAGCAGCCTATCATCAAATAATGTCACATTCTGACCTTGTTGGAGGTTAGGACTCCAATATATTTCTTTTGTTGAGGTACACAATTTAACCCATAATATGCCTCTACACTAGGTGTACTTTATTTTCTTGGTCAAGATTACCTCTGCCCTTTTAATTTAATCATTTGTTATAGGAAATACTTTTCACCTAGAAAGGCTTCTATTGGTAGGGGCTGGGCACGGTGGCTCACACCTGTAATCTCAGCACTTTGGGAGGCCGAGGCGGGCAGATCATGAGGTCAGGAGTTCGAGACCATCCTGACTAACATGGTGAAACCCCATCTCTACTAAAAAAAATACAAAAAATTAGCCAGGTGTGGTGGCGGGCACCTGTGGTCTCAGCTACTGGGGAGGCTGAGGCAGGAGAATAGTGTGAACCCAGGAGGTGGAGCTTACAGTGAGCAGAGATCAAGCTACTGCACTCCAGCCTGGGCGACAGAGGGAGACTCTGTCTCAAAAAAAAAAAAAAAAAAAAAAAAGAAAGGCTTCTATTGGTAGTAGATGGAGATGGAGTAGTTCCCCAGCACTGTACCCTCCAAACCCAAAGAATACAATTAACACACATTTTATGAGAAACGGGTTTTTTTGTTTGTTTGTTTCTCTTAAAATGTAGATATGTGTTTAGGAAAAGGGATATAATATATAAATAAATGTGTATAAGTTGACTTTGTAATAGTTTAGTAATTTCCAAATTGACATTCCTAAAAGATCTCCATTAAAAGGAGTATTCCCTAGTTAAAAAATTTGGAAAATGTTTCTTATGTTATTCCTCTCTTGAATAACTATAATGGATATTAGCATATTGTGGTAAATTGATTATAGTGATGTTGTAATTATTCAGCTGTCCCTACACCCAGGTCCTTTGCAATGTAATGCTGGGAGTTCCTTCTATCAAAAGGTGGAATATATTTCCTGCCCCTTGACCCATTTTTTGTTTGGCTATGTGTCTTGCCTTGGACTATAGAGGTTATCCAGCTTGATGCTCTTTTGATGCTCTTGTGCTTTTCCACTCCTCTTCTTGCTTCTCTGCTGTTCTCTTCCAGCTAGCCTGCTGGAAGATGAAACATATGCAGCAGAATCAAGTTGCCCTGTCATCCTGGCCAAGGCTATGCTAGAGCAGTCAACTGCCAGACAATTCCAAGACATGTAAGCAAGCCAAGATCTGCACACCATAAAGGCAACCTGTAGACTTATGGGCAATAATAAATGGTTGTTGCTTTAAGCCATCAAGTTATTGGGCTTGTTATTTAGCATTTTTGTGGCAATAGAGAACCTACACCTGTATCAAAGCTTCCAAGAAGTCCTGCATAAAGAAATACTTTAACTTGGTTTAAACCAGCACATTCCAAATGTACCATTATAGCATAACTATTAACTTCCAGAAGAAAAAATATTGTGGAACTCTATATTGGGAAATTCTTCCGTAGTCATATCCAGGAATGACAACACTAAACAGATTTTTAAAAATTCCTAGGTTATTGATTACCATCTATGGTGCAGGCAGTGAATTGGTTTTTAGTATCCATTTAAACTCTATGCTGTATGATTCATGACTCTGTAAAGGTTGCAAATATAACCAATATATTTCTCAGATTCCCTTGAAGCTACTTTTTAAAATGCACACAGTTTCCCCCAGTTAGATATGCTCGTATGAGATTTGAAATGTGAAAGAGAGGCAGAGCTATTGTCCTATTTTTAGCCTTTGTTGTTGACAAGCAAGGTCTTGGGGACTTTCTTTTTCTGAAGCAACACTTCAATGTCTAGTTTTGCTTCTGGATGTTGAGAGGCACTGGGGGTGGCATCAGCAGTGGCATTTTGTTTTGTCCATTATGACCATCATAGTATGTTCTTGAATCAACAGTTCCAGAGTATATGAAAAGAATAGCCATGATGTTGGCACCAGTTTTCTGAGAATCAATGCTGGATGTCAAGACTAAAGTTCTCTTCTTCAACTCTCCCAATGATGTACTAAGTAACCAGATTCCTATATAAAACCGCTTTCTGCATAAAATAAATTGAGAGGGTTCTGTGTCCTGCCTGAATTGATGACAGATTCTATATTTAATGCATTTGAGTCTAAGATTCCTTATCTGTAAAAATTAGGGTAAATAATATCTTACTTGAGATAATGGGTAGCTTGTAACTTGCAAGAGAGCAATTGCTCAATTAAGGGGATTCTCCTAATATGGCATGGCATCTTTTAGAAGTACTAACTTTATTTTTCTCTTTGTTGCATATTTTAGGAGGAGGAGGAGCCGGTAACATACATTTGTTACTTGGAAAATGGGAAGTATTTTTCTTTTCTCATCTGACAAGAGCAAATGCCATTCATTTTCTGCCATCATGGCAAGGAAAATGCATTTAAAAGACACAAAGGTGAGAATAAGAGTGAGAGTGAGTGAAAGAGGCAGAGTGGGAGAGTGAGAGAGAGTTACAGAGTGAGAGAAAGAAAGTGAGAGAGTAAGATAACTCTTACTCTGTAAGGCTGTTGCTACCTTGATATGGTTTGGCTGTGTCCCCACCCAAATTTCATCTTGAATTGTAGTTCCCATAATCCCCACATGTCATGGGAGGGTAACTGAATCATGGGGACTGTTACCCTCATGCTGTTGCTGTGATAGTGAGTTCTCATGAGATCTGATGGTTTTATATGGGGCTTTCCCATCCTCCTTCACTCTGCACTTCTTCCTGCTGCCACTATGTAAAAAAGAAAGCGTTTGTTTCCGCTTCCATGATGATCATAGGTTTCCTGAGGCCTCCCCAGCCCTGTGCAACTATGAGTGGATTAAACTTCTTTCCTTCATATATTACCCAGTCTTGGGTATGTTATTAGCAGCTTGAGAACAGACTAATACATACCTTCATTCAGGGTCTTTATACCATCTGTTATTTCCTCTTTTTGCAAATCTCTCCCCCCCCCAACTCTGTGTGTGTGTGTGTGTTTGTGTGTGTGTGTCTGTGTTGGTATCTTTCCCATCAATATTTACACATATTTTAGTCTTTTTAATTAAAAAAAATTAAAATCCTCCATCTATTCCATTTCTCAGCATTTTCCTGCTTTTCACAGACAAAAGTCTTGAAAGTGTTAACTACATTTGCTGCTTTCATTTCTTCCCTTCCCATCCATTCCTCAACCCCCAGAAATCCAGATTCTGTCTTGTTACCTCCATGAAAATGTTCTCTAACATCAACTACTCACATCACTTAGCTGCGTATCAGCCATCAACCATTTGTTTCCTAAGCTTCAGCTGGCAGAATTTACCACTCCTTCCCTTTAGACACATTTTTTTTCTTTGCTCTACACAACGAGACACCCTGCTCTTTACTAAGAATTTGTTTCCTTTTCTTCCTGGCCTTGCAGCTAGACTACATTTCTCACTCTCTCCCACACTCCTAGTGACTGAATTCTACTCGATGGGATGACTGGGAGTAATGTATGTCATTTCTGAACTGAAGCTTTTAAGAAGTGAGGAGGACCTCCCATGCTCTCTTTTTACCATCCTATTGACTGAATGAAGACAAAAGCACGAGATGGTAGATCCACAAGACAAAAGGAACCTGACGAACTTGGGTTCCTGATTCACCATGTGGAGAAGTGCCACCCAAGAATGAGGGACATGTAAATGAGAAATAAACCTCCACAGTGTTTGAACATTATATATATAATATATATAATATATAATATATAATATATATAATATATATAATATATAATATATATAATATATAATATATATAATATATATAATATATAATATATATAATATATATAATATATAATATATATAATATATAATATATATAAAATATATAATATATATAATATATATGATATATATAATATATAATATATATGATATATATAATATATAATGGTTATATATATTTCTATAATCTACTCATAGTTACACAGTGAACATATATTTTATATATTTTATATATATATATATATATATATATATATATATATATATATATATATATTACAGCAGCATAGCTTACCCTACTAATACTTGAAGTGGTGTGCTGTTATAATAAAAATCTAAAATATATGGCAATGGCTTAGCATTTGGTTTTCAGATGGCGAGGAAACAGAGCGGCCAGATCAGATATCCCAGATGCTGAAGAAAAATGCTTGCTGAAATGGTTGCCTGCAGCAATTAGAAGGCAGAAGTACCTTTGGAGTCTATTGCTCTGGGCAAAAATTTGGAAGTGCTCGATGTTAGTGTGTGTTGGTTGATTCTGGATATATTACAAGAGCTCCAAGAAAGAGATGCTCCTCAGGCAAGCATTGCAAAGAAAAGAAAGGGAACAGAGACAGTCCAGAAATATGGAGCACATAGGGATGAAGAGTTATTTACTTCTGGATCCCAAAGCGCAGGAAATATCAGTGAGAAGATGTTGAATAACAAAGGCCCCCAGAGATTTTTCAATTAACAAGAATTGTGGTGGAATTCAGATTAAGTTTGCTGTCTTCCTAGACATGCCTACTGCTTGAGATGGCCTCCAGTTAGCCAATACTAAGTTGAGAGGGAAAGAGAGGTACAGAGGGACAAAATAAATAATAAAGCAGAATTTAAGACCATGTTTAGGAAAGAATTTTGATTTTGGTTACTGGCTTGCAGAACTGACCCAAAGCAAGTAGATCCTAGAACATAGATTTAGGGTCAAATCAAGGAGCCTCCTGTACTAGTAGGTCAAGGGTTTCATCATTGCTAAGAACTACAGGCAGTTAGTTTACCATTCTTTTCTGTCTTGAATGGAGGCTTTTTATTGCTAGTAGCCTGCCTTATTTCACATTATATAGAGGTTGAATATGCCTTATTTAAAATGCTTGGGACCAGAAGTGTTTCAGGTTTTGAATTCTTTTGGATTTGGGGAAATTAGCATATACATAATGAGATATCTTGAGGAATAGAACCAACCCTAAATACAAAACTAATTTATTTTTTATATATACCTTATATGCATAGCCTAAAGTTTATTTTATACAATATTTTAAATAATTTTGTGCATGAAACAAAGTTTTGACTGCATTTTGACTATGACCCATCGCATAAAATTAGATGTGGAATTGCCTACTTATGGCATCATGTAGGTGCACAAAAAGTTGATTTTGGAGCATTTTGGATTTTAGATTTTTGGATTATGGATGCTCAACCTGTACTGAGTGTTTTGTGTGTGTGTTGGTGGGGGGGCTTACATAAGTTCAGATAACTTGCTTTTGCTTTAACTTGTTTACCAGCAGCCACATCTGGTCTTGATGAAGAAGGTTGCACATCTAACCAGAAGACTGGAACTTTGAGCTAGATGGGGTAAATAGATGAGGCTTTGGGTTGGCTGCCTTGGGAAGGGGCATGAATGTGCTTTATTTTTGGAAGATTTAAGGGGCTGTTGTGGATAGTTGTTACATCTACTTGCCCAGCATCTTTTTTCCTTTTCAATGCAGGAATAAATGTCTCCCACTGATACATTGCTTAATCATTTGGTCCCTCATTGCCTGCTGCAGAAATGCACTGCTGACCCAGGCTGGCCCTTCTAAATATATCATCATCCTGGACCCAGTAATGAGTTCATCGTCAAGCACCTGTCCCAAACAGGGCCAACAACATCCTCACTTAGGGATTTATATGGATGCCAAGCAAGTTTATCCACATATGTGATTTCTAGTGTTAAGAAAAATATAGGAGTTGGGGGGAGCCATTTTTACTGTCAAATAAAATGAGTCTACCAAGAATAAAGCCAAGACAGTGGCAGACAGGGCTGATACATGCAGGGAGAGAGAGTCCTAATGCTGTAGTTTGAATCCCTGGATACAGTTGTGTTTGCAATTAAAGTCACCATTTGGGGTTCCTAGTTTAGATGGCAAATACTTCTCCCTTTGCCTTAGCTAGTTCTGATAGAGTTTTGTGATTCTCAGCTGAAAACATCTTAAACTGTCATAGTATTGAAGCTGGGACAAAAACTCAGGTTTTCTGATGCCAATTCAGGGCTCTTTTCCTCACCTCATGAGAGTTGTGAAATAATTGTCACTTAAAATTAATAAAAGACTAGTGAGGAACTGTGGTAACAAAGACACTAGCCAGGTAGTAAGATCAATATTTGCCAAGAAATGAAAACAATTCTGTTCTGGAGAAGTGTAATTGCAAGGCCTGGGAAGTTGTGGGAAGTCTAATCACAGGGGAGGCACCCTAGCTTCTTGCTCAGCACCAAGAGAAGTCTGGTCAAAATCTTATGGTGATATTTGGAAACTAGTATCAAATAGCCAAGCAGCAGAAAGCTAATGGACCAGGCAGTGGGAGGACCTTCGCCTGAGATTAGTGTAGTAGCAAGAGTATAGCTTTTATATCTACATAGCCCAAGTTCAATGACAGTTCCTTCACTTACCAGCTGCTGTGGTTTGAATGTGTCCCCTCCAAAATTCAGATGTTGCCAATGTGAAGTATGATGAAGTAGAACCTTGAAGAGGTGATTAGGCTGTGGGAGCTCCTCCTTTGAGAATGGGATTAAGACCTTTATATATATATAAAAAGGCTTCATGCGGCAGCATTCGACTAGCTTTCCCTTCTGCCTTCCACCATGTAAGGACACAGTGTTTCTCCCATCTGGAGGATGAAGCTGTAACAAGGCACCATCTTGAAAGTAGAGAGCAGCCCTTACCAGGCCATCAAATCTACAGATGCCTTGATCTCGGAGTGTCAATCTCCATAACTTTGAGGAATAAATTTCCATTCTTTATAAATTACCCAGTCTCAGGTATTTTTGTTATAGCAGCAAAAACAGAAAAAGACACAAGGCATAAGGTGTTTGGGAAAATTATTTAACCTTTCCAAGACTCAGTTTACCCATGTGAAAGATGGCACATTACTCAGTGGGGTGTAATAAAGATTAAAGAGATATATTTAGAATAATTTTTGTCACATAGTAAGAGCCCCTGTATAGCTGTATTTATTATTATTGTTACTACTTAATTTTTTTTTTTTTTTTTTTTTTTTTTTTTTTGCTGTTGACTAGAGAGAACAATTGGGCATGCTAGTCGAGGTCCCAAGAACCTCAGCAGAGAGAAAAACAGAACTACTAAGCTTAAGGCTGATGAGAGAGGCCAAGTGTGTCAGGTTTTGTCCTTTGAGAAGCAGATACCAAAATGGAATTCAAAGTGCAAGAGATTTACTTGGGGGAAGCACCTATGAAGGATAAAGCTAAATGGGTTGGAAGACCTTCTGATCACAATGCAAGTGTGATGTCTGTGAAGGGAGGGAGAGAGGGGATAAAACAAAACAAGGTTGAAACAGCCTCAGTCTGCAGTGCAGCTCTGAGTAAGGCTCAGCCCAGAGCAAAGATTGCCTGTTTGAGGAGCCACACATTAGGTAGAGAGGCCCAGCTCCAGAGCCTTCATTGGCCACAGCCTCAGTGAGAACACTACTGCAGTGGATCTCGGAGGTGCAGCAGCTGGAGGCTGTCAGCTAACTACACTCCTCGCTGCAGGTTCTGTTTTGCAGGGAGATCTGAGCACCACGCTCCCATGGCTGCATGCCAATCCTAGGATCATTTTCCTTGGAGGGCTTTTTCCTACTTGACATCTCCAAGGTACTTGGCAACCTGCAAGGCAAACAGGCTGAAACAGGAGCAGAGCCAGCCTGATTTCTCCTCCTTCTGACCATTTCTCACTACCTCCCTAGCCTAAGCCAATATAATCTTTGGCCTATTTTTATTTTATTAGTTATTTTTATTATCTGCCTCCTAAATGATTGTCTCTGCTTCTGTGCTGGACCCATTGTTCAGTCTATTTTCAGCATGACATCCAGAGCTGTCGTTTTGATATGTCAGATGATAATATACTTTACTCAAAACCCTTCACAAACTTCCATTTCACTCAGAAAAATCCTTGTAATAGCCTGGTTTTGTGTGACCTCCCATTGCCCATGGCCCTCTTCTCTTATTACCTCACTCTTTGCCTACCCAGCCCCAGACCCATTAGCTGCTGTGTTATTCCTTGAACAAGCAAGAAAAGCTTCCGGCTCAGGGTTACTTACCACTCCCTCTGCCTGATATGCGGATGATAGCAGAATTTATTCCCTCATCTCCTTCAGGTCTTTGCTCAAATGCCACCTTCAGTGAAGCCTCAACAATCCACCTGATTTAAAGTTGCAACTTCCCTGGTCCTATCAAATTCTTTTTAGCTTTATTTTTCTCTAGAGCACTTACCACCATCAAACATACAGTATCTTTTTACTTAATTTTGTGTATCATCTGTGTCTCCTGCTAGAATGTAGGCTCCATAGGGGTAGGGATTTGGGTTTTTGTCCACAGCTGTGAATTTTGTTGGGTGAATGAATACATTCTGTAAATAGCAGCAGGAAGCATGGAGGTAAAACCCAGGGCATCCCCTGGTGAAGGAAGAGAAAAAAAGCGCAGCATTTGGAGTCAGTGAGTCTGGGTTTGGGGTCTAACTCCAGCACTTACTAGTTGTATGACTTTGGAAAAGTCATTTATCATTTGTAAGCCCTGTTTTCCATATCTGTAAAATAGAGATGACAATAAATACCTTGCTGTATTAGTCCGTTCTCACACAGCTGATAAAGTCATACCCAAGACTGGGTAATTTATAAAGAAAAAGAGGTTTAATGGACTTACAGTTCCAGTGGCTCGGGAGGCCTCACACTACTGGCAGAAGGCAAAGACGCATCTTACATGGTAGCAGACAAGAGAGAAAATGAGAGTCAAGCAAAAGGGATTTCCCCTTATAAAGCCATCAGATACTTATTGATGGTTTGATCTCCCTGCAAAACAGAACCTGCTGTGAGGAGTGTAGTTAGCTGACAGCCTCCAGCTGCTGCACCTCCGAGATCCACTGCAGTAGTGTTCTCACTGAGGCTGTGGCCAATGAAGGCTCTGGAGCTGGGCCTCTCTACCTAATGTGTGGCTCCTCAAACAGGCAATCTTTGCTCTGGACTGAGCCTTACTCAGAGCTGCACTGCAGACTGAGGCTGTTTCAACCTTGTTTTGTTTTATCCCCTCTCTCCCTCCCTTCACAGACATCACACTTGCATTGTGATCAGAAGGTCTTCCAACCCATTTAGCTTTATCCTTCATAGGTGCTTCCCCCCAGTAAATCTCTTGCACTTTGAATTCCATTTTGGTATCTGCTTCTCAAAGGACAAAACCTGACACACTTGGCCTCTCTCATCAGCCTTAAGCTTAGTAGTTCTGTTTTTCTCTCTGCTGAGGTTCTTGGGACCTCGACTAGCATGCCCAATTGTTCTCTCTAGTCAACAGCAAAAAAAAAAAAAAAAAAAAATTAAGTAGTAACAATAATAATAAATACAGCTATACAGGGGCTCTTACTATGTGACAAAAATTATTCTAAATATATCTCTTTAATCTTTATTACACCCCACTGAGTAATGTGCCATCTTTCACATGGGAAAACTGAGTCTTGGAAAGGTTAAATAATTTTCCCAAACACCTTATGCCTTGTGTCTTTTTCTGTTTTTGCTGCTATAACAAAAATACCTGAGACTAGGTAATTTATAAAGAATAATCTCTTGAGACTTATTCACTACCAGGAGAACAGTATGGGGGAAAATTCCCCCATGATTCGATTATCTCCCATTGGGTCCTTCCCACAACATGTGGAAATTATGGGAGCTACAATTTAAGATGAGATTTGGGTGGGGACACAGCCAAACATGTCACTTGCTAATTGTGAAAACTAATGAATATAAGAAGACAGACAGCACAGATGTTTTTGTTGTGGTTTCCATGGCTTGACAAGCAGTGACATGTTGAATTCCCCACACTAAGATATTGAAGTCATTGACAATTCCTCCGGTGACATTTTATAGCTTTGGGTTTGTTATTATTAACCAAAGGCTTTGCCTAATCCTAGCTGCTCTGCACTCATTCACTCTGTAACCTGAAGCAAGTATCTGGACCTCAGTCTCTCCATTTGTAAAAAAGAGATGATTGTATCCTCTATGCCTAACTTGCAGGGATGAGGATTAAATGAAACTCAGTGGGTGAGATCCACTAGAAACTACTACACAAATGCAAATGATTCCTGGGTTGGTGACATGG
This sequence comes from Homo sapiens, assembly GCF_000001405.40. Lineage (NCBI taxonomy): Eukaryota > Metazoa > Chordata > Mammalia > Primates > Hominidae > Homo > Homo sapiens. The sequence continues at coordinate 103,029,399 of NC_000012.12, forward strand.
CTTCACGTGTCTGAGTCTGATGTCCCCAGCTGGAGTAAAAGAACCTCAGGACGAGTCATGACTAATACTGTTTCTACGCCCTCATCCCTCACAAGCCAGTTTCTTCAACTCAACCCTACTGCAGGCTCTCTTTTATTGCCAGTTTGTTTGCGAAGAACAGATTTTCTGTATACTTTGAATTCCTTAAGCATTTCTTTTAATCATTTTTTCTTAATCTGTTAACTCTGCCCTGATCTTTTAGGCTAATATATTCATGTTTGAGCTACCTCCTGAAATAGCTTTTAAGTGGATGTATTATGAAAGACTGACTAGTCAAAATGAAGGAAAATATTTCCTGAACTGACATTATCTCAACTTAGGATTTCATGTTAGGCTCTGATTTAACACACATAGCTATCGTAAGTAATGTGCTTTTCAGTTCCTTTATTTAAAAGCTCTACAGTTTTATGGCTCTGTTTAACTCTTGAGTGCTTTTACCTCTTTTGAGAAAGGCTATTCCTCCTGCCATTTCAGCTTGCTGTCCCAAATGGACGTGTAAACAGGGCACCATCATGTATATGTGAAAAAAGATGACCTACATATATGATGGTACAGTACAGTATTAAAAGTACAATTTCAGCCATTTCTTCCAATTAAGGCTAACACGTCTGTGATTTCAGCCTTCTATTTGAAATAAAAGTCTAACGATAATTGGAGCACAGAGCTATTCACCAGTGTACTTCAATCTGGAAATAATTGTCTTTGTTCAATTAGGAATCTGCATTTTCATGCCAATCTTCACAGATTATTTTGAATGGAGAATGCACTCTGATTAAGAGCTATACTTCTTAGGAAAAAAAAAGTAGCAGCCTGGAGTCCTCATCCCCTTGTTAGATTTAACATTTTGTTTTTCCCTAACAGACTGAGAAGGATGTCATATAGACAACTTTTTAAACTTATTTATTCAATGTGGCAAAATTCTCCTGGGGCATTCATATGTGGCTTTATTTTTTTTTAATTCCATAAAGGTGATTCTTTAAATTTAGTCTTGGAAAAGTGTCAATTGGTCTGAGGTCTTCGATTAATTTGTCATGTGAAATTGACCAGGTTTTATATGGAGCAAATATGACCACTATATTTTTGAAATCAGTAGAACCACTTATCTCCCTCAGTGATCTTTAAACAAGTTATCTTATGTAAGTCTTATGAAAAACCTTCAGAATTAGAGATTGTTATCCCTATTCAACAGACAAGGACAATAAAGGTCAAAGAGTTTATGTGATTTTCCCAAAGCCACCCAACGATTCATGGGTGAAACTAGAGTCAACTGCAAGTCTCACTGGCTTGAAAGCCCAGGTTCTCTCATGCTTCTAGTACCTTTTTCTTATTAATTTAATATAGCCAAAGTAAAATGATGAAGGGCATTCTTGTTAAAAATGACAAAATGCTATAGCTAGAGCTATGAAAAATGCCAGCTCAACATACATCTTTGCTACAAACCACCTCCTCAATAATTCTGAAAAAAAAAAATGCCTGTGTTTAGCATTTCTTGTTGAAAAATGGCCTACAAATTATGGAAACATATTAACACAATGTCAACTTCCTTAAATAATATAAGGTACTATCCACATCAATATATGACTTAATCATTTTTTCAAAATAAATTCCTTTAGAAACAAGGCCATATCTTCTCCATTTTTGTATGCCTTCAATCAAATGCTGTTATTAGTTGAGAAAATGAAGGACTCATTCTCTTAATATCCCCAAGAGGCAGTTAGAATATACAGAATCTATGTATTACTTACATATCATCTGTGTGTGTATACATTAACATATACACACAAGTAAAAAATCCCATCAGTGCAATAAATAAAACTCTGGTCACACCTTTCATTATTCCTTTCAGAAACATTATACAGCATTGTTAATCTCAACCTTTGATGAAACGCAATTCCTTCTTTTTAATAATACTCTGGTAAACCTACACATGAGAGTTTTCCTATTCTTCTCTGTCTTTGAATGTACCATTTCATAATGCCAACAAGAAGAAAAGACTTATTTAAGAACCTGGATGGAAAGTGATAGCTAACCCAACTTTTCTTATTTAAAATATAGAGAGTATTTGAGAGATTTGGGGTCAAATGGGACTTGTAAGCAAAGGTGGCAATAACTTCTACATCTCGTGCTGGATTTTATTCCGGTATAGAGTGTTTGTCTGGGGCTGTGGGTTGGTGAGAGGAACGTGGCATGTTCTCGCTCTCTCTCTTTTTTTAAATTTATCTACCTGCTACATAGGCTGTGGCAGGTGTGGAGATAACTTTCCAATAATGACTGGAAGCAATTTTCTCCAACTTCACAGGAACTTACCATCTGGTTCTGAGGGCCAGAGATAACTCAGTCTCTAAGTTAGCTCAGGGCCCAAGAAAAGATTGATAAAGAAGTCTGATTATGCTGCCGCATAGCAGTGTCAATAACACATCACTGTTTGGTCACTCCGAGTGAGCTCTTCAGATGTCTTCAGAAAAAAAAGTGGAGCTCTAATTGAATTAACCTATCTCAAACCCAAGCACATTACTTAACGCAGAGGAGGTCAAGTTTTATGAAGGTAATATAAAAACACTAAAAATGTATTTGCATAGTGTGTGGATCTTTTTCATCTAACCTTTGGTCTCATACGGTAAACTGTCAGATTCAATTTTGGCCTTGAGTACTCTAGAATAAATAATTTTGCCCATGAAATTTTTCTTACCAGTAAAAATGTTTGGCCAAAGTTGAAAAATCACTAAGCTGCCAAGCCAATATGCTCTGTGGCTTAAGAGAAAATAGGTGTGTTCATCAAGCAAAGGAAAGATACAAAACTACAACATGAACAATTTAGCCCAAAAGACAAACGTTTGCAGAAAAATGAATATTGTTCTTGTTCTAAATACCTGGGATGGCTACTAAAATTGCTAAAATGTACTAGCTAGTTTCTCTAATCTCCATTTGATTTTGTCACTGTGGCCATAAACATCTTGGAGTGGTTATTTTGTATAGCCAGCATTGGAGTGGATGCTTAGCATGCAAAACATTCACCACAGGCTGATTTCTCAGGCCCCCTGAGATTACGTGTAGCAACGAGAACATGACATAATTAAATTATATGGCAAAGCATTAAGTAAGAAAGTAAACATACAGGCTCTGTCTCTTGGGAGAATGTCAGCTTACATATTTTTAAAGATGTCTTATTAAAAAAAGATCAATAAACTGAAGTTATCTCAGCTTGAGGAAATAAAACAGTTCTCTGGAGAAAATAGTTTCTTCTCTAGAAGGTGTATAAGGAGAAGAAAACGTCTTCAGGGGAGTAAAGACTACTTATCCCTTTTCAATGTAAAGAAAATTACCAGTATTTGTAGGGTGGAAAGTGAGGGAGATGAAATATTAAAGACTGAATGTTCATTTCCCTCCAAAATTCATACAAAGAAGCTTTAACCCCCAAGTGATGGTATTTGGAGATGGGACCTTAAGGAACTATCTAGGATTGGATTAGGTCATGAGGATGGGGCATTTATGATGGAATTAATGCTCTTATAAAAAGAAGGAGAGACAGGAGATCTCTCTCTCTGTCTCCTTCTTCTCCCAGCCACCTCACCACCTTGTGCAGATACCAAGAAAAGGCCTAGTGAAAACATAAGAAGAAGATGGCTCTATGCAAACCAGGAAGAGGACTCTCACCCAAAACTGAATCTGCCAGCACTTGGAACTTTGACTTCTCAGCCTCCAGAACTGTGAGAAATAAATGTTTGTTAAGTCACTCTGTCTATGGTATTTCATTATGGCAGCCCAAACTAAGACATGGGGCAATGGTCAACATCGCTTTAAGGTGTGTCCTACTATAGAAGTCTCTTTTCTCTTCACAGGCAGGTAAAACTAAGCAACCATGTTTGTACTATGTCATGTCCCTGCTTGGACCAGGACAGATTCTTGAATCAATGTTAGAAAATCTATTGGCTGGCCCACAGCCAACTAAATTTTCACTCTTGAAAGTGCTAAGATCATGGCATCTAGCATAGGGCCAATCCTATTGAGAGGCAAAACTAAAAGCAAACCGAATTGAGGAAGGGGCAGAAGTGATGAGTGAAGAAGAAGCAAAAGGCAGTTACTCCACAGAGAAATTAATGGTGGGCAGACATCCACAAATGCTGAGTCCAGTTCCCAGTTTTTTCCTGATGAGTCTCAGTTGAACCTAATTTCCTTTTTTTTTTTTTTTTTTCTGAGACAGAGTTTCACTCATGTTGCCTAGGCTAGAGTGCAATGGCGTGATCTTGGCTCACTGCAACCTCCACCTCCTGGGTTCAAGTGATTCTCCTGCCTCAGGCTCCCGAGTAGCTAGGATTATAGGCATGCGACGCCACGCCCAGCTAATTTTGTATTTTTAGTAGAGACGGGGTTTCTCCACATTGATCAGGCTGGTCTCGACCTCCTGACCTCAGGTGATCCAACCGTCTCAGCCTCCCAAAGTGCTGGGATTATAGGCGTGAGCCTCTGTGCCTAGCCCTAATTTTCTTGCTAAAGAAATGTATGAGAGTGCCTCATATAACACTATAATGCTCCTCACTTCTCACACTTTTTTTTTCAGTTGAGCTAATTTCAACAAGTTTTTATTAGCTTACAACTAAATAAACCTTGAATAAGATAAAGGACAAGCATTTAAAGATAATATTCTTGGCATTTTAAAATTATAGAAAATGGGAAATAAGGAGGGAAAAGACGTAACACTTGTTTAGTGTCTTTCATGTGACACACATTGTGGTGGTAGGTGTATTAGATATTTTAATCTTTTTAGCAGCTGCATATCTCAACAACATTTTGATTGGAATTATACTGATGAAGCAAATGTGTCTCAAAGAGCTTAATAAACTTGCTCAAACTCCTGAGGTATCAGAATTTAAACTCAGGAGTGACTGGCTCCAGAATTCTTTTCCTTAACACCAACATCAAACTTAGGAGCAAGGCAAATATTGTGGCCAGGTAACAACCAGACTCTTGAACAAAACAGTGAAGATGTAGGTTACTAGATTTGAAGGTTGATCTCATGTGTCAACTCAGAGGGTGTTTTTGGGTGAGATTACCATTTAAATCAGTGAACTTTGAGGAAGCTGATTGTCCTCCATAATATGGGTGGGTCTCATCCAGTTAGCTGAAACCCTGAATAGAACAATAAGACTAGCCTCCAAGATTAAGAGATAATTCTGCAGTAGACTGCCTTCAGACTTCTCTTATGCCATTGGCTCTCCTGGGTCTCTGCCTGCCAGCCTTTGGACTGGAACTGCACCATCGGCTCTCCTGGGTTTCTAGCTTGCTGGTTCACACTGCAGATTTGGACTTGCCAGCCCCCGTAATTATGTGAGTCAGTTCCTGGCAATGAATTGCTTTCTTTCTACATAAAACCATCCTATTAATTCTTTCTCTGGAGAAGCTCAAGTAATACACCAAAGAAATGTTTGTTCAGAAAACCAAGATTGCTATTCCAAGCCAGTTCTGGAGTGTGTAAAAGGATTCTAGTTGGGGTGTTTGATATAGCCCTTTCTGTCTTCTGATGCTTATTGTTAGCATAGTGTACTTATTTCCATCTTTTTATTTTAAACATATTTACATTTTTATATCTAAAATTCAGTAGTTGAGTCTTTTAAAATTTATTTTTACTGTTTTTGCCTTTTAATTGAAGTGTTTAGCTGATTAATATTTAAATTATTATTGATATAGTTAGATTTAGTTTGCCATCTTACTGGTTTTTTTTTCTGTTTTGTTCCTCTGTTTTTCATATCTGTTCCTTCTATCCTGACTTCTTTGAATTAATTGTAGTTTTTGGAATCCCATTTTAATTCATTCATTGGCTTTAAACTTATATCTCTTTGCATTATTTTTTATTGTTCACTGTGAATTACAATATATATCCTTAACTTTTTACAGTCTACTATGAGTTAATGTTGTGCCTTTTTGTGGAATGTGTACAACCATAAAGAGACATTTATTTTTCCTGTCATGCTTTATGGTAGTTATGGTACTATAATACAGTACATATGCTACCAACTCTAATGACAATGTTATAATTTTGGGATTAGTCGTATGTTATTTTTAAATAATTTAAAAGTAAAAACAAGTGTTTTATATTTACCCCCAAATTTACTGTTTTCAGTCTTCTTAATTATTTCCTAAACCCTGAAGAATTTTCTTTAGCATTTATGTAGTACAGGTGTGCCTCCTGTATATTCTCTTAGTTTTCTTTTGTCTGAAAATGCCTTTATTTTGCCCTAACTCTTGAAGAATATTTTTGGTAGATATGAAATTTTTGTTTGATTTCTTTGCTAGTACTTTAAAGGTGTTCTGCTGTCTCCTGGTCTTCATTATTTCTGGTGAGAAGTCAATGGCCATTTGAATTCAAATTACACAATGTTCTTTGTTTGAAATGTGTCATTGTCATCTGGCTTCCTTCAAGATATTCTCCTTAGTTTTGGTTTTCATCAGTATGACAATAATGACTTTAGATATAATTTTCCTTTCATTTATTCTGCTTAGTGTTTGCTGAGTTTCGTGACTCTGTAAATTTGTGCCTTTCCCCAAAGTTGGAAAAACTTCAACCACTATATATGTAAAATATGTTATGTCCTGTTCCATCCTTCTTTTCCTCTGGGACTTCAATTACATGTATGTTAAACCTTTTGATATTGCCTTACAGTTCTCTGAGATTTTGTTCATTTTCAAAACCTTTTAATCTCAGTTCTTCATTTTGGAAATTTCCACTGATTTATCTTTAAGTTAATTGATTTTTTTTTCATCTTTAATCTGAGTCAAACCCATGCAGTGGCTTTTTATTGCATACATTATATTTTTAGGTTATAAAATTTCCATTTGAATTTGAGAGTTTTGATTTCTTTGCTGAGATTTTGACTTTTAGTTGATTGTGAGTATAATAGCTGTTTTAAAATTGTTGTGTAATAATTACAAAATCTGAGTAATCTCAGAGTCAATATCCACTGGTTTTCTCTTCACTAAGGGTCAAAATTTTCCTATATTTTAAATGCCAAATAATTTTTAACTAGATTCTGGAAATTGTTAATGATACATTGTCTAGGCTCTGGATGGTGTTATATTTCTCTGAAGAATATTGATTTCTGTTTGGTTTGTTAAGCAGTTAACTGAACTGAGCTCAAATTGCAAACTTTTGTTGCCCTGCAGTGAGCAGCAGCTGAAATTTTAGCCTTGGATGTGCTCTTTAGAGTTTGCCTGCCACATGCATATTTTAGAAGTAGACTAGAGATTTCTTCAGAGTTTATATGCAGAATTCAGGGCTCCATTCTCTGCTCTCCTCATACATGGAATCCCCCTTCACCTTCCAGTTGCAGTAATTGCTCAGAAATCTGTTTCCTAGTTCTTCAAGCCAGTAACACTATGACTTGCCTTCAAAGCAAGCACTCACCAAATGCCATTTCCTTTTTTCAACTGTCAATCCCCCACCAAAATTTGCCTGATTTGCGTGGTTTTTCAGTGCCTTCAGGTATTGTTTTTTATATTTTTTCCCAGAGTTTATGGTTATTATTTTCAGATAATATAGGAGCTAGTCAACCATGACACAAGGTGGCAGGCTAGCTGGAATTTTGGGGACTAATGTTTCCAAATAAACCTGCACACAAACCTCTTGGGAAATAGTCTTTTTGATTTACAGGAACAAATATTTAGAAGGTTTAGTGTTGAAGAACTTATTTCAGATGAAGCCAGCCTCAGTCTTTGCATGCTAATGTCACACTTTAGTAAGTCCTTAAACAGGTAATCAGACATAAACTGTTTTAAACTGAAATTTCTGTAAGTCTCAAATATCAAATTTATATCTCAGTATCACAGAATGAATAAATGGATTAGGTAGTGTGTTAGAAGATGATAAGTGCTGTAAAAAAAGTAAATCAGAATAGGGTAATGAGAATTGGGAGGGCAAGTAGGGGTGGAGGGCATTGCAATTTTAGGTAGGGTGATTGGGGTATGGCTCATTGAAAAGATCACATCCAAGCAGATTGTTGAAGGAGATAAGGGAATTTGTTTGCAGCTATCTGGGGGAACAGTGTTTCAGAAAGAGAGAACAGCATCATTTACTACACATATCAAGGGCTACATGTTTAATCCTCTCAAAAAAATATCGAGAAAGAGGCTCTATTATCTCTCTTTTACAGATGTGTAAACTGAGGGGCAGGGAAGTTAAATACTTTGTCTATGGTCGTAAAGCTGATAAGCCACAGAACCGAGTTTGAATGCTTGGCATCCTGTCATCTTCAGACCCCATTCTCTTAACTTGTATTATCTGTTTACTGGATTCATCACCTTTTTTTTTTTTCAAAAATAAACATTCTGTATGATTTCAATTGTTGAAGATCTAGTCCCAACCCTTAAGTCCCTACCCTTAAGACCAGTGTAGTACAGATGGTCATATGAATAGATAAGTTGCAATACAATGCAGTGGAGGTTATAACAGGGGTCTGTAGGGACAAAGGCAAATTGCACAATTTTACACAGAAAGTTGACTAAACAAAGGAACACTTGAAACTCCACTGCTACTTCTGGTGGAGTCATTTGTGTTTGTCTTATATAAACCCTGAGGTGAGTCACCTTGTAGCTTTCTCTAACCCTGCACAAAGCTGCCTTGAATCTGAATTTAGGACATCTCTCTGGAAGAGAAGAAAGAAAAAAGGAAGAAAGGGAGGACAGGAGGAAAGAAGGAGGAGAAAAATGCCAGGGAGAATTCTTGATAACATGTAAGCTCTCTCTCTGCCGGCGTGCCTTTCTTAAGAAGTTTTGGCCAACAGCTCTTATCTCCAGGTGAATTGGTAAATGCTAAATACCAAAATTGAGGATCACCAAGATCCAAACTTGAAACCACACACCTGCAAAGGGCCACACATGTCACCCTAATGATCATCCTCTTTTGCACTCTAAGCACATGTCTCTAGATACACTTATTTAATTACTTCAAAACTCTTGTTCTTCATTTGTAAAAAGGGGTTATAATACTCTATTATATTTCACAGGGCTATTGTGAATATTAAATAATACAAGGCTTGCCACGTATTAAGTGCTCAGTAAATGATAGCACTAACTATTTCCATTCCAATCTGTTTCTTGGATATTAAAGTGCTCAATAAGTGCTTGGAGATTATGAATTCTAAATTTTATTATGTAGTTGGTTTAGGTAAAAATATTTGAAAGCAAAAGTCATATAGGATAAGTAGTGGAGAAAAGCACAGATTTTTGGAGACAGAAGGACTTGCGTGCGACTCTGGTTCTGTCAGTTATTAGCTAAGGGAACTTCTATTACTAAACTGTTTTCTCATTGGTGAAATGAAGGCAGTAATCCTTAAGTATTAATAATAAATATCTATACTGTATTGAATACTTGCTGTGAGCCAAGATTTTCTAAATATCTGTATTATGCTATGAAAGCTTTATAAATCCTACAATATGAAAACAGTATAATGGATATCGAGCGAGGGTGATAATTGTTGAAAAGATGCAAATCCTTGGTATCCTGCATATTCTTAGCTTCTTTTGCAAGTATTTTCTCATCTGCCTGGTTACCTTGCTTCGGAATATCCCAAGGCTCAGATTTGTGTCATGCCTTTTCTCTACCAATTTTCCTCCCTTGGGAATCTCACCCAATCCATGATTTAAATACCGTCTATTAAATGGACTGCTTTCAAAATCATGTTTCAGCCACGACATCTCCTCTGAGCTTTGGATGCCTCTTTCCTTGTGTTTATTCTGTATTTTCAAACTTAATGTGTCCAAAATGAAACCCTAATCATTTCTCTAAACTCACTCCTCCTACATGTTTCCCTACCACACTTAATGGCAATTCCATTCCTCCCACTGTAGCAAGACAAAAATTCTGCAGTCATCTTCACCTTCTCTCACACCCCCCCCAGCCAATCTTTCAGCATAGATTGTGCTCCTTTCAGAATCAATTCAGAATTAGACAGTATCTCACCAATTCCACTGCTACATCCCTGGTTCAAGCCTCCATCCTCTCTTGCTTGGATTATTGCAGTGATCTCCTAAGTGGTCTCTCCTGGCTTTGGCTTTAATGTCCCTGCCTATCCCCCACCCTCATACCCCTGCTGAAATATGTTCTCAAGCATATAGTAAAGGTGAGCCTGTTAAAAGGTAAGTCAGATCATGTCTCTTCTCTTCAAAACTTCCTCTTACAAGTTTGCATCTTAGAGAAAAGCTAAAAGTCTTTACAATAGCCTCCAGGGCCCTGCGCTATTCCCAGTCTCCTCTTCCCCAACTTCATACTACTGTGACCTTAGCTGCTATTTTCCTCCTTGCTCATTTTTCTTTAGTCCTCTTAGCTGTTCCTAGAAGACATTGGACATGCTTCCACTTCAGGGACTTTGCACTTGCTTTTTCTTCTACCTAAAATATTCTTTGCCCAGACACAGTCTCCCTGCTATGTTCTTTAGGTTTTTGTGCAAAAGTTACTTTCACAGTTAAATCTTCCTAGCAGGTCTGGCTATATATATTATGAGGCTCAGTGAAAATGAAAATGCAGGGACCTCTTGTTTATGAAATATTAACAAAGACTCTGAAAAATCCAGCAGTAGTAACTTAATTTAACTCAAAGCTATCCAAATTTATTTGAGCACATAAATCTTTTTTCTTCTATAGTACCATTCACAATATTTCTATGTAATGCATTCTGTAAAATGCCTGGCAAAACCTTAAATACATCTTTCAACTATTTCAAAAATTTTATAAGTCTATGCTCAAATCACTATTAATAGTCTATAAAATTATATAATTGTATCTTAATATTAAAATTTACATTATACATTTAGATAATATATGTAATTTAATAAAATACATTTATAATATATAGCTTTTATATCCCATAAGGATTCAGTCCTTTAGTCATTTTTTTTTGCTTTATAGGAAGTTTGCCATGCAAATATGAAAACAGGAATTAGCCCTTTGAGTAATTTCTCTATCCAAGTAAGTCTGAAAATTATATAATATACTTTGACAGTATATCTTTCAAATTTTTTGCATTTTTTTCTGCTTTATTTTTCTTAAGGTTTTTGCAAGACATTTGTATTTTAGCAGGAAATGTGATTTTCATTCTTTGGTACTAAACCCTGAAGATTGAATAACTTCAAGATTCAATGACACTAGAGATAACCATTTCTAAAGGTATAAAGACAGAAGAAACTTTCCTCTGAGACAGGCAGAAGAGGTAAGGGCTTTTCCAAGGAAGAGCTCTTCCTTTTCTGACAATAACTGAAGACAAGGGGAATCCATATGAATGGTCTTCCATAAGGTATTTCTCTATTCTTCTGTTGAGAGGATACTTAGCCATATCTGTGTGCATGTACACACACATATATGCACACATATACATATTATATATTCTTCATATCCCTGTCTCAGTATTGCTCAGCGTGAAGGGCCACACTTATTTTCTTTAAATAACCACTCACAAAGTTACATTTTTGCAAGTTATAATAAAAATAAAATCAAGAAATACTACTAAATAAAAGAAATGTTATACTAAAATAAAGAAATTTTAAAAAACAAAGCCATACAAAATACAAGGTCACATGTTTAATTATTGCACTCAACAAGCATAAAATCACTCTGTCACATTTCTTTAAAAATTTCTAAATGCCTATTCTTTTTTTTTTTTAAGAAGGAGTCTCGCTCCGTCGCCCAGGCTGGAGTGCAGTGGCGCGATCTCGGCTCACTGCAAGCTCCGCCTCCCGGGTTCACGCCATTCTCCTGCCTCAGCCTCCCGAGTAGCTGGGACTACAGGCGCCCACCACCACGCCCGGCTATTTTTTGTATTTTTAGTAGAGACGGGGTTTCACTGTGTTAGCCAGGATGGTCTCGATATTCTGACCTCGTGATCTGCCCGCCTCGGCATCCCAAAGTGCTGGGATTACAGGCGTGAGCCACCGCGCCTGGCCTAAATGCCTATTCTTAATGCCGTATTTATGCCATCTCAGATTGGAACAGTTTGGAGACTGGCTCCAACTTGTGGGCTACCTATTGACCAGTACTGCTCTTGCCTTCACCATTAATTTAGTATGTAGTGTATACTACCATTTATTGTGATTTATCTTTTTATTTCCTTGAGAGCAAGAGATATCTATTTGTGTCCTTGAAGTTCCTAGGATAAAACACTACACATATTACTAGATATGTATCATATACACTAGGTAGGTAGATAGATACATATCTAGCTTTATGATATAGATATTATATTATCTGTATAATAGATATCTCTAGATAGATATCTGGATAGGGTTTTATAAAACCTTAACTTTTTTTTTCCTATTTATACTACTCCATGGATCAAAATTTGAGAGTTTTAACAAGGGAACAAAAGAACGAATGCTCTTTAGAAAATTTCCAAAATCAAGAAAAAATGAATACAGGGTCATAATGTTTATATGCACACCAAGTCACCAAATAATAGTTTTAGAAAGCTTTTACATAAGTTCTATGTTTTAAAAGAAAAGTTGCATCTACACATTGACAGACTTGTGTGTAGCTGTCTTGTTTTTAAAGATCTCCTGGGATCGAAATTTTAAAATTCCCTTTACTGTCTTAATCATGCATAACATTACTTAAAAAAAACAAACCCATATATGCCATTTTCAAAAGGGGTAAATTTATTTCTTATATTTCCTGATGAAAACTTCAACACTAAAACAACTCAGAGCAAAAGACAAAGGTGAGATGTCTAATCTCACCTTTTTAGATTTGGGTGTTTTCTCAAGTCACCTTTGAAGCTCTAATGGTGACAGAATGTTGTAAATCTAATGCATTTTTCATGCAAGCTGATAACAGCCTTATTTAAGGCAATAAAGAGCAAACGGATCTTTGATTAGTTCATCTGAGGTTTGCTACACACAAAAAAATAAATTTTTAGTGCAGTATGGTTGATTTATTTTGTCCAAACTATGTTAGTGAAATGATGGCTGGAGAAAGGAGTCCTTGCCATTCTGGTCTAGAACCCTGAAAGCTGTAAATGAGATCCTCCTGCAATTATTCAATGGGCTGGTGAGTGTTGAGTTCTATAGCAAAACAGAGAGATACAGGTATGTCAGGGAATCAAGGATGTCAAGCATGGGGATGTCCATCTAATTCTTTCCTCATTGCTGTCTGATGCCTTTTATTAATTCCTCCACCTTCAGCTTCAGGATAAGTTGATCTACTGTTTTGTGTTTGAGCTGCAGCTCAATACAAAATTTTGTTCCATACAAAATATTTGTGGGGATCACAAACAACAAAACAAAACAGATTGTTTGGAAAATATAAAGATTCACATGAACATATACAATGATAAAGAACAAAAGTACAATAAAACAGCCATGTACCGGGACAATATATTTGCATGTAAAGTGTTCATATTATAATTTGCAAAGGCTCATTAAAGTTTATAGAAGTCCACGCCTCCATAAATAAATTGGCAAAGAATAGGAATGAACAGGAATGAACAAGCAGTTCATCCAAGAGAAATACAAATAGGAAACAAGCAAATGAAAATATTTTAATTCTCAATACTGATCAAAGAAATGGAAATTAAAGAAATTGATAGTAAAAATATCAACTTAGAAATGCTAAATTGTACTAAAAAACTAAGATCTTAGAAACTTAAACATTCATGAAAAATTAACATTCAAACAAATGGCATGTTCGAAGGGAAACAAAAATTCACATAATGATCAAACAGATAAAACTATAAAGCTATCCATACTATTTGGGACTGAAAAACCATGGAGGGACGTATCCTAAGGAAATAATAGAGTCAAAAAGCTGTATGTATGATGATATTTATTGTAACTAAAGGAGAAAAACTTATTAAACAGTAAAAGAAGATTAAGTAGCCAATAAAAATAATACGTTACAAAACTACATAGAAATCTAAAAGAATAGTAATTATATAATATTAAATGAACATCGAAAATGCAAAACAATTCCAGCTATTTAAAAACTGTATGTATGTGGTGATTTACAAAGTTAAAAACATGCAAATTGCTTTAGAGTAATAGGTTAAGATTCCCTCCCTCTTTTTTTTTTTTTTTTTTTTTGCCAATCCCCGTATTTGGATTATTTCACCTATCCTATGTATTTTTTTCCCTAAATAATAGCAAAAACTCAAAAACTTTTTCAAGGGACAAAGAAGAAAAAGATGAGTATCTGGAGGAGATACTTCTCCCCCTTCACCTTACAGTCAGGCTTTTGCTGATACTCAGTTTTTTTCAGCCCTGTCAGCCCCTTTTCGGAGGAGTTGATGTGTAGCCCTAATCCTCTCTGCTGGCTGCCTCCCTATTCAGGAGGGTATGCAAATACTTCCAAACCAGAGCATTTTAGACCTATTCAAGGCCCAAGACAACACACTTTTCATTAGCATTTGAAGTGTGAGGGCTGAAAAAGGGGAATGGACAACTTTTTTTCTTTTTTCTTTTTTTCCCTTTTGGCTCGAAGCTTTGGGGAGACTTGAAAATGTACGTTTTTCATCCCTTTGCACACATCAGCATTGGCGCTAAACTTCAGAGGGACGCATTGACTGCCCTCAGGGGAAAGCATTCAGGGGGATTTTTACACATACACGGAGGGCCATCGCCTGAAATAAATCACAGAAAGGAGGTGGCAGAGATGAAGCGAGAGGGGTTCAACGCGGGCTAAGCTATGCGTCCAGAGGCATGAATTTAAATCGCGATTTATTTTCCTCTCGCTCTGCACTTGCATGAACCTCAGTTTCTTAATCTTCAGCAATGGGGAGGGGGGCTTTGGGGAGAAGCGGCACAAGATTTAAAATGCAAGGCAAGTCTCCCATCAGACAACCCTCTGGAGGTGCTCTGTCTGTAGCCGTGATGTTAGAGCCTGGCGCTCTGAAGCCTAGGTCACAAGTTCAATCCCCTTCTGGGTCAGTTAGCTTTTCTCTGTTCCACAGCCACAGACTAAAGGCCTGAGCCCCTTATTCAGGCCAAATGTCTAACAAAATGTGTGTCCTTAGTCACTGCACAAAACAGCCCAGCCAGAGCCTAGCAAATCCATCCTTTACTGTTGGGGAGCCGTCAGGAAGCTAGCTGTCCTTGGAGGCCTACAATCTCTGCACGGACAAGGTGAGAAGGTGAGAAGGTCAGAGGGAGGTAGTGTGTGGGTGCTGAAGATGGCCAGAACTTGGAGGAGATCGAGCCCAACAACTTACTCTGTGACTCTGAGTAACTTATTCAACCTCTCTGGGCCCCAGCTGTGGACAAGCTGTTGTGATGACTGAGTGTGTTAATGCACATCAAGAGATTAACACTGTGCCTGGGACACACTAAACAGTCAGATTTTGCTAGGATTGTCATCCCTAACCATGATGATAAAACGGTGCTTTATGGCTATTTCAGGAAATTTGAGAAAAGGATTTAACATGTGAAGGTAAGACAGAGAGCTTTTTGACTGATATCAGTAAAAATGATTACGTGCCTAATGTATATCAGGTACCTTGATAGATTCCTTTTGGGGGGAGATAGGTTATTATAAAATAATAAATGCCACATGGATACATGGATCTTGTCCCCAAGGAATTTATAGAGCCAGATGACCCTGCTATAAACCCTGATTCAATCAGTTAGGAATGACATTGGATCAGTTAATCTGTCAGTGCCTTTGTTTCCTTATCTGTAAAATGGGGATTATAACTACCTACCTCATAGGGGTGTTACTGGATTAAATGAGTGTATGTGAAGTGCTTAGTATTTATAGGAAGCCATTAAATGGGTGGATATTTTTATTATATGAAAATAAAGCGTGCTTTTGCCGTTCTTCAGCTGTATTTATTTTTTGAGATGGCGTCTCTCTCTGTTGCCGAGGTTGGAGTTCAGTGATGAAATCTCAGCTCACTGCAACTTCTGCCTCCTGGGTTCCAGCGATTCTTCTGCCTCAGCCTCCCGAGTTGCTACGATTACAGGTGCCCACCACCATGTCCAGCTAATTTTTGTATTTTTAGTAGAGACAGGGTTTTACCATGTTGCCCAGGCTGGTCTTGAATGCATGACCTCAGGTGATCCACCTGCCTCAGCCTCCCAAATTGCTGGAATTACAGGCATGAGCCACCGTGCCCGGCCCATTCTTCAGCTTTAAAAAGGTGACAGCATCCTACTACAAGCCAGATCAGAGCCTTGGTATTTTTTTTAATAATCTGACTCCAACCTACCTTTCTGGTTTTGCTTTCATTTCTCCACTCCCTTCCTCCACATCATACTTTGTGATCCACTAACAGTGATGGGCTCCTTGACGCTTCCTGGCCTCCATGCATGCATTGTCTCCCTGTAGCCTTTTCCTCCCTCATTTGTCCATCTGGTGAATAAATCCTCAACATACCTTTCCTCCAGAAAGCCCTCCTTGACCTGCCCAGAAGAATCCCCTGCCTCCTCTAACTATTGGTTTTTATATGTACAAGTTTTTACAAGCCCAATCATAGACCACAGACCAAAAGCATCTTAAAGTGGAGCTACTTAAAATAGGGACAAAAGTAATGTTAAGAAAATAATGAAAAAGAGATTTCCAACGGAGTTTCCAAGGGGAGGCCATCCCTCTGCCTCACTTCCATAAGAGAGAACAGAGCATGACTATATAATGCAAAGGAAAAGAGCTGTCATTAGTTCTGTTTGTCAGGTTTTCCACCCTCCCACTGTAAATGCCACTCCTTATTAAGGAAGCCTAGCTTTGTGTCCATGATGACTCCATTCTCTACTTGATTCTTAGCCACTGCTTTTTATCAGGATGGAGCGAGCAGCAGGAGAAGCTCCGAGCCCACCCTTGAGCAGATTTGATAATGGGTTTCATTTCAAGATCTAACTGATTGGACTGAGAAGGATGGATCTGAGAGGGACTGCTGGATTGGGACTGCATCTAGGCACAGCAGAAGAGAGTGCTGTGGTTGATGAGTGATGCCTGTAGTGCCTACTAGAAAGAAGAGTGGTTGCAGTTTTGTAACATAGTTGCAAACCCTGTCTGGGAGGTTGTAGTGTATTCCTAACACTTGCTTAGTATTTCATCTAGAAGTTGGAGCCAACTAATACGAGCTCCCCCAAGTTGTCTCTTCTCTATTTTAGGGACCCCCAAACCCTGGGCCCCAGACTGGTACTAGTCCATGACCTGTTAGGAATCAGGCTGCACAGCAGGAGGTGAGTGGCAGCGAGCAAGCATTACCACCTGAGGTCCACCGCCTGGCAGATCAGCAGCAGCCACAGATTCTCACAGGAGTGTGAACGCTATTGGGAACTGCGCATCCGAGGGATCTAGGCTGAGCGCTCCTTATGAGAATCTAATGCCTGATCTGAGGTGGAACAGTTTCATCTAGAAACCATCCCCTTCCCCAGTCCGTGGAAAAACTGTCTTCCATGAAACTGGTCTCTGGTGCCAAAAAAGTTGGGCACCAGTGCTCTACTTCATTATTTCCTGGTATCTTGCCTTGCCTTTCCTACTGAGCAACCATCTTAAGAGAAAAAGATTTTTTTTTCTAGAAATAACATGTTATACAATATAAATAGTCATCCCTTTGTATCCACAGAAGACTGGTTCCAGGACCCCCAGTGGATACCAAAATTGGCAGATGGTCAAGTCCCTAATATAAAATAGTGTCATATTTGCATATAACCTATGTACATCCTCCTGTATACTTTAAGTCATCTCTGGATTATTTATAACACCTAATACAATGCAAATTTCATGTAAATATTTGTTATGCTATGTTGTTTATTTGTATTGTCTTTATTGTTGAATTGCTATCTTTTCTTATTTTTGAACATTTTTGATCCACAGTGGGTTGAATCTGTAGATGTGCAACATGCAGATATAGAGGTTGACTGTATACATTTTTTATTTTTCAATTAAATAATTAATTAAAAAAGAGAAATTGTCCTTGCTCCAATCACCTCCCATCTGCCCAGATCTAAAAAAGAAAAACTTCCTCCATTTCCTTACAGCATGTTTAGAAAATTTATAATAGGTTCTCCGAGAAATATTTTAAGCAGATGAAATGCTGAGCAGCTGCAGGGACCTAAAGGAAGTATAAACCCATTTGCTGATTTTTTACAAAATTTAGATTTAGCAATGTTCAGGCTTTGGGAAAATGGAGTGGAAAGACCATTGACGGTGGCAATAAAAGAATAAAATGAGGGAACTTCATTAGCTGTTGTTACTAGCAAACCACCTCAATACTTAGAGGCTTAAAACAACCATTTATTTGGTTTCTGGGCCTCGGGTTTGATGGGGCAGTTCTCCTGACCTAGGCCAGGCCTGGCTGATCTTGGTTGGGCTTATTTATGGCTGACATCAGCTTTGGGCCAGCTGTGGGCTGGCTCATCTAGAATGGTTTCAGCTGGGGTGGCTCATCTTCATTCCCATGGTCTGTAATCCAGAAGACCAGCCCAGTTTGTTCACATGGCAGCAGGGCAGGATTCCTAGAAAGAGTAGACACGGTAAGGTTTCTTTGAGGCTCAGGCTTAGAAATGGCGTAATGTCACTTTTGCCATATTGTCATGGCCAGAGTAAATCACGAGGCCAGCCCAGATTCAAAGGCTCCATCTTACCAGGAGGAGCTATAAAGTCACATTACAAAGGAGCCTTTTACCAGGAGGGAAATAACTAGGGCAATTTTTACAAACAATCTACCAGTCATTTACTGAAGTGACTGACTAGGATGTGCAGGAAGGCAAAGGAGGGGAAATGAGGCCTTGTAAACGGAGATGAGGCCGTGAGAATGGAAAGGGGGCCAACAGCAAGATAGGGAAAGGAATGGGGGAAGGAGGGGAATAGTTCATTAGAATAATAAAGTAGGGGGCAGAGAATAAAACTACTCACCTCTAACGGCAATCATGATGTAGTTGAAGGAATTAACCCCTCTAGAATTTAATTTCTTCACCTATAAAATAGGAATAATAACATCTGGATTACAAGGTGGTTGTGAGATTGTAAATACAATGCATAAAAGATTTAGCCTACATGGGGGGATTCAACACCCTCCCCCATATATGCAACCCCATCCACGCATGCACATATTATAATTACACGTGTGGAACGTCTGACCAAGAGTCAAAACCTGGGGCATGATCTCAGATCTGATTTTTATAATCTAGTAAGTCTGAGCAAATCACTTAAATCTCTGAACTTCAGTCTTATCATCTGTTGAATGGGGATAATAATAACAACCTCAAAATAAGTCTCCTGAGGAGTTCAAGAAAGGAACCAAAGAGCTCTCTGTGTGCTCCGGAGAAGAGCTTAGCCTTGACCTTTAACCCAGTATGAGCAGAAATAAAATAAAGGTCCCAGGATTCCACATGCTTCTGGATTCGCCTTGTAGCCTCCCCACTTCTTTTAGTCTTAAGAAAATCAGGATTAATTATATTGCGCCCTTATCCCTCATTCTCAGTTCTCACAAGAAGCCCAGAAATCTCAGGATATGCCTCTTCCCTCAGCCTCCCATTTCATATGGCTCTGCACATATTCTTCTCACTAACCTTCTTTATCCCTCAAGTCACAATGGCCACCTATCCAGTGCTCAGTCACCCATGTGACTAGTGGCTACCATACTGCACAGGATAGGTTTCGTCCTTGCACCTCTAACTCATTCTCCTGATGATTTCATCCATTCCCATGGCTTTAAATGCAATTTCTGTGTTAATAAATCCAAAACATATATCTATGGCTCAGACCTCTTAGCTACACTCCAGTAGCCATTACCTCCTTAACATATCCATTTGAATGTGTGAAAGCCATCTCAAAGTCAACATGTCCACAACAAAAATCGTGTGCCTTCCTTCCAAATCCGCTCCTCTCATGATCTTTGCCATTTCAGTGAACAACAAGCTCATTATTTTAATTGATCAGGTCACAAATCTTGGAGTGATGTTTGAATCTTCTTTTCCTCTTAAACGCCACTGCTGATCCATCAGCAAGTCCTCTTGATTCTGTCTTCAAAACGCATCTGAATTTGTACATTCACATCTCCAACACAGCCCTCCTAGTCCAAGCTAGCGTCATCTTTCACCTGGATTAAGGTGATGGCCTCCTAATTATTCTCTCCCCTTCTGTCCTTGCCCCATACTTCTGTTCTCATCACAGCAATCAGCGTGTTCCTGTTTAAATGTAAGACAGTCTTACCATTCCTCTGCTCAAAAATCTCCCAACGTTTTCTCTTCTTTTTCAGAATAAAAGTCAAAATCCTCTCAATGGCCTTTGATAAACTATATTTTCATTTTTTACTACTCTTTCCCTTGTTCACTCTCTTTTAGTCACAGTGCCTCTTTGCTGACCCTGGGACACACAAGTCTCACTTCTACCTCATTGCCTTTGCACGTGCTGTTTCCTCTGACCAGAATGCCTTTCCCCTAGGTAATCTGCTTAGATGGTTTCCTGGTGTCCTTCAGTTCTATGCTCAGATGTCACCTTCTCAGCAAGTCCTTCCCCAACCACCCTGGTTAAAACAGCTCCCACCCTCTACCCCAGTATCCTCTACCTCCTTCTCTGTTTTATTTGTGTCTAAAGCACTCCTTCCATTGGATGCTCCATGTATTTATTTACTTGGTTGGTTGGTTGTTATCTGTTGCCCCCCGCTAAGCAATGAACTACATCAGAGGAGAGACTTTGGTTATTTTGTTTCCTGAGGTATTCCTTGAGCTTAGAACAGTGCCTGGCACAGAGTAGCCCATCAGTGAAACTTTGTTGAGTGAATAAGCAAAACAATGACTACCACAAGTTTAGCACTGTGCCTGGCACACAGCAGGTGTTTAATAAATGTTATTTTCTTTTCTCACAGGTGTGTGTGTGTGTGTGTGTGTGTGTGTGTGTGTATCAAATGGTATATTGAATAAGGCACGATATATTGCTATAAAATGCTACACAGTTTTAAATCACTACTACCTGTATTACTGCATTTACCATAGTGCCTTGTACTTAGCCCATATGAATTTTGAGCAGAGATTTAGATAGGATCGCTGCAGGAAACAGACACTGGGACAGACACAGCTTGCTCTAACAGTGAAGCATCTAGATGCTTCTTATCTGTTGTAGGCTAGACATCCAGATGACCAAGTAATTATAATCATGTTTAATGCAAGAGTAAATGTTCTTATTGTGTTCTCGTGGCTTTATATAAGAGATAAATCCTATACAGAGTAGCCATATGGTACAACCAGCAGAGTCACCTAATGTCATTTCGTGCCAGGACAAGCAGCCCTAGACTCTTCACCTGCTCAGAGCAACCATTGCAGAGACCCAGATAACCAAAACTTAGCCATTAACAAAAGGCTAGAGGTCCTGGTATACTAGATATTATGGCAGGGATATATATTTTAGGGAACTTTACATACCAAACAATTAAAAATTTATAAAAACAGTTTTTGAAGCTTAGAAGAGCCAGCTTCAAACCTCTAGGTAATTAATTTATGTGAATTTTTTCAGCTTTCAAAAATACTTTTCAAATATGAAGGGCTTAAAAATTGTTCTGTTTGTTTTACAATTACCTTCCTCCTTACGCAGCTTTCTTTCCTATACGACAATCAACAATTCTGTGTACATTCCTAAACGGCCCATTTACTATTTTTATAGGGCACTTAATGAGTTTCCTTCAGAGATTTGAAAAGAACAATTTTCTGGAAAGAAGATAAAACTAAAAGTGTTCTGTAATGATCAGTGATGGGATGAGGTAAGCAAATCTTAAGAAAATCATAATTTAAAAAATCCCAGCAAATTTATGCTAAAAGAGGCCAGATAACCATCAAATGACTAATAAGGTATAAGTTAGACCTCAACTGTGCTTCTAGTTCTAGTTGAACCATGCTTCAGCCATCAACTGAGGAAGTGGTCATTAGATTATGCATTTCTTAGAAGCACAAGCACCTCTCTCTTCGGTTATATTAGAGTTCAGGACTTAGAAGGAGAGTATATAAGCCTTAAGAGGATAAGGACCAACATTTCTTTTTTTTGCTGTTTAGCCCAGAGCACGAGGAGGCCCTGGAGAGATTATCTCTGGAGAGGTAATGACAACCATCATGGTAATCTGTCCCCAGAAATCTGGAAATACATTGCTGGTTTTACTTTTCTGAACTCCCTAGGGCCTAACTATTGTCACATAAAATGTAAATATTCTTCTTTTAGGGATATCTTTGTTTAAACACCAAAGGAGAGCAGCCAAAACCAATTATAAAAAGCCATCCGCATTTATGTGAATAGGCCAGCTTCCTGACCATGGGTGTCAGACCAGGTCATCCAGGAATCCATGAGCAGGGTTTTGGGGAGTGTAAGCCCTTGAACCCACTTGTTTCTGCCCCTCTGAGACCTTGCTCCATCAGTCTGCTTCCTACTATTGTGCCACTCAGTCTCTGCCAGTCTGTCTTGCTCCTTCTCCTCAGCCTAGGGACATACTCAAGTCTCTTTCATCCTGAGCAAACCCAGTTCTTTCTCTCCTGTTTCTTTGTCTTCCTCCCACTTATTACACTATGACAAAACATGGTTCTAATTTTGCCTATTTCTAAACTTCATTAAATGAAATGAGATAGTATAAATTCTTCCATAACAGTCTTCTTGTCCTCACTATTTGGTACATGACATTTAGCATGTTGTTTTGTGTAGCAATAGTTGTTTATTTCTTTGCTGTCTAATATTGTTCATTAATATTTAACAGTTTCTTTATTTTACTATTGGTAGACTTGCTTCCAATTGTAAATTATTAAAAATAATGCTGCCTTGAACATTTTCTGTGTCTTTTTCTGTATATATGTATACATTTTTGTTGGCTGTGTATCCAGGAGTGAATTTACTAAGTCACAGGATACACAGATAACCAGGTTTATAGATGCTGCCAAATGACTTTTTGAAGTGGCTTTAAAAATGTATATTGTCATCAGCAGTTTATGATAGTACAGGTGACTCAAATTCTCACCAATTCTTGGTATTTTAATGTTTTATTTTAAACATTCTAAAGGAAGTATAGTGGTTTTAGTTTGCATTTCTCTGATAACTAGTGATGTTTAATAGCTTTGTATATTTTATTACCCATTTAGGATCCCCTTTTTTTAGGAGCTTTTTGAAAGTATTTATTCATGATTTATTCAATTGTCTGGATTTTTTATTCTGATTCAAAGGAGTTATTTATATATTCTGGATATAAACATTTTATCAAATATTTATATTGCAAACTTCTTTACGTGTGACTTTTTTCACTTTCATAATGATGCTTTATGACGAATAGAAGTTCTTCATTTTTATTAACTATAATTTTTATTTTGTAGTTAGTGCTGTTATATCCTATTTAAAATGTTTGTGTACCCCAAGCTCATGAAGATATATTCCTGTGATATCATCCAGAGCGTTACTATTTTACCTTTTACACTTAGATCTATGAACTATTTGGAATTGATTTGTTGTGTGTGGTTTGAAATAGGGGGTCAATATTTTTTCCATATGGATAATCAGTTGAAACATTACCGAACATTGAAAAGACAATTCTTCCCTAACTTTATTAAAGTGGCAACTTTGTGATGAATTCAGTAGGCTTTTATGAGAACATCTATTTATAGACTCTATCCCCTTTATCTTCGGTCACTTATTTGCCGATGCCACAATATCTTAGTTACTTTAACTTTATAATATGTCTGAAATTCTGAAGTTTAGGTTCCCTCACTGTGATGTTATTCTACAAGATTATCATGACAAATCTTTGCCCTTTGCATATCCATATACTTTGTTTTTAAATTTTATATTTAATTTTATTTTAATTTTGAGATAATTGTGTATTTGCATGCAATTGTAAGAGACACTACAGAAAGATTCTGTGGAACTTTTATGCAGTTTTCCCCAGTGATAACATCTTAAATATTATTGCACAATATCACAAACAGGATATTGACATTAAAACTCACTGTGGCTTTAATTTGTGTTTCCTTAATTACTGAACATCTTTTCATGGGCTTATTTGCCAATTATATAACCTCTTATATAAATAAAATGTCTGTTCATATCTTTTGCCTATTTTAAAACTGGATTGTTTTCTTTCTTAATGTTGGATTTGAGAGTTCTTCACATATTCTAGATACTAGTCCTTTCTCAAATACATGGTTTACAAATATTTTCTCCTGGTCTGTAGTTTAAGTTTTATCCTCTTTACAGGATCTTTCTAAAAGCAAATGTTTTTAGCTTTGATGTGGTCTGAATTATCACTTTTTAAAAAACTGAATTGTGTTTGCGATGTTAATCTAAAAACTCCACCAAGTCTCAAATCCTGAAGATTTTCTCCTACTTTTTTTTAAAGAGAAGTTTTGTATTTCTACAGTTTTCATTTAAGTCCATGATCTGTTTTAAGTTAAATTTTGTACAAGATGTGAGACTTAGATTGATTTTTACGATGGCCTGTGAACGTCCACTTGCTCTAGTACCTTTTGCTGAAAAGGCTATCTTTTCTCCATCCAGTCTCTTTTTCACTTTGTCAAAATCAGTGAGGCATATTTTTGTGGGTCTATTTATTGTTTTCAAAATTTTTATTTCATTGATTTATGTGCCTTTCCCTCTAATACCACACAGTTTGATTACTGCACCTATGTAATGCCTTCCAATCCAAAAGACTGATTCCTTCCACTTTGTTCTTTCCAAAATCATTTTAGTTAATTCAGTTTATTTGCCTTTCCATATAAATTTTAGAATAATCTTGTCTAGATATATAAGAAATCTTACTGGGATTTTGATAGTGATTGCATTGAACCTATAAATCAATTTGGGAAGCACTGACATCTTCACAATGTTAAGTCTTTCAATCCATGATCATGGTATATAGTTTATTTAGATTTTCTTTGATTTCTTTGGTCAGCATCTTGTAATTTTCAGCATATAAGTACTATACATGTTTTATTTGATTCATCCTTAAGTATTTCAATATTTTGAGTGATTATAAATGATGTTATATTTTTAATTTTGGTTTCCACATATTCATTGCTAGCATATAGGAATACTATTGATAATTTAATGCTTATTTTATATCCTGCAACCTTGCTGAACTCCCTTATTAGTTCTAAGAGGCTTTTTTTTGCACATTGCTCAAAATTTTCCATGTAGACAATCATGTCACCTGTAAATAGGGACTGTTACATGTTTTTTCACTTCTGATTTGGCTTCCCTTTTCTTGCTTCATTGTACTGATTAGAACTTTCAGCACTATATTGAACAAGAGTGGTGAAAGCAGGTATCTTTGCCTTGTTCCCAATATTAAGGGGAATATATTCACCAATTTAGCATCAAGTATTAAGTAGTGGTAGGTTTTTCTGTAGATGTTCTTTATCAAGTTGAGGAAGTCCCTCTCTATTCCTATCTTTCTGAGAGTTTTTATTATAAATAGCATCGGATTTTATCAAAAGCCTTTCTACACGATTGATATGACCATGTGATATTTTTCATTAGCCTGTTAATAATTTGGGGTTATACTGCTTGATTTTCAAATATTGAACCAGCCTTGCATCTCTAGAATAAACCTCACTTGGTCATAGTGTGTCATTCTCTTTATGTATTACTACTATTTGTTTATATTTTCTTGAAGATTTTTGCGTCTATATTCATAAGGGCTATTGGTCTATAGTTTTCTTCTTTTGTACAGGCTTTTTTCTGGTTTTGACATTTGGATAATACTCCTTAAAATGAGTTAGAAAAGCATTCCTTTCTCTTCTATTTTCTGGAAGAAGTTCTATAAAATTGATGTTAATCCTTGTTTAAACATTTGACAGAATTCTCCAGTGAAATCATCTGTGCCTAGAGATTTCTTTTTTGGGAGTTTCAACATTATAAAATAAGTTGTCTTAATAATTATAGGGCTATACAAATGATTTTATATTGAGTTGTGAGTAGTTTGTGATTTTTGAGGAATAGGTCCATTTCATCTAAATTGTGAAATTTATGTGTGTAGAGTTCTTCATAGTTATCTTTGTTATCCTTTTGATGTCTGAAGGGTCTGTGATAATATCCCATTTCATTCCTAATATTGGTAATTTTTGTCTTCTCTCTCATTTTGTCAGTCTTACTTGAGGTTTGTCAATTTTATTATCTTCCAAAGAACCAGCTCTTTGTTTCATTCATTTTTCTATATTGCTTTTCTGTGTTTTACCTAATTGATTTCTGCAATTATCTTTATTATTTCTTCCCTTCTGTTGCTTTTGGCTTATCTTGCTCTTCTTTCTATAGATTCTTTAGGATGACTTTATTAGTTTGAAATGTTTCCTCTTTTCTAATGTATGAATTCAGTACCATTGATGTCCTATTTAACACTATTTTAGCTGTGTCTCACAAATTTTGACATACTGTATTTTCAATTTCATTTGGTTAAATGTATTTTTAAATTCTTCTTGAGACTTCTTCTTTGACCGATGCAATATTTAGAAGTGTATTGTTTAGTTCCCAAGTGTTTAGAGATTTTTTCTGTCATTGATTTCCAGTTTAATTCCACCATAGTTAGAGAAAATATTTTGTATGATTTCAACTTTTCTGAATTGGTTGAGATTTGTTTTATGACCCATGATATAGTCTATTTTGGTATAGATCCTTCAGGCACTAAAAAGCATCTGTATTCTGTTTGTTGGGTGGAGTGTTCTATACATAGCGATTAGATTTTTTTGGTGAAGGTTTTGTTGAGTTCTTCTATACACTTGCTAATTTTCTGTCTAGTTGTTCCATCAATTGTTGAGAGGAGTATGTCGAAAGTCTCAAATACTAATTGTGGATTGGTATATTTTTCCTTTTACTTTTATCAGATTTTGCTGCTCAAATTTTGCAGCTCTGTTATTTGGTGCCTACATATTTAGGCTTGCTATGCCATCTTTACTTTATCACTTGAAAAATATTGTGCTAGTTTTGGCCTCTGGGGTTTCTGATGAGAAATGTGGTACTCACATCATTTTCTCCCTAGAGGTGCCATTTCTCTCTCACTGTATTCAAGATTTTTTCTTTGCCTCTAGTTTTTAGAAGTTTGACTATAATGTGCCTTGGTGTAGATTTCTTAAGATTTATCTTGTTTAGATTATGTTTGGTTCTGTAGGTTTATGTCTTGTGACAAATTCTGAAAGTTCTCAGCCATCATTTCTTTGCATATTTTCAGCTCTATCTTCTTTTTCCTCTCCTTCCATGACTCTGAAGACATGAATATTAGATTTTTTGTTATAGTCCCATAGGCTCCTGAAGCTCTGTTTATGTGTTTATTTATTGAGTTTGTTTATCCTGTCTGTTCTGATTGAGTGTTTTTTATTGTTTTATCTTCCAGATCACTGATCCTTTTTTCTATTCCCTTAATTATTTTGTTGGACACATCCGTTGAGTTTTTCAAAAGTTTATTTATTATATTGTGTAGCTCTAAAATTTCCATTTGGTTTTTCCATATACTTTCTATTTCCTTGGTGAGACTCCCTATTTCTTTTCTGTGAGTTTCTATTTTTCTGCTAAGATTTTTTATTTATTTTGTTTGCTTAAAGCACGTTCATAATTGCTTGTTGAAGCATTTTAAAGATGGCTGCTTTTAAATTGTTTTCAACTAATTCTAACATCTCTATCATCTTGGTTAGCATCTAGTGATTGTCATTTTCCCTTCACTTTGAGGTCCTCATGGTTGGTGGTAAATAACCTAATTTTTAATTGAAAGCTGAATATTTCATGCATTGTGTTCTGAGACTCTGCACTCATGTAAACCTTTGGTTTTAGCTGTTTTTTTCTGACACTGTGCTGACAAGGGAAGGGGAGAACAGCACATCTTTTTTTTTTTTTTTAATTTTACTTTAAGTTCAGGGATACATGTGCAGAATGTGCATGTTTGTTACATAGCTATACGTGTGCCATGGTGGTTTGCTGCACCTATCAACCCATCATCTAGGTTTTAAGCCCCACATGCATTAGTTATTTGTCCTAATGCTCTCCCTCCCGTTGCCCCCCAACTCCCAACAGGCCCTGGTGTGTGTTGTTCCACTCCCTGTGTCCATGTACTTTCATTTTTTAACTCCCACTTATGAGTGAAAACATCCAGTATTTGGTTTTCTATTCCTATATTACTTTGCTGAGAATGATGGCTTCCGGCTTCATCCATGTCTCTGCAAAGGACATGATCTCATTCTTTTTTGTGGCTGCATAGTATTTCATGGTGTATATTTGCCACATTTTCTTTATCTAGTCTATCATTGATGGGCATTTGGGTTGGTTCCAAGTCTTTGCTATTGTAAATAGTGCTGCAATAAACATACATGTGCATGTGTCTTTATAGTAGAATGATTTATAATCCTTTAGGTATATACCCAGTAATAGGATTGCTGGGTCAAATGGTATTTCTGATTCTAGATCCTTGAGGAATCACCACACCATCTTCTACAATGGTTGACTAATCTACACTGTCACCAACAGTGTAAAAGCATTCCCACTTCTCCATAGCATTGCCAGCATCCATTGTTTCTTGACTTTTTATAATCACCATTCTGACTAGCAGGAAATGGTACCTCATTGTAGTTTTGATTTGTATTTCTCTAATGATCAGTGATAATGAGCTTTTTTTTTTTTTTTGACAGAGTCTCACTCTGTTATCAGGCTGCAGTGCAGTGGCATGATCTCACCTCCCTCTAACCTCTGCCTCCCTTGTTCAAGCTATTCTCCTGCCTCAGCCTCCTGAGTAGCTGGGACTACAGGCACGTGCCACCAGGCCAAGCTAATTTTTGTATTTTTAGGTAGAGATGGGGTGTCACCATGTTGGCCAGAATGGTCTTGATCTCTTGACCTCGTGATCCACCCGCCTTGGCCTCCTGAAGTGCTGGGATTACAGGCATGAGCCACCTTGCCCGGCCGATGAGCTTTTTTTCATGTTTGTTGGCTGCATAAATGTCTTCCTTTGCCCACTTTTTAATGGGGTTGTTTGTTTTTTTCTTGTAAATTTGTTTAAATTCCTTGTAGATTTTGAATATTAGACCTATGTCAGATGGATAGCTTGCAAAAATTTTCTCCCATTCTGTAGGTTGTCTGTTCACTCTGATGCAAGGATATTCAGGACTTGAACTCAGCTCTGGATCAAGTGGACCAAATAGAAATCTACAGAACTCTCCACCACAAATCAACAGAATATACATTCTTCTCAGTGCCACATGGCACTTATTGTAAAATCGACCACATAATTGGAAGTAAAACACTCCTCAGCAAATTCAAAAGAACAGAAATTATAACAGTCTCTCAGACCACGGTGCAATCAAATAAGAACTCAGGGTCAAGAAACTCACTCAAACTGCACAACTACATGGAAACTGAGCAACCTGCTCCTGAATGACTACTGGGTAAATAACGAAATTAAGGCAGAAACCAAGAAGTTCTTTGAAACCAAAGAGAACAAAAAGACAAGGTACCAGAATCTCTTGGACACGGCTAAAGCAGTGTTAAGAGAGAAATTTATAGCACTAAGTTCCCATATCAGAAAGTGTGAAAGATCTCAAATTGACACCCTAACATCACAATTAAAAGAACTAGAGAAACAAGAGCAAACTCAAAAGCTAGCAGAAGACAAGAAATAACTAAGATCAGAGCAGAACTGAAGGAGATAGAGACATGAAAAACCCTTCAAAAAATCAGTGAGTCCAGGAGCTTGTTCTTTGAAAAAATTAACAAAGTAGATAGACCACTAACTAGACTAATAAAGAAGAAAAGAGAGAAGAATCAAATAAACACAATAAAAATGATAAAGGGGATATCACCACTGATCCCACAAAAATGCAAACTACTATCAGAGAATACTGTAAACACCTTTATGCAAATAAACTAGAAAAATTTAGAAGAATTGGATAAATTCCTGGACACATACACTCTCCCAAGACTGAACCAGGAAGAAGTCGAATCCCTGAATAGACCAATAACAAGTCCTGAAACTGAGGCAGTAATTAATAGTCTACCAACCAATAAAAGCCCAGGACCAGATGGATTCACAGCTGATTTCTAACAGAGGTAAAAAGAGGAGCTGGTACCATTCCTTCTGAAGCTATTCCAAATAATAAAAAAAGAGGAACTCCTCTCTAACTCATTTTATGAGGGTAGTATCATCCTGATACCAAAACCTGGCAGGCACACAACGAAAAAAGAAAACTTCAGGCCAATGTCCCTGATGAAAATCGGTGTGAAAATCTTCAGGAAAATACTGGCAAACTGAATCCAGCAGCATATCAAAAAGCTATCCACCATGATCAAGTCAGCTTCATCCCAAGGATGCAAGGCTGGTTCAACATATGCAAATCAATAAATGTAATCCGTCACATAAATAGAACCAATGTCAAAAACCAATGTCAAGGATTATCTCAGTAAATGCAGAAAGGCCTTTGATAAAATTTAACATCCCTTCATGTTAAAAACTCTCAATAAACTAGATACTGATGGAACATATCTCAAAATAGTAAGAACTATTTGTGACAAACCCATAGCCAATGTCATACTGAATGGGCAAAAGCTGGAAGCATGCCCTTTGAAAACCGGCACAAGACAACGATGCCGTCTCTCACCACTCCTGTTCAACATAGTATTGGAAGTTCTGGCCAGGGCAATCAAGCAAGAGAAAGAAATAAAGCATTTTCAAATAGGAAGAGAGGAAGCCACATTGTCTCTGTTTGCAGAAGACATGATTCTATATATAGAATACCCCATCATCTCAGCCCCAAAACTGCTTAGGCTGATAAACAACTTCAGCAAAGTCTCAGGATACAAAATCAATGTGCAAAAATCACAAGCATTCCTGTACACCAACAATAGACAGAGAGCCAAATCATGAGTGAACTCCTATTCACAATTGCTACAAAGAGAATAAGATACCTAGGAATACAACTTACAAGGGACATGAAGGACCTCTTTAAGGAGAATTACAAAACTGCTCAAGGAAATAAGAGAGGACAAAAACAAATGAAAAAACATTCCATGCTCATGGATAGGAAGAATCAATATCGTGAAAATGGCCATACTGTCCAAAGTAATTTATAGATTCAATGCTATTCCCATTAAGCTACCATTAACTTTCTTCACAGAATTAGAAAAAACTACTTTAAATTTCATATGGAACTAAAAAAGAGCTCATGCAGCCAAGAGAATCCTAAGCAAAAAGAACAAAGATGGAGGCATCATGCTACCTGACTTCCAACTATACTACAAGGCTACAGTAACCAAAACAGCATGGTGCTGTTACCAAAACAGATATATAGACCAATGGAACAGAACAGAGACCTCAGAAAAACACTGCATATCTACAACCATCTGGTCTTCCACAAACCAACAAAAACAAGCAATGGGGAAAGGTTTCCATATTTAATAAATGGTGCTGGGAAAACTGGCTAGCCATATGCAGAAAACTGAAACTGGACCCCTTCTTTACACCTGATACAAAAATTAACTCAAGGTGGACTAAGACTTAAATGTAAAACCCAAAACCATAAAAACCCCAGAAAAAAACCTATGCAATACTATTCAGAACATAGGCTTGGGCAAAGACTTCATGACTAAAACACCAAAAGCAATTGCAACAAAAGCCAAAATTGACAAATGGGATCTAATTAAATTAAGGATCTGGCACAGCAAGAGAACAGCACTTCTTTACTGATGGGTGGAATAGCAGTCCACGTTTCCTGCTCATTCTCTGTTAATGCTTGAGGGGGATGCTTCTGGTTCCTCTCAGGTGGGATTGGGAGTTTGGGTCCCATTAGGCCTCTATTGATACCTTTTTGGTTGGTGGAGGTAGGAGTGTCTCATTACTGCTTCTCACATTGCCTCCATCTACACCATAGGCAGAGGTACCCCTTTAGTGCTGGGTGGTGTTGAAAGTCTTAACTTCCCATTGGTCTTCTTCGACATTTCCCATTTAGGGAGGTGGTATGACTCCTCATCACTAGGTTAGGATGGGTATAGGAAAGTAATGTTTATTCTGTTGATGGATATAATGTTCTATACATGTCAATTAGGTCAAAGTGGTTCACTGTGTTGTTTCCATCTTTAATATCCTTAAGGACTTTTTTTTTCTCCTTGCTTTATCATTATTAAATAAAGTATGTTAGTATCCCATCATGATTTTTTTTTCTATTTCTCTGTTGGCTTCTGTTTAATTTTGCTTTATGATCATTTTTAAACTATTTACTTGGTATGTATAAATTTAGAATTGTTTTATATAAGTGGCAGACTGGCCCTTTTATTAATACAAAGTATTTTTCTTAATCTTTAATAATTTTTTTGTTATAAAGTATTTCTTTGATATTGGTATAGCTATATCAGCTTTCTTTGGTTAGTGTTTACATATATGTCTTTTTCCTTCTTTTTAATCTCAAGTGACATTATATCAAAGAGGTATCTCTTATAAGGCACACACAGTTGTGTTTTTACCTGATTTTTTTTAATGAGGCATTTAGTACACATATATTTCATATTTACTTATATTGTTGATTTTATATATATCATCATTTTGTTAGTTTTCTCCTGTTTTATACTCCTTTCTCTCATTCTTATTTTCTTTTGATTAGTCAAATATTTTTCATTATCCATTTCCCCCTTGGTTTATTGTTTTTACATTTATTTAGCATTGTTTCAGTTGATACTCTGTAAATTACAATGTTTACATGCATCATTGACTTGTTATAGCCTAAAATAAATGAATGGTTTCACCACTTCCAAGTCAATGCTTATTATGATCTTAGTATTCCATTAGCCAATCTCAGATTTCATGTTATCATGAATTTAAATTTTATTATTTGTTCTATTATTGTTTTATAAAGTCATTATTTATTTATATATATACATATATTTATTCTTTCCCTTTCTATTTCTTTCTTTCTGCATTTCTGTGTTTATCTGTGATATATTTTCCTTCTGCTTAAAGAAGGACTTGATTAGCATTTTTAAAATTTTGCTTTCTGGTGATAAATTCTCTTAGTTTTTGTTTGCTTAGTCATATGTGTATGTCATTTTTATTTTTAAATAATATTTTTACTTGATACTAAATTCTATATCAATAAATATTATCTTTTAGCATTTTGAAGATACCATTTTATTTTCTTCTGGTTTCTTTTGTTTCTGTTTAGAAGTCGTGTTAGTCTTAGTAATGTTATTTTAAATATTAGGTTGGTGCAAAACTAATCATGATTTTGGCCATTATTTCTAATTATTTTGCCGTTATTTCTAATGACAAAACCATGATTACTTTTGCACCAACCTAATATAACGTGTCTTTGTTCATTTGCTGCTTTTAAAATTTTTGTTTGAATTTTGCTTTCAGCAATTGTAGTGTTTTGAGGCTAGATGTATTTTTCTTTGTTGTTAATCCTACTTGGAGTTTGCAGCATTCTTTAAATCTGCGGCTTGAAGTCTATTAATTTTGGATTTTTTTTTTACATTTCTAATAATTTTTTTACAAATATCACTTCTATTCCATTCTATCTCTCCCTCTCTTCTATTATTTGAAGCACACATATGTTAAATATTTTCACCATGTCTCCTGCGTTTTTTTATGCCGTTGGCTGCTTAATATGATTAGACCGAAAAATGCTAAGGAGTCTACTTCTAAAAGAATGGAGAACACTGATAGTCCTTGGCATGAATTGTTTAGAAAGTTATGCAGAATAAATACATTTGGCACTCCTGAAACACCGCTCATGAGAGGCAAGAAGTTTGGTGATTCTATACATAATACCTTTGACTATGTGTGGAGAACCAAAGATTCTTTGTTTGGTTTCTCCTAAATTCACTTGACAAAGTGACGAAAGAAAATGATGAATTCAGAGATTCTAATTCCCGGCTTCAGAAGCAGATACAGAGCCTTAAATCTGCTAATATTGCCCTTAGTAAGAACCTTATCCCCTGTAGAGAAAGAGCTGAAATTGTGGAAAAACAGACATAAGCTCTTATCATGCAACTGACTGACCTGCAATGAAAGGTGCATGCACACCCTCACCAGGTGTTTAGTATTAAAGTGACAGCATTGATTGAAAAAGAATGGGACGTGCAACTTGGAATGGGGACATGTGGGAGGACCCTGATGAAGCTGGGGACACTGAGCTTGTAAACTCTGATGAAACTTTTTTGCTGGAAGAAACAGCTTCCCATCCCCAGTAGTGACAACATCCCCTCCCTGACCCATGCTGCCATCAGCCTTTCCATCTTTGTATGAGGAGATAAACCCTGTGCCACCTGAGGCAACAGTGATGGCCTTCCCTGAGGCAGTTGCCAGGCAAGATAATGTTGATTTTCCTCAGGAGCTACCCGAACACCCCTGTTTTCTTCTAGACCTACAACTAGACTAAAGTCCCAGCAGGCCCCTAGTGGTGAGGTTCAGAGTGTGACCCATGAGGAGATATGCTATGCTGATAAAGTACTGCTTGAGTTTTCTAATTTATATAAGCAGAAATCTGGAGAACAGGCATGGGAATGGATATTAAGAGTGTGGGATAATGGTGGAAGGAACATAGAGTTGGATCAGGCTGTGTTAATTTGGGTCCACTAAGTAGCGACTCTGCATTTAATGTTGTAGCTCAGGGAGTTAAAAAGGTTCTAATAGTTTATTTGCTTGGTTAGCTGAAATATGAATAAAAATGTGGCCCACTGTGAGCCAGCTGGAAATGCCTGATCTCACTTGGTTTACTGTAGAGAAAAGGATCCAAAGGCTTAGGGAGATTGGGATGGTGAAATGTATTAGTCACTTTGGACCTACTCATCCCAGCTGGGAGGGTCCAGAAGATATACCCTTTACCAATCCTTTGTGACATAGATTTGTGAGGGCAGCACCTGCATCTTTGCAGAGCCCTGTAATTGCTCTTCTCTGTATGTCAGTTCTAAAGGGTGAGAACCACAGTCACTCAACTACAAAATTTAAATACAACAGGAATAATTGGATCCCAAGGTGGCAGGGGCCAAATGGCAGCACTCAACCATCAAAGCCAAGGTGGTTGTAGCTACTGTAATGGACAGCAGAGGCAAAGCACCAATCAGAATAGCCTGACCTGTGTAGAGTTCTGGCATTGACTAATTAATCACAGTTTTCCTAGAAGTGAAATTGACAGGAAGCCTACTGTATTCCTACTTAATTTATATAAGCAGAAAACTTCCAGGTCAAATGGACAAAAGACTAATTTGAATTATAAAAACAGAAAATCATGGCCCCTCAATCAATTTACAGATTTGAGCCAGTTTACAGACCCAGAACCCCTTGAAGGAAGGGGAGGCCGGGTCCCCTTGGGGAAGGACCCCACTACACTGCCAACAATTTATGCTGTTAATCTTTCTCCCATCCTTCCCCAAGGAGACCTTTGGCCTTTTACCAGGGTAACTGTATTGGGGAAAGGGAAATGATCAGACATTTTGGGGACTACTGAACACTGGCTCTGAGCTGATCTTGATTCCAAGGGACACAAAACATCATTGTGATCCTCCAGTTAAACTAGGGGCTTATGGAGTCAGGTAATTAATGGAGTTTTAGCTCAGGTCCAACTTACAGTGGGTCCAGTGGGTCCCCAGACTCATCTTGTGGTCATTTCCTTAGTGCAAGAATGCATAATTGGCACAGACATTCTTAGCAGCTGGTGTAAGCCCCACATTGGCTCCCTGACTGGTAGGGTGAGGATTATTATGGTAGGAAAGGCCAAATGGAAGACATTAAAGCTGCCTTTACCTAGAAACATACTAAATCAAAAACAGTATTGGATCCCTGGAGGGATTGCAGAGACTAGTGACACCATCAAGGATTTGAAAGACACAGAGGTGGCGATTCCCACCACATTCCCATTCAACTCTCCTATTTGGCCTCTGCAGAAAATAGATGGATCTTGGAGAATGACAATGGATTATCATAAACTTAACCAAGTGGTGACTCCAGTTGCATCTGCTGTGCCAGATGTGGTTTCATTGCTTGAGCAAATTAACACATCTCCTGGTACCTGGTATGCAGCCATTGACTTGGGGAATATCTTTTTCTCCATTCCTGTCCATAAGGCCCACCAGAAGAAATTTGCCTTCAGCTGGCAAGACCAGCAATATACCTTTACTGTCCTACCTCAGGGGTATATCAACTCCCTGGCTTTGTGTCATAATCTTAGTCAGAGAGATCTTGATTGCTTTTCACTTCAACAAGATATCACACTGGTCCATTATACTGATGGTATTATGCTGGTTAGATCCAGTGAGCAAGAAGTATCAAACACACTGGACTTATTAATGAGACGTTTGTGTGCCAGAGGATGGGAAATAAATCTGACTAAAATTCAGGGACCTTCTACCTTCGTAAAATTTCTAGGGGCCCAGTGGTGTGGAGCCTGTCAAGATATTCCTTCTAAGGTGAAGGATAAGTCGCTGCATTTGGCCCCTCCTACAACCAAGAAAGAGGCACAATGCCTAGTGGGCCTATGTAGATTTTGGGAGCAACACATTCCTCATTTGGGTGTGTTACTTTGGCCCATTTATCAAGTGGCCTGAAAGGCTGCCAGTTTTGAGTGGGGTCCAGAACAGGAGAAGGCTCTGTTCAAGCTCTGTCCAAGCTGCTGTATAAGCTGCTCTGCCACTTGGGACATATGACCCAGCAGATCCAATGGTGCTTGAGGTGTCAGTCGCAGATAGGGATGCTGTTTGGAGTCTTTGGCAGGCCCCCCTAGGTGAATCACAGCGGAGGCCTCTAGGATTTTGGAGCAAGGCCCTGTCATCTTCTGCAGATAACTACTTTCCTTTTGAGAGACAGCTCTTGGCCAATTACTGGGATTTGGTGGAAACTGAACGTTTGCCTATGGGTCATCAAGTCATCATGTGACCTGAACTGCCTATCATAAACTGGGTGCTTTCTGACCCATCTAGCCATAAAGTGGGTTGTGCACAGCAGCATTTCATCATCAAATGGAAGTGGTATACACGTGACTGGGCTGGAGCAGGTCCTGAAGGCACAAGTAAGTTACATGTGGAAGTGGCTCAAATGCCCGTGGTCTCCACTCCTGCCACCCTGCCTTATCTCCCCCATCCTGCACCAATGGCCTTAGGGGAAGTTCCCTATGATCAGTTGACAGAGGAAGAAAAGACTAGGGCCTGGTTCCCAGATGGTTCTGCACGATATGCAGGCACCATTCAAAAGCAGACAGCTGCAGCACTATAGCCCCTTTCTAGGACATCCTTGAAGGACAGCGGTGAAGGGAAATCTTCCCAGTGGGCAGAACTTTGAGCAGTGCACTGTTTGTGCTCTTTGCAAGAAAGGAGAAATGGTCAGCTGTGTGATTATGTACTGATTCGTGGGCTGTAGCCAATGGTTTGGCCTGATGGTCAGAAACTTGAAAGAAGCATGATTGGAAAATTGGTGACAAGGAAATTTGGGGAAGAGTGGATGGACCTCTCTTGAGTCAAAAACTGTGAAAATATTTGTATCCCATGTGAGTTCTCACCAATGGGTGACCTCAGCAGAGGAGGATTTTAATAGTCAAGGGGATAAAATGACCCATTCTGTGGGACACCACCCAGCCTCTTTACCCAATCACCCCTATCATTGCCCAATGGGCCCATGAACAAAGTGGCCATGGTGGCAGGGATGGAGGTTTCACATGGGCTCAGCAACATGGACTTCCGCTCACTAAGGCTGACCTGGCTACGACCACTGCTGAGTGCCCAATTGCCAGCAGCAGAGACAAACACTGAGCCCTCAACATGGCACCATTCCTCGGAGTAATCAGCCAGCTACCTGATGGCAGGTTGATTATATTGGACCTCTTCCATTATGGAAAGGGCAGAGGTTTGTCCTCACTGGAATAGACACTTACTCCAGATATGGGTTTGCCTATCCTGCACCCAATGCTTCTGCGAAGACTACCACCCATGGACTCACAGAATGCCTTATCCACTGTCATGGTATTCCACATAGCATTGCCCCTGACCAAAACACTCACTTTACGGCTGAAGAAGTGTGGCAGTGGGTTCATGCTCATGGAATTCACTGGTCTTGCCATGCTCCCCATCATCCTGAAGCAGCTGGATTGATAGAATGGTGGAATGGTCTTTTGAAGTTACAATGCCAACTAGGTGACAATACTTTGCAGAGCTGGGACAGAGTTCTCCAGAAGGCTGTGTATGCTCTTAATCAGCGTCCAATATATGGTACTTTCTGTTTCTCCCATAGCCAGGATACACAGGCCCAGGAATGAAGGGGTAGAAGTGGAAGTGGCACCACTCACCATCATCCCTAGTGATCCACTAGCAAAATTTTTGCTTCCTATTCCCTCAGCATTAAGTTCCTGTTCCCTCAGCATTTAGCTGGCCTAGAGGTCTTCGTTCCAGAGGAAGGAACACTGCCACTAGGAGATACAACAATGATTCCATTAAACTAGAAGTTATGATTGCCACCTGGACACTTTGGGCTCTCCCTACCTTTAAGTCAACAGGAATTAGATTGTTGGTTGTGGTGATTGACCCAGACTATCAAGATGAAATTAGTCTACTACTCCACAACAGAGGCAAGGAAAAGAATGCATGGAATACAGGAGATTCATTAGGGCGTCTCTTAGTATTGCCCTGCCCTGTGATTAAGGTCAATGGGAAACTACAACAGCCCAATTCAGGCAGGACTACAAATGGCCCAGACCCTTCAGGAATGAAGGTTTGTGTCACTCCACCAGCAAAAAAAGCATGACCTGCTGAGGTGTTTCCTGAAGGCAAAGATAATACAGAGTGGGTAGTAGAAGAAGGTAGTCATCAATACCAGCTATGACCACATGATCAGCTGCAGAAGTGGGGACTGCAATTGTCATGAGTATTTCCTCCTTCTTTTGTTAAAAACATGTTTGTGCATATATACACTTGTACTAAGAAAATACCTTCATTTTATTTTTTTCTCCTTTATCATGTGACATCAGATTTATTGACTTCAGCATTTAAGTATTGTTACTTAAATATGTAATAGCATTTGGGTTTGGGATTGGTGCATCTGGTTGTACAAAGGATAGTTGTATTCTGTTAGAGGTAATTATGACCTTATTATTGTCTTTACTTGAAGATTATATATGATCTCAGGAGATGTGTATGGGTTCAGGTTGACAAGAGGTGGACTTGTGATGGTTAATACTGAGTGTCAACCTGATTGGATTGAAGGATGCAAAGTATTGATCCTGGGTGTGTCTGTGAGGGTGTTGCCAAAGGAGATTAACATTTGAGTCAGTGGGCTGGGAAAGGCAGACCCACCCTTAATCTGAGTGGGCACCATATAATCAGCTGCCAGCATGGCCAGAGCATCAGGCAGGCAGAAAAAATTGAAAAGGCTAGACTGGCTTAGCCTCCCAACCTACATCTTTCTCTCATGCTGAATGCTTCCTGCCCTCGAATATCAGACTCCAAATTCTTCAGCTCTGGGACTCAGGCTGGCTTCCTTGCTCCTCAGCTTGCAGATGGCCTATTATGGGACCTTGTGATCATGGGAGTTAATACTACATAATAAACTCCTCTCTCTATATATATATATAGATAGATAGATAGATAGATATAGATATATATATCTCTCTCTCCACATATATATATATATATATATATATATATATATATATATATATATATATATATATATAATCCTATTAGTTCTGTCCCTCAAGAGAACCCTGACTAATACATGCTGATTTATGTATTTTTAAAAAAGATACTTTTTGTTCTCTGACTCCGCTTAGATATTTTCTACTGACCTAATTTCTATTTTACTAATCCTCTTTTCTTCAGTTTTCAATCTGCTCTTAACCCATCAGTTGAATTTTTAACCTCAATTGCTGAATTTTTAAGTTTTAGAATTCCCATTTGATTTTTTTTTTGTAGATTCTGATTCTCTTTTGTAATTTCTTTATCTTGCAATATATTTCCTTGGATATTTTAATCACAGTTATTTTAATGTTTATACAGATTTTCCTCAACTTATGGTGTGGTTGCATCTCAATAAATGTATATAATACGTTAAAATTATCATGACCCAAATATGCATTTAATATACCTAACCTATCAAACATCATAGCTTAGCCTAGTCTACCTTAAACATGCTCAGAACACTTAGATTTGCCTACAATTAGGCAAAATCATCTAATACAAACTCTAGTTATAAGAAAGTGTTAAATATTTTATGGCATTTATTAAATCTTGTTCTGAAAGCAAAAGAGCAAAATGGTTTTATGGATAATTGAAGTATGGTTTCTACTGCATGCGTATTGCTTTTACACCACTGTAAAGTCTAAAGTCAAAAAATTGTAAGTCAAGCCTTCGTAAGTCAGGGGCTGTCTGTATTTGATATCTCCTATAACTAGACCAACTAGCTAGGTCTCTTTCTCTATATTTTTTCTCTTAATTATATTTCTTGGCATACCAGGCAAATTAGCATTGATTACTCAGTAATATGCATGAATAATTATAGAATTGCGGTTGAAGTATTCCTTCTCCAGAGAGGTCTCACCATGTCCTTTGAAAATAGTCTAAATAAGG
The DNA here is from genome assembly GCF_000001405.40 of Homo sapiens. Classification (NCBI taxonomy): domain Eukaryota; kingdom Metazoa; phylum Chordata; class Mammalia; order Primates; family Hominidae; genus Homo; species Homo sapiens. The sequence goes on from NC_000012.12 coordinate 103,069,884, forward strand.
GCAGGTTTCCTGATACACTTAGGGACTTATCAGACTCAAGGCAGAGTGCAGAAATAATTTAATGAGGCTCAGTCTTACTGATTCACCTCCCTGATCCTAGCAGGTAGCTCTTTGGGAGCTTCAGCTAACACCTGGGGTGCTTACTGATGCATCTTCTCTTTTTGGTGGATTCTGAACTCCAATTTTATTTCCTTGCCACTGTAAGACAAAAATTCTATACTGCTTCTCATGGGTGTTCTTAGCTTCTTGGTCTCTTGTCCTGGGAAGCTTTAAAATATGACACGTCTGAAGTGAAAAACTCCAGAATGTCCAGCTCATTTCTCTGCACCTCACTGCTCTCCAGTATTTTGCACCCTTAAGTTGTGATTTCCTTGGCAGCTCCACAGGCTAATTTTTGTGTTTGTATCCCTATGAGTTTGGTAAAAGCTCTATTTGGGTTCTCTTTTTAGTGGTGGTTTTCAGCTCAGTTTCTCAGTGCCTCACCCACCCTGCAATATGCCAAGACTTGTCTCCTTCAGGTAGAAAGGAGAGCCTTTCATCTTTGCAATTCCATTTTCTCCACAATGTTGACTTTCAAATTCCAGTTGTTTCAGCATACACATATACATATATATACACACCTACATACACATACACACACACACACACACACACACACACCCGACACAGCCTCTTAATCCACTGATTTAGTAGGAGTGTCCAAAAATATACTATCAAGGTTTGCATACATATATGCAAATGTACTCATACGACCACAAATTGTTCTATGTGCCAAGAGGATAAAGAAAACAGGGTACTAAGAAAACAGAAATGCAGGTAGGGAAGAGAAGATGTCTTATTCTGATTGAGTGGTCAAGGAAGGTAGTGACTTTATGACTTGTTTCTGTATCTCCATCTAGTCTTGCTATGATTTTCTTTGTAAATATGGGTAACTTCTCAAGGATTTCATGAAAGTGAGTGTCAACATGTGATTGTCACGACACTGAAAATATATCTTCAAGAAAGAGAATTGTTAATGAAACAGGAATCATGAATAAGATTTCCTAAATATATCATAATTTTATTTTTCAAGTGGTGAATCGTTAAGTCTGTGTCTGACTGTATTTGCTTTAATGCTTGTACCATGTCAGAGTGAAGTAAAATGCCAGTGATGCTGTATTTCCTGATTTTTTTCCCAACTCATTAGGAAACAATCATGAAAGAAATAGCTCCATGGTTACCCAAGGTAAGAACTGGTAATTCACACTCAAATTGCTTGGATTTGAAATTGCAGTTTCTACCCATGTCATGGGGCTGCGTTTTAAAAAACTATCTCCAAATTTGAAACTACACCATAAACCCTTCATCCCTTTTCTCAGTTATGGTCCCTCTCTACAGAACTACACAAAAAGTTTATTTTTAATGTTTCTTAAATGAGTAAAGGCTGAAAAACCCCTTAAAGATGAGAAAATAAATACACGCAGAGACTCTTTTTCTATTACTGCTCCTCCTAGCAACACCCACCTTCCAAAGTGGTAAAATTGACAACTCTGCTACTTCTGATTTAGGGGTTGAAATCACACCCTCAATCAGAGAGCATCCCTAACATTGATGTTGATATGATTCGGCTGTGTTCCCATCCAAATCTCACCTTGAATTGTAATAATCCCCATGTGTCAAGGGTGGGGCCAGGTAGAGATAATTGAATCATGGGGGCGGTTTTTCCCATACTGTTCTCATGGTAGTGAATAAGTCTCAGGAGATCTGATGGTTTTATAAATGGGAGTTCCCCTGAATAAGCTCTCCTGCTTGCTGCCATGTAAGATGTGACTTTGCTCCTTATTCACCTTCCGCCATTACTGTGAGACTTCCCCAGTCAAGTGGAACTGTGAGTCAATTAAACCACTTTCCTTTATAAATTACTCAGTCTTGACTATGTCTTTGTTAGCAGCATGAGGACAGACTAATACAGACATCAACCTGTGGTTTCCACCCAGACCAAAAATAGGATAATTAGTGTTTTCTTTTGGTAAAGGCAGAAGAAACCTGATGAAAAAATGTGTCATGATCCATCCCAGCTACGTATCTCCCTTGTTTCTTGGGTCCAAACAGTGTACATAGCATGTAGGTGCTTACAGCATCATCTCTATCTGTTCCTGCTAACATCTAGAGCTCCCAAAAATGAGAGATAAAGCAAGTCAGTGATACCATTTCTTGTCTAAATTCCTTTTATTTCCCAGTCTGATTCACGAAGCAAGTGCCATCACTTTTGTGCTACTTAAGCATCAGCTGACCTGGCAAGGATGACTTTTCAAGGCTTTGAACATTTGCTTCTTAATGCACACATGGTAAGAGTTCATCATTCATTCTTAACTATTTTTTAAAAAATAGTAACAGAGTCAGATGCTTCTCTTCTCTTTTGTGAGAATTAAATAATAATAATGTTCAAAATGTCTATATTGGTTTATTTAAAACAAGTCCCTTTAAACAGACAGAAGAACAGATCCTATACCATCTATTCTCATTAATCTCGGAAACTTCTTTAACAAATAAAAACTCTCTTGTATTTTTTGTTCTCAGCTAAAAAAAAAAAAGAAAATACATGGCCACAAATATAAGAATTCCCATGTGTATCATCTCCTGAAATAGGCAATTTTAGTCATCAACTCATCAATTCTACAATAGCAGTACACTTGGAGCAGATGAGAGTCCCTCCCATATCTAAGCTATTAGAAAGTGCCCCCACCCCCGGTACATACCCAGTAATGGTATTGCTGGGTTGAATGGTATTTCTGTCTTTAGATCTTTGAGGAATCACCATGCTGTTTTCCACCATGGTTGAACAAAGTTACGCTTCCACCAACAGTGTATAAGCGTATCTTTTTCTCCACAACCTCACCAGCATCTGTTGTTTTTTGACTTTTTAATAATAGTCTTTCTGACTGGTGTGAGAGAGTATCTCATTATGATTTTTAAAGGAATATAAATTGTTCTGTTATAAAAACACATGCACACTTATGTTCATTGTAGCAGTATTCACAATAGCAAAGACATGGAATCAGCTTAAATACCCATCAATGATAGACTGGATAATAAACACGTGGTACATATACATCATGAAATACTATCTAGCCACAAAAAAAGAATGAGATTATGTCCTTTGCCAGGACATGGATGGAGCTGGAGGCCATTATCCTTAGCAAGCTAATACAGGAACAGAAAACCAAACACTGTATGTTCTCACATAACAGGGACCTAAATGATGAGAACACACGGACATATAGAGGGGAACAACACACAGTGGGACCTATTGGAGGATGGAGGGTGGGAGGAGGGAGAGGATCAGGAAAAATAATTAATGGGTACTGGGCTTAATGCCTGGGTGATGAAATAATCTGTACAACAAACCCCCATGACACAAGTTTACCTATGTAACAAACCTGCATGTGTACCCTCAAATTTAAAATAGAAGTTTACAAATAATAGAAGAAAAGAAAAAGAAAATGCTCCCTCAGTGGCCAGCAGTCAACAAATGGCAGCTATTTTTCTTCTTTCTGTCTCCACTCCCAGACCATACATTCTGTGAAATAATTTGGTTGATTTGCTTAAAATTAAGTGTGAGAGCTTAGCTATTATCATTTTGTTTCTAAGAATATGAAAGGGAAACATAAAAATTCAAAAGGCAAATGTGTTTTTTTCAAAAGAGAGGAGAGCTGAGAGAATTTGCAGAGATATTATTCTTGGTCACGGTATATGACCCCTTCAAACTTGCAGATGGCTGCTAGGGGTGATAGGAGGGGTTTTGCTTGCATGAGCTTCCAAATGCCTGCAAAAAGAAAGCACAGGTTGCTCCATAAAAAAATAAGCAAGAAAACACATATTCATGGAAAATAAGTACTGACCAACCTGACTACATGGAAAGGAATTTATGTTAATTGAGTCTCAAATGTGGGATAAGGACATCAGAGTGTATCACTAGCTTCTTAATGCAGGTTTTTTTGGAAGGTCCTTACTCATGCCTATTTTAAGAGACGTCATACGTGGGGATTGCAGAGGTTAACATATTTGCCTGAGGTTACACAGCTAATTCTCCTCATGGCCGAATTTGAACCCAATGAGAGCCAATACCATAGTTTATAACCTCTCCCTACAGCACACAACCTTCCAATCAGAAGCTTCCCAAAGCCTCAAAAGCAAGTAGAATGGAGATAAATGGGCTTCTCTACAGACAAATAAAAGGTAAGAAACATGTTTACGGGGAGTTAACCTAAGTAAAACTGAATAATGAGGAGTTGTGAACTAAAAGTTATAGACCCAAAGAAATGATCCAGAGGGCTGAGGATGAAAAATCTTATGTCAGGAAGAAACTTTGTTCTTGAAGACAGCAGTTTCAAGTGTCACAACATTCATTTAATTTACAAACGCTTATTTTTCGGGCACCATAAAAAATACTTAGGTTAATAGAGAGCTTAATTGAACATAGGTCTTTCTCTGGAAAAGCGTACCATGGAGTAGAGTAGATAGCTCCTGTCTGCAAATAGCTTGGCAAATGAAGTGGAGCCTGGGGAATACCTCATCAAGGAAGCAGGTAAGCCTCCAAATATTATCAAACAGAAAGAGTACTGAATGCAAGATGGAAAACCTTACCCCTGTCATTGTGCAAAGATAGGGCACCCCTCCTGATTATATGCTAGATAAAAAATGGACAAAAAGACTCCTATTAAGGGAAACCAAAATGCCTAAGCATGAAATAGTTTCTGAATTGTCTATAAATAATATGATTAGGATTCTGCCCTGGAATGAAAGTAGATAATATATAGTGATACCTATAAAGTTAGAATGCATATGACCTCTCAAAAATCTAAAACTAAAGTAAGGGGCTGGTTGCTTTATGGCAAGTAGTACTTTCTACAACATTAGTTGAGATAGATTGAACATTCACTCGGGACATAATGGCTCACGCCTCTAATCTCAGCACTTTGGGAGGCTGAGGTGGGTGGATTGCTTGAGCCCAGGAGTTTGAGACCAGCCTGGGCAACATAGGGAGACTTTGTCTCTACAAAAATAATAAAAAAAATTATCTGGACTTGATAGTGCATGCCTGTGGTCCCAGCTACTTGGGAGGCTGATGTGGGAGGTCACTTGAGCCTGGGAGGTTAAGGCTGCAGTGAGCTGTGATCATGCCATTGCACTCCAGCCTGGATGATAGAGTAAGACTGTCTCAAAACTAAAAAAACATAAACAAACACACACAGAAAAGAAAAGGATCTGAAGCATTATTTTTTTCAATAGCAAAAGTTCTTTTTTACTTTTCCCCAGGTTTAATGCTCCAGAAATGTACTGTTTTTAGTTTTCATATCTACTTTTTATGACAGTTCTCTCTTCCTTGCTGTTAGATATTACTTTTGGCCTCCATCAATATTTATTCCCTTTTTTTCCTCTTTTAATGAAATCATCTTAATTTGTTGTAAGCTTGGAAACCAGATAATTAAGTTTGTTAGAATTCGATGTAGATCAAGAGTTGGTTCCAAAAGCATTGTAAGTACTTACAAATAGTAGACACTTGCCAACATTGCCTGAGTGATTACATTTTCCAAGAGTATTTTTACTGTCAGGATCATAGCAGTGATGCCACTGATCCAATAATCACTAAGAGCCTAAGCACAATATAACCATAGATCATATTTCAATTTAATCAAAATCTGTCTTATTTCATGGCCTGTGCTAATTTATACCTCTTAATTCATTTCATGAGTCCCCTACTATTCCATTGGAATTGTATTTCTAAGTCTTTAAACCAGCTATTTCTATTATGTTCCTTTAGCCTCAGCCAATATTTTTGACCACCCAACCAGTCCAGTAAGAATGAAGTCTGGATAGCACCTTCTCATTTATGAACAATGGAAGGTCTGACCAGGGTAGTGTTTATGGGAGAGGAATAAAATGAAAGGACACTTCAGAACCATAATTATTAAGACTCTATACATGACCATGGGTGATGGGGTAATGAGAAAGAGTAAGATGTTGACTGGGACACTTTTTTTAGGTTGGGTGAGGGAGCTTAGAAAACTCAGGAGGAGCTAGTTTAGTGAACAGAAGGAAAGTAATTGAGTTTGGTTTTGGATATGTGGAGTTTGAAATGCTTTGAGACATCTATGTGATTTCCAAAGGTCAATTTGTCTTTAAGAAATCAATATCACACACCGGGTCCTGTTGGGGGATGGGGCTAGGGCGAGGGATAGTATTAGAAGAAATACCTAATGCTATATAGAAGATGGGTTGATGGGTGCAGCAAACCACCATGGCATGTGTATACCTATGTAACAAACCTGTATGTTCTGCACATGTATCCCATAACTTAAAGTATAATGATAATAATAATAATAAAGAAATCAACATGCTTAAAATATGCATGATTACCCAAGCCTTTTTTTTTTTTTTAAATAAGTAAGGCCTTGTGTCAGAACGTTCTAGGACATTTGTTGGGTATTATAGGGGGTTAATGCTCTGTATGATGAGGGCAAGAGGCAGAGAAATATGGCCTACCACCATCATGTTGGCCAGTCAAACCCATTGTGCACCTATAGGTTTACTCATGAGGCCTGTTAATGTCATTCTAGGACCAGAGAAGCCTTCCTCAGATTCATACTAGAACTGGTTCCAGGGCCAATTTTACAAAGTCGCAAGGGGGACTTTTTCAGTGACTCCAGTGAATAAGTGGAATCTCTTCTGATCTTGAAGGATGATGTTGATGAAAGCCCAGTGAAAATCATATTGTAAAATATCTAACTGAAACTATTCTTTTCTAGTCACTGTCAGTGCCATTATAGTGATACCTAACACTTATTTATATAATTAAAGAAATGTATATATAGCATTCACCAAGTACTAGATTGTTTGCTAAGTGCTTTATAAATACCTACTCACTTAATTCTTATACCAACCCTATAATTAGGTATAATTATTATGTATCTCTTCTAGATAAGGAAACTGAGATACAAAAAGGTTAATTAAATTTTCCAAAGTCACACAGGTAGTAAGTTGTGAAATTGGGATTCAAAACCATGCAGTTTGAAACAATGAACTCTGAGGAAGCCTATGCTATATTGATGTTCATATCAGCCAGTCAATTAATTAAAATTGAGTTTCTAGATTGAAAAAATAAAATTGTACCTGTATATAAACTGTGTGCAATAAAATCTTGAGACTTTGTTCTAGACCCATTTTCTCTATGTTCAATTTAATACCAAATTATTAAGGTTAATATGAAGAAATGGATTTGTCTGTTTGCCCATGTCCTCTTTCCTTCTAAAGATAATTGAAGATATAATTAACATGTTTTACAAATCTGGAAGCATTGAATTTAAATTGCTAGTTGGATTACCTCATGTAGAAAACATCCATTAAGCAATATAAAATGCCAGCCAACAGAAAAGTGCAAATATTTAAAAATTGGAGATTATAAAATCAGGATAGACCTACACTTTGGAGGGAGCCTAATAATAGTAGTAAGCAAAAACACATTGAACTTAATGTATGCCAGGCATTCTTCTAAAGACTTTATGCATAGAGACTAAGCTTATAGATGGGGAAACCAAAGCACAGAGAAGTTAAATAACTTGCCCAAAATCACCTAACAAGTAAATAGTGAAACTGAGCTTGAACCAGGCAGCTGACCCCCAGACCCTGTGCTGGAGCAATCCAAGCTGGACACAGAGCAGGCAGTGATAAAGGTGAAGAGAATTTGGCATTCTCAGCTTGAGCCTCTTGGAGACAAGGCCTACAGGAAGCTAATAGAATTCCTGGAGAGATCTGGTGCCAGGCAGTCACTTTAAGATATGAAAGAAAAACTGTTCACACTCAGGACTCAATAACATTTGATGAAGGTGAGGACGTTGCTCTGTGGTGTGTCACTGGCGTTATGGAAGGGTTCCATCTGGGTCATTAGCACCATAATCCCCAAAGTCAGTGTTAGGAATCTAAATTCTGAATTTAGAGTCCACAATAGTTGCCCTCATTGGTGACATTCATTCTTCAGCAGTCACAACTTAAATCAGTCTCATGTTCATCTTGTAGGGCAGCAAATTAAAATTTAATTCGACAAAGCTAAAAGGACAAGAAAGAGTTTAGGACAATCATTTGCTCAATATTAAAGCAGCACTGGATTAAGGCCAAAAAAAATCTGCTTTAGCTCTGTCACTCCCTAGATGATTGACTTTACCCAATTATCTGACATTATATGGATCTTCATTTAATCATTTGTAAAATAAAGGGAGAAGAAACTAACAGGTATTAATTGCCTTTTATGTACAAGGTTTTGTTTTAGGAACTTTGCATATGTTGACTAACTTAATCCTCACCATCTTAATAATTGATAGGTTACTGCCCATTTTCAAGATTGAGAAAATAGAGGCTTAAATAATTTAAGAATTTACCTAAAGTCACCCAGCAAGTGGGATTCAAAGCATCAAAGTTTATGGTTTTTTTCTTTGCTGTTGTTTGTCTGTGTTTTGCATTTTATCTTCCTTTTATCATTGCAAACATATAATTCCAGAATTTTAGAAGTACACAAGGGGGATATGATGTCATTGCTACTATATTCTATAAACCCTAGAGCTACCACCTAAAGGACCACCACATCAACTTATCTTTATCTCTTGAGAGTTCTCCTTGGATTCTGATTTAATTGTCAAACATAATAGTCAACTGTATGATGGCTGAATGGACTATGCTTCATATAGTGGATCTATGGTAATCCATTAAGGTGAAACCTTGAATGAATTTCCCTTAGGAGGTTAACTTATATCTAGAGAGTGACATGTATTACAGAAGAAAATTTGATTATTGGTATTGTTTGCACGGTCTATTTTAATCTTGAAATATTTGAAAAGACTTGGTCAAAAGACAAGAAAGGACTAGTTTTTGGCAGTGGGTGTTTTCCATTCTTATGAATGTAATTTTGTCTCTGCAGAAAATTCAGACATTGCTTTGTCCAAAGGGACACCGACATCCTATACTATGCTTTATTTGACGTCTTATACTGCACACTAAACCACACCGGTGCACTTCAAATTATTCAGCTATAGGAATGTATATCTGGTTTGAACACTGAGGCCAGCTCCAGTGTGCTTTCTCATGTTGCTCCCAGATGGGTTGAAGATATCTGTGAAGACACCACATTGCTATGTATTATTTACTCTTTATAAAATGTCCATCAGATACCCAAGCTCTTAAACATCTTCCATGACAGCCAGAGATGACCAAAAACTTTTGATATCAAAAAGTTTAAAAATTACATCATGTAATTTTATAGATTAAGGAGCCAATGGGGTTTGAGTATTCCAATCCAGGTAATACCAAATGGACAAAACAGTATGGTAAAATCCCAAGGCACTCATACTTGGTCTTGACTCTGAACAGAGTCAAGCTTTGGTGAAATAAGCTATCAGGGCTGAGTTCAATAGTATAGGAGTGGGAAACAGAGATAAGGTATAGTAACTAGACAGAAATAGGTTCTGAAAGTGTATAGGTCAAAAGCAAACAAGGAACAACTGATGATAGTTTTCTAGAATAATGTAAGAGAAGCTAAACCTACAGTTAATAGATGATAATTAGAAGGTTTGTGTATGGCTGGACAAGTTTCAAGACATGTGATACACAGACAAAATGTGCTGTGGTATGCATTTGTCATGTTTTTCACTGTCCAGTGGCTGAGTCATCTTTGTCAGTTAGGATAGGTATGTTAAACTGCAGTAACAAACAACATGCACATTTCTGTGGCTTTAAACAATCACATTTATTTCTTGCTCATAATACATGTCCATCACAAGTTGGCAAGGAAGCTTTGCTTATCATAGTCATTTAGGGACTCAGGCTGACAGAAGCATCCTTTCAACATGCCTTCAGATTTGCCTGGCAGGGAATAGTAGATTGGGAGAACCATATCCTGGTTCTTAGTATTTCTGTCCTGAAGTGAAGAATGACTGTTACTTATATTTAATTGGCCAAAGTTAGTCATATTGCTAACTTGAATCAATGATGGTAAATAAATGTACTTCTATGAAGAAGCAATTAATATAAGAATATAGTCTATTCCATCTAGTCTGTAATTGGAAAATTACCTATCTTATGGCTCTGGGACGGCGGTAGAGTTGGCCTCCTACCACAGACATTATATATACACCAAGTAGTTTGTCTTCCCAGCCTCCCTGATCAATTTATGCACTTGGCTATGACTTGAAGTGGGACTAGTGACATAAAACAACACGAGAGGAGGCTTCTTTCTGATATGGCTGTGGTGGCAGCAGCATCTGATTTCCAGGAAGAGTTGGGGCGGCCAGGTCAGTAAATGTATAAATTACGGTATGGCGAGTCCAATGGCGATAGATGTGAAATCCTCACCTGATGGTATTTGGTGTGATTCAGGACATAGTTATGGCTATGCAGCCTCCCTTCATGCTTGTATGTTTTCATAACTGGTTCTCCAGCATTGCAATTCATTCTGTGATCTCCCCAACATCTTTTCAACTAAACCATTGTATTTAAATCAGCTTCATCAACTTCTGTTGCTTACATCTAAGGATCATCATTAATACAAACTGGTTGAAAATAGCATGCACTTTTCTTGTCCTAATTGTCATAATATTTGCAGACACCTAAAAAAAAGCTACTTTATCCAGCACCTGACTAAATGGAAGAATATAATTCTTGTCACTTAAAATTTAGTTTTCTATTTTTTTAATTATATGTGAACACAAACTTTAAAAAATCAAATTTCTCCAAGTTATGAAAAGCAATAATATTCCCAGTGCATCATTCTCCTCCTGTCACAACCAATTTCTGTTTTAGCTTATTCTTTTAATATTTATCTCCATGTTTCTAATGACATTATTTTAATGGTCAACACTTTTATACTGCTGGCTTTGTGACAAGTACTATTCTAAGTATTTTAGAAAGTTAGTTCATATAAAAATCTTATGAGATGAGTAATTATAATCACAGTTTTCATACGAGAAAACTGAGTTTCAAATAGGTCAACAATTTGCCCAAAGTCACATGACTAGTAATTGGTAGGGCTGGGATTTGAACCCAGAGAGTCTCACTCCAGCATCTGCGCACATAACTACAATGCTATGTTTTGCCTCTACATGTACTTATGTATTTGCATTCTGATTACTACGTCTTAAGCATTTGCCCATTGACTTCCCACTTGGTAAATGCCTTACTAAGTCTTAAGCATTTGACCATGGACTTCCCACTTGGTAAATCCCCTTCTTCCTTGCCACACATAAGCACACTTCTCATTCACCATCTTCCTTAGGCTATAGAAATATTTAGCGAACATTATATCTATGCAAATGATACTGATAGATGAACTGCTAAATTCTCTCCAAGTAGTATAAAACTCTTCTTTACAAGTGCAAACATATTAGGTATTCTATAGATTTAATCTTCTCGAAAATCGCTCTTGGAGTCTCCTGAGTTACTCTTATCTGAACAAATTATTCCCTAGAGCTGTTGCAAAGTTGTTACTTTGGGTCTTTCTTCATAGAGAGGCTGTCAATGTTTTTCTTTATCTCTCTCTTGTGTTGCACCTTTTATTTCTAGGATCCCATATCTTTTATTTTCTTGGTTTATTATTTTTTGTTAAGACAGATGCATCTTCTTGTAGTTTCCTGAAAAAGAATGCATGAAAGGTAATTTATTAAAATGTTTCATTTCTGAAAGTGTTTTATTCTACACAAGTACTTAGAAGATAGTTTGTCTGGGTATAGAATTTTAGATTGGAAATAATTTTTTCTCTCTATTCCGAAGGCATTATTCCATCCTCTTAGCTTTCAATGTTGCTTTTGAGTGGTTTAGTTCCATTCTGTTTGTTGATCCTGTGTAGTAAGTGAATCAGACATTTGTAAAATTATTAAATAATTTTCTTTATTACTAAATTAATTTGATAAAGATTATTTTGTTTACAGTGAATATTGCTGCATAGTTATAACATTTTTATCTTTGGCTTATAATTTTATAACGTGGATATGTTTTGCATTGTGGTTCAAATATGAATCTTTCTCACTCTTATTACTAAACACAAATGTATTGTCTCTCCTCTCTCCCAAAATTCAGTTTGTTTCTACAAAAAGCTCTTTTAATGTTGTCACTAATTTTCTTCTTCCAGTGGAAAGTGAGAACAGGTTGCCAGGAAGATGGGGAATTAGTGTGTAAAGACACTTAAAACAGGGAACAGTTCATAACAAAGCTTAAGGAGAGATAGAGTCCATTTGGGTTAATCATTTTATTTTCTGGTGAGAAAAACCAACTGGAAGTGTTTAAAGGATTTGTTCAATGGCACATGCTAATGTGTCAAGTGACCATATAATTTATCATCTCAATCAGGGCAATTCTGAGAGTAAAAGAGGATGAAATTGTTAATTATACCAGAGTAGCAAGTATAAACCAGACAAACCAGGACAGTTCTGGGAAAACTGGAATGTATGATTACGCTACAATAATTATGGCCTAACCAAATCCTAAAAGTCTTGTCTCCAGTGTTTTTCCCCCATTTCCTTACTTTGTGCTAACTTCATTGACAACCAATCTCTGTTTAGTAGTTTCTTCTATCATTTTAATTGATTCATATGCTCCTTGATTTATTCAATAAATATCTGTTGAACATCTACTTTGACCTCTGATTCTTAAAGCCATACCTGTCATTTAAAAAAGACTAGTTCTAATGTAAATGACAAGTTAATGGGTGCAGCACACCAACATGGCACATGTATACATACGTAACAAACCTGCACGTTGTGCCCATGTACCCTAGAACTTAAAGTATAATAATAAAAAAAGACTAGTTATTACCTTCCATTTAAAATACCTTATATGTACAAAGCCAGCAACAATATTAGAAAATGATCAAAGAAGCTGTTACTGCGCTATTTTATTCAAGAAGTAAATAGGTAGGTGAATTTTGGCAGTATTTGGTAACATAGTACAAACAAGCTAGTTTATCAGCTCTTACTCTGAATTAGACACACAGCTAGCTAGCATAGCATACATAGGTGGCTAAGCAGGTTTCTGTGAAGGCAGTGGCATACATCTTTAGTGGGAGTTTCAGGAAGAGCTTTATAGCAAGTTTCAGGAGGCATGCCAACCAAGAAAGGAGATGTGAAGTGAAGCCTCGGGTAGACTATAGGCAAGTGCAGACCTTAAAGTAAAAAATATATGACTGGGCACGGTGGCTGACGCCTGTAATTCCAACACTTTGGGAGGCCGAGGCGGGTGGATCATCTGTGGTCAGGAGTTTGAGGCCAACCTGACCAACATGGCGAAACCCCGTCTCTACAAAAATACAAAAATTAGCCAGACATGATGGTGGGTGCCTGTAATCCCAGCTACTTGGGAAGCTGAGACATGAGAATAGCTTGAACCCGGGAGGCAGAGGTTGCAGTGAGCTGAGATCGCGCCATTGCACTCCAGCCTGGGCGACAGAGTAAGACTCTGTCTCAAAACAAAAACAAAAAATACAAAGTCTAAGCACACAGTTTGATGCCCAGAATTATTTTTCAAGGTAGTTTCTGTTTTGATCATTAACCATACAAACTAGAAATTCATTCCCCAAAAAATGTGTGAGGCAAGGCCAAACTAGTTCATCTCTGTACTAGAAGTATAGTGAAAACACTACCTAAATTCTCAAGCTATTGCTATCAGTTTTTTTAAAAAGCTTTTGCTTTTCATCTCAATGATGGACTTTAAAGCATATCGCTCTTTAGATGGACAAAATTGTAGTTGGTAGTTTCATATAAAAAACTGAGTTGAAACTTCTACCTACCAAAATCAGGTCTTCTGTGGCTTTCAGCAAACATGTGAACAGAGTCTTTTGATTTGGTCAGTAAATATATTGTACTGAAATAGAATATAAACAATGAAGTATGCAAAATTTTTATTTGCCTGACAATTCTTAATGAGTCTTGTGATTTTGCCACTTGGTGTGTCTTCTGGGAAAGTTCTTAACCTCTCTAACCTCCAGACTCCTCAACTACAGAAAATGAAAAAACTGTATCTCCATCAACAGCCTGTTGGAAAATTCATATAGTGTTGTACATAATGTGATTAGCAGACTGCTTGGTATAGTAAGTATTTAGTAAATGATAACTGCAGTTTTCAATTCTTTTTTTGTCTTTAAAACATACATTTTTAAGATGCACTTCCTTAACATAATTAAAATTTTATGAGAATTGGCACCTAAATATTTATGTAGTATTTCTGTGATATAAAAGGGACATGGCCTTGTTGACTATTTCTTGTGCATTTTTCATTCTGCTAATTGCTCCTATCTGTTCAATTGCCTCTGTAACAGACTTGCTCTTTCTTGTCAAGATTTAAGTCACATGCCAATATTCTAGCAGAAAACAATTTTTATGACAAAATGGTTTTCCCTCCTTTAGAACAAGAATTGCTGCTTTAAAACAATGTCCCCACTGCATGTTTTCAGCTGGGGACTGCTGGCAAAATTTATTAGATGTTATACACTACTTTTTTTTAAATTATACTTTAAGTTCTGGGGTACATGTACAGAATGTGCAGGTTTGTTAGATAGGTATACACATGCCATGGTGGTTTGCTGCACCCAAATCTCTGTGCAAATAAACTTTTAAGATTCAGTTGTAGATATATATAAATGTTTTGAGATATTTCTCAAATAGCTATATAAATAATAATCTCCACATGGCAGGCAAGATCATTTGATTAGTGCATGATGAAATTCAGAATGTATACCTAGTTTTTAAAATGAGGTGTCAATGACTTGGTTATTAACCTATACACTGCATTCTGTGGTTAAAGCACTAGCTTGTTTCTTTTGGAAGCCAATTGGTATATGTTTGAAGATGTTTTGGTACAATGACAGTAACAACAACAACAACCAAGTATGCATTGAGATACTGTCATTTACTAGGGGCTAAGTTTTATATTTTATATATATATTCTATTGGCTAAAATAAAGACATATATGTGGTGCCCTGGGAAGGCCTGGAAACTTGGTAGTACTTACAAGTTTTTGAAATCTAAAACTATTCAAACAAAGTCAAGCCTACAGGTTTACCAAGAGGGCCAAATAATAAACAAATGCTACTCATCTCCAGGAGAACTGGGTAAGACAATGTTGAAGAGTTGGTGGAGAGGGAAATGAATGATCTTTGTAGAGCAGCCTCAGAACATTTAAATTTCCAAAGATAAATAATCTAGTGCTTAATTTTACAAGGAAATTATAATGAAAAAGCAACTGTTTTAAATGACTAGAAGTACCATTACATTGGAAAATAGATACATTTTTGGCAAATTAATTGAGTCCAACTGAGAATGTTTAGAACCCACGAGTTCCTACACATTTGCTTCTAATTCTAAGAGAGTCTCTTAGGTTTACTTTTAATATTAATCCTTAATTTGCCTACATGAAGCCTATCTGTCTTTCATTTTTCACTGTTGCTTTTAAGGGTAGTAGCTGTCCTCTCCCACTTCTTTTTAAATTCACCAATTTCCCAAATATGAGCTCATTCAAATCTAACTCACTTTTCTCTCCAGCACGCGGGTCATATGAGTAGACTAGGAGAAAAGAAAGATTTCAGAATGCACAATTCTTTTGAGGAGTCACTGTGCCTGCTGCAAAATTATTCGAATGAAAAGATTTTTTTTTTTTTTTAGGTAAAACGACAATTAAGGTCGACCTCCTCCGCTCAAATTAAAAAAGAGAAAAAGGAGTGTAATGAAGAATCTGACTCCTTCCTCTAATTTTACAAGTTCAATGGTAATCTAACCGTGCCATTCATTTACAGAAACCATTAATTTTACTATGTGGCTGAAAGTAGTAGGCCTCAGCTTTCATTCTCTTACTTTCCCCCTCCCTTGGTCTTTGTGTGTGCACCTGTTCAGGCCACTTTAGCATCCCATTTGTAAAACTTTGGGTAATCCTCTGGCACTAACCCTGGTGTGATAATACTTCTGTTATTCAGCAGCCTAATTACAAAGGACAACACAGATAAAACACTTCAGTCCTATTTTTAATAGCTGACTTGCCAATTTCGCCAAGCTCCATACAGAATGGTCTCCAAACCTTGCTGGATTTCAATTTAATCTGAATTTGTTCAGCACACGGAGCTCCAATACCTCAGAGCAGAACTTTTTTTGTTAGATTTTTGGACACCTCACTCCTTCTCCCACATTCACTCCTTTTTAATGATAATATAAACAATCTATTTGCTTTTTAGAATGTAGTTTCATAATATAATTGGAGCGTTTTTAAGCATTCCCCAACATCCATTTGAGACAACTGTTGATACCTTCAATAACAAAACAATCAGAGAATTAAGGTGTTAGGCACCAAAGAGTTACTTTACTTAATTAATCTGGATGAAAGATGAGCTGCTAACACTTCCTAATTTAACACATTTTTTTGAGAGCAATATTTTCAGAAGTAGAGGTCATTAAAATGTATTTAATATTTTGTTCTGGTTTAAGATGAAAAAAAAAGAGAGAACTATTTCTAATTCATAGCAAACCAAAGGAAAGAATCATTCCTTTAGTACAGATAAGCTTCCCAGAATCTGAGTACTTAACTCTACTTCTTTGATCTAGAAAGGAGCTGGAGACCAGGCAATACGAGATAATCTTATAAGTTCTGGATGTGTCCTGGTTGGGTAGAAAATATCTTGAAGTTTTGAGGGATTGACTAAATCTCTCCCTGAAAACATGTTTTGGAGGTTTCAGAGGGTGCCGTGCAACTAAAGGGCAGCTCCTGCCGCTTTCTTAATCCCTTCATTTTGAAACCCCAATAACTCAAGGGAAATTTAATACATATGTTTCTGATTCGCTTACACTGCTTCATCAAAACGGTGTTTTGTAAGAGCTATTTGATATCTAGGAAGCCTTCTCAGTCTTCTTTCTAAGCCTTTTATTTTGCTCCAAGAAATCACGTTTTCTTCATGTTCAGCAGAATTGGAAGCAGGGAAGGCTTAAGTTAGGTTCAAGGTCACACAAAATCAGTACAAGTTTGGAAGTTGGCAAACTATGTTGCTTTCCTCTGTTACAGCACAAAGCAAGCAGAAACTCAACAAGTGAAAAACCCAAGGGTATTATCAAAAGGAAATGCCATAAGTTAATTTCACTTAGTATTCCATTTAGTAATTAATCAAAACCTATATTTCTGCTTTCTTTTTTTCTCTAGTTTTTTGTTTGTTTGTTTGTTTGTTTTTTTAGATTCAGTAGGTACACGTGCAGGTTTATCACATGGATATGATATGTAATGCTGGAGTTTGGGTTTCTATTGAACTGATCATCCATTTCTGTTTCCTAAGATCCTGACTGTCACATATTAAATGACTGTAAAATTTAAGCATGTTCATTCCATTTTACAGATGCAAAAATCTGTCACAGTCTAAAGTGGTTCATGGTTTGCTTTGGTGCAGAGATGCTATAATTTGCTAAAAACACCAGCTACTCTGAGTCATATAACCATCCTGACTCATAGAACACTAGTGAGAAACATGGAGCAGAAGAGACATCCACTTTGGATCCTAGCAGAGCCCGTTAAACCTGGGGGATGTCACTGTTTTGAGGGGCAAGTTCAAGGTTTGAAATTTGAATACTTAATCATTGCAGTTCTCTAAAAGAGTGATAATAACTGAGAAATATCAAAGTAAGGCCAGTTATCTGAGAGTGGTTTACAATAATATACTGATTTATAATAACACTTACTGAGCACTTATATGGGCCAGGTGGCATTGTGCTAAGTGCTATACGAAATTAAAATCTTTCAATTCTCATATAATTCTATAAAGTAAAGACTTATTTTTATGACCATTTTTTAAAATGAGTAACATGAGGTTCAACAGTTTAGAGGGAAAGTTTATTAGGCTAGGTGTGACTGTTTCAGTTGTCTCTAATATTAGTGCACCATTTTATTCAACAGGACATGATTAAAATGTTTAATGGATAGTCTCAAATTTACATGTAAACACTGTAGGTAATGTTATGAGTTTGATATTATAAACTAGAACCCATTATTATCTCTGTTGTGACAGTAGTAAATACTGCAGTACTAAATATACGTTTTGCAGTTATATCCTTGACCAGTTGGCCTTTGCCAGAGCATTCTGGCCTGCACTGATTAGGTGATATATCTTATTTGTTTAACATTTTTCTAGGGCTATTAGATTTTGATTCCCAGGGAGCAAAGCAACTGGGATAGAACTTACAAACAGATCAAATTTTTCCTAAAGATAAAAATAAGAAGCCACAATCCTAGAATGTTAGGAGAATTTTCCATGAGGAAACACTGCTTCAGATGTACACTTCTGTGAAGATGGCTGAATTCTAGAAGGTTCATTCTAGATATTTTGTTATTGTTGTTTCCCAACATCTACCACAGTGCCTGGCAGGTAGCAGCCCTCAGTGAATTTTTGTTGAAAGGAGGAATAGATGACTAAATAAGAAATAGGGGACTTCTATATTCCCCAGCCTGGAGTTAAACATTTATTAGAAGACACTTATGGGACAGTTGGCAATTTTTGTCTCTGAGATCTTTGCTTTTGCATAGACTGATATGTGGAGAATTAACCAGTTGGTTTTACTATGTTAATTGAGTTGAAGTCACCTCTTTCCTCTTCCCACCAAAATCAGTGGTAGAGAAAAGTGCTCTGCCATGGAATTTGGGGTAGCCAGCTTCCAGTGGGTTTTCTCCTCCTGGGATTCATGTCCCTGCGGAGTCTCCTCCTATATGCAATGGAGCTGACCTATGCATTTAGTAAGATATTAAAGCAATGATAAAGTGTGACCTCTAAGGCTAGGTCATAAAATGTAGCTTCCATTACTTAAGTCACTTGCTCTGGGGGAAGCAGTCACCATGCTGTGAGGACATGTAAACAGCTTTCTGGAGAGATCCGTGCAGTGAGAGTCTCAAGAATCAACTCAGCTGGGTGCGGTGGCTCACGCCAGTAATCCCAGCACTTTGGGAGGCCGAGGAGGCCAGATCACGAGGTCAGGAGATCGAGACCATCCTGGCTAACACAGTGAAACCCCGTCTCTACTAAAAATACAAAAAATCAGCCGGGCGTGGTGGTGGCGCCTGTAGTCCCAGCTACTCGGGAGGCTGAGGCAGGAGAAAGGCGTGAACCCGGGAGGCGGAGCTTGCAGTGAGCTGAGATCGCGCCACTGCACTCCAGCCTGGACGACAGAGCGAGACTCCATCTCAAAAAAAAAAAAAAAAAAAAAAAGAATCAACTCGGCAACCCCTTGAGTGTGCAATCTTCAAGACAGATCTTTTGGCCCTAAACAAACCTCAGATGACTGCAGCCATGGTTATCATCTTGACAAAAACCTCATGAGAGACCCTGAGTCAGAACCACTCACCTTAGCAGCTCCTGAGCTTCTGGCCTAAACAAATGGTGAGATTTTTTAAAAGAAAATGTATTGTTGCATTCAGCTGCTAAATTTTGAGGCAATTCATTTGCAGCAACAGCTAACTAATACAGAATGGCACTGAGTGACACAGAGTCAGCCTAGAACACTTAGGAAAATAAATATGTACTGTCAATGGACATCTCTTTACAGGGCGTATCTTCTTCTGATTCATACTGGCCCGTAAGAAATCGGTAATGAGACTCCAATATTTCATATGAGAATTAGACCTAACAATATATTTTTCTTAGTGATGCTTCACATGAGGTGGGTGTACTTTGTAGAGATTTTATTAAGAGGGTGTGTGTGTCTGTGTGTGTGTGTGTGTGTGTGTGTGTGTGTGTGTTAAAGATTCCCAGCCATCTTGATTCATAGTGAAATTAATTCTGAAACATCATGAAAATTGGATTCTGGCATCTTGTCTACTGTGTGACATTGGTCAGGAAACTTCAACTCTCTGAATGTCAGTTTGCTTATTGAAAAGTGAAAAACTTAAAGTGTCTCTTAGTTAAAAGTTTTATGAATAAAATATATTAAAAAACAAAACAGGGCCTGAAGGTGAGGGTCAGTATTTTTGGAATTGAAAGACAGTTACCTGGAAAACCTCCATTTGTCTGCAATGGACACCGAAAAGATTTTAAAGTGAGCATGTGTGTGATATTATCTACCTGCTACCCACACACACTGTATTAGAACCCAGAGCCAGCAGGGCAGCTCCTGCACAGATCTCAAAGGATAGCAATGGAGCAAGTCATCAGTGTAGATGAACTATTCTGAAGATTAGCTATCAACAATTAAATTTTTCTTGCTAAGATTTCATTCTCCATGACTTGTTTAGCGTGGTCTGATGCCTGAAGGAAGAAAATTCAAATGCACTTGTTTGTTCCTAGTATCAGCCACAGCATGATCTCAATCAGGTTTTTTTGGTTTTATGGAGGAAACGTTTCTGGCGACACAGGGGAAGTGAATGGCTATGGCACCTTGTGACATTGGATGGGATTCGGGATGAGGCACAGTCACCACCGAATTAAATGCTGAAGCCTTGAGGAGCTTCAGAAAAATGGCCCTTAGAAGAAACACAGATTGAAATGGGAAGTTTGAGTCCTTGCTCCAGCACTTACTAGATGTGTAACTTTGGGTAAAATGTTTAATCACTCAGAGTGTCACCCTCTGCAAATGGGCCTAAAAAAAATCCACCTCATAGAGGTGTTGAGAGATCAGATGAAAAATCTCATAGAAGACATTAAGCATGGGGTTCTGCCCATTGAGCTATGTAAATAATGATCTCCAATATCATAATAGTTATAATTACAATTCCACCTATGATCCAAGTGGTTTGATTATGAATATTCTCTTTGGAGATAGGCTTTAGGGAGGTTAAGGCATTTTTTTTTTCCCCAGGAAGATACCTACATTTCAACCGGGAGTTGTAGAATATTTACAAATTCTGCCTTTAAACCAGACCAGAGAGAGGACGTGGATTCTTTCACATTAAGAAAAGCAGAGACTTAAAAATCAATGTATGATTTTAGAAGACTTATTTTATTAGAACCAATGGATAACTTTTTGTTCCTGAGAGAGGGAGGGCTCTTCATGAGAGAGACAGTAATGTCATTATTCATGCTGTAAGCCAGCCCACTTCAACTGCTGGTCTTCACAATGCCTACAAGTGTAAAAAAAAAAAAAGAATACAAAAAAACCACTTGCTTCCTTTTTTATGAGTATTGACATTCTTGTGCAGTATTAGGAGAGCTAATTTAGCTTCCAGTTCTAAGAATTTTTGAATCTATAGCCAGTAATTATTGGCATTCAGGGGTACAAAAGAGGAAAACAAAGCCTGCAAATTCTAGCACATTCATGTGGGATTGGGAGCTGAATTAGGATCCTCACACCCCATTGAATGATCAGCCCCCTATTAGAGCTTTATTAAAATGGTAATGATTATATGCCAGCTATAGGCAGGCAGCCGCACCTGTCAAAAACTACCCCGATTATCCTGTTCATTGAACTGTCTGGCTCTTGAATCAGTGTCTCAGGTTTACTCCTCTGTGAAGTTTTTTCCCCCTCTTGCCTCAAATAAAAAAAAAAAAAGATACAAGAACAAACATTTTCTTGGAGTCACAGAGCACTCTTGTCGTTCTCCTCATTTTGTTTTTGTATCTGGTATGGAAAAATGATAGAGAAGCTATTCTCTCTTTGGTTTGGGATAGAAACAGGAGAAAGAAACAGAAAACATGTAAAGTTCCATCTAAAAAAATTCATGTTAGTAGAAGAAAATGCAGGTCTGTAATTAATCTGGAAACTGGGATCATTCGATTGTCAGCCACATGTACTATGATGAAGGGGTAGATTCTTGTTATTTATGCATCAGTTACCTAGTTTAGAGATCTGTTGTCCTTCATTTAAAAGACATTTGGGGTTTTCATCCATCTTTTGCTTTTAGAAACGCATTAAACAATAATGGATTTCATTTGAAATCACCTTTTTTTCCAAGATTGAAACAACATTGAATGCACAATGTTGTTTTCTTACAAGACCAAATCTTGTCCTCACCACGAGGAAAAGTCTCTTTTAAACTATTTAATTTATTGGTTTGTCATATCTATTAGAGAAGAGCCTATCAGTAGGAAAGGTCTCTGGCAGGTTGACTGTCATCACAAGTACTTGTAACAGATGCTGTGGTGGTAACTGATCACAGCACTTGCAGAGAAGGATCAATATATGGGGAAAAGCAGATTTTTGTTTGTTTGTTTGGTTTGCTATGTTCTTGTTTGTTAGAAAATAGCTTTCTCTGACTAGTAAAATTTCTTGGGGATACCACAAAGGATGTTAGTTTCCTCCAATATCTACAGGACTCAAGAGATTTCTATTACCTCTCAGCCATAAGTCTTAGTCACTGGAGAACAGAGCAGGAAGTAAACGAGTTGTTTGTTTATCATTCGCTTTCTGGTAGGATGTTCCGGGGGATATGCTTTGAAGATGCAGGGAGCTAACAATAGACAGAACTAATCTCAAATTCCTTACACACACTCTTTTGTTAGTTTGCACGGGGGGAAAAAACAGCATATGAATTTGGGATTTTGTGACACTTACCTACCAGAGAGTAACCTTGGAGTTCCAGTCCTTTTGATGTTACAGCATGAAAATATTCACCATGAGGTCTAAGTTAACAGACCTCTTAATTACATGGAGCTGCTGCTTGCATTACTATAACAACAGAATAACACCTTTTACAGTAATTCACAATTCATCTGAGACATTCTAAGAATGCTATTTATTTATTGAATGACTTCAGTGCAACGTATTCTCCTGCCTTCCCCACACTCATCACCCAATCTCTACCCTCCCCTATCCAGCCAGTATTAATAGAATATCATGAAGTACCAACTGAAGAATTTTCAAGCCATTGCTACAGCATTTGTTAAGGACTGTATCATGAGATAATCACATATAGAAATAAGTGATTACTTCACAGTCAAGGCTATTGCCAGGACATCTAAGTGGCCAAACCCTTTTCCTCAACCTTGCTATAGCAAGAACGATTCTTTGCCGCTCTGTCCAGAAACACTTAGCCTGACACCTGTGTGATGCGCCACCATCCTGGGTCTCCCTCTTCCCTGTTTCACTTCTGACTCCTCTCACCACTTCCTGTCCACATCTCTGGACCTTTCTTAGGGCTATAACTTTGGCATCTTTTCTCTTTTCTGGCCTTGCATAGGACTCTGTTTCCTGCATCCCTTCTCTTTTCTTTCAACATTTCTTCTTAGCATTTCTATCCTATCCCATGATTCCTACTATTTCCTCTATAAAGAAAACTTTGAATCAATCTCAAGCCAAGGCTGCTGCAGTCATTCATTTCTCACACCTGGTTTCTTATTTTTCAAGATTGTCCTATGAGTCTCCAATTCAGCTTGACCATGTCTGAGTTGGTTGTTGTTAAACCTGCTTTAAGGTCCATAGATTCAATCTCTGCAGCATTTTGCAGCAGGATATTTTTGTGATGAACTGGAGAGTACATTCCATTGTCCCTTCCCCGCCATGCCCATTTACACATTCTATCCTACAATGACTGCCATCCAGATGGCAGTAAAGAAATTCCACAGAACAAAACAATCCTTGGTCTTTGAGTTCGAAAGCCAAGACTCCAAGAGAACTCAGTGTAAACATTATATGTGGAGAAATTTGTAGTCAATTTCAGCTCCCTTATGCATATACACTAGATAAGGAAGTCTTGGGTTGGAGGGAAAGGTGAGAGGAACAAAGGGGATGTGAATAAAGAGGGAATTAGGTGGGCTCCAGGACAAGGATACCAGGACTGACCACATTCAGGACTTGCACAGCCTGCATTCCTGGGGACAGACATCATCCTTAACCAAGCCCATGAACCGCAGGTATCTAAGCCAGTGTTCACTGCTCACAGAAGCTTCATCTCAGCAAGCAATATACATGGCCATGCTGGGCAGCTCTATTAATGGTTCTTCATGGTAGCATCTGGTGCTAATCTGTGGATAGTAGCCAGCAGAAGTGACTCAAGACTTAGATGTCCTAAGTCCTAAGACTTTGCTCAGTCCTCTGTGTCGGCAGCCTCCTTTCACTGACTTTGCTAACTTCTCCTCTCCCACTCACCTCTTGAGTTGGAGAATGGACTCTGGTCTGTATACTTAAGGGAGGGCGTGGTGCTGTGGGAGGAAAAGTCCAAAGTGTATTTGGCTAGATATGAGAGGGATCTGCTCAAGATTTTCCTCCTGGTCAAGACAGTGGTGGGAGAAACAACTTGCCCTAAAATCTCTTAAATCAATGACTTTGTTTCTACTTTCCCTGCCACTAGCCTATATCAGGTTTTTATGACCATCTTACTTATGCCATTACATCCTTGGTTTCTCATTCCTCCCACCTATTTTGCCCTTTGCTGTCAGGCTAACCTTCTTCAAGTCTGGATTCTTTCAAGTTAGTTCCCTATTAAAACACTTTGAGTGGTCTTCCCTTTCATATTGAATGAAGTTCAAATCCCATTTATGGCTTTACTATATAGGTATCAAAACCAATCTTACCTCCTACCAGCCTTAAAGGGAACAATCCATTCCTGAATTGTCTTAATCCATAGACCACAGAGGCTATTCTTCCCTATTATCTCAACAGGATTCAGTTCTAGGTATTTCTAGGTATTCATTCCTAGAGGTTCATTTAATTCATGAGTTCTTTCCCCTGGTACCTTCCTTTCACATAAAAAGCTGGGAGTCATCTCTTCCTCCTCTGACTTTCCACAGCTCTTCATCAGCACCTCATTTATGACCCTTTTATCTTTAAATACGTTATATGTACATGTTTTATTTACCCTCATAAATGGTGTGACCCTTGAAAGTAGGAATAGAATAGATTCCTCTTTAAATCATCTAGAAAGCCTAGATGTTGCCTGCCACATAAAATTCAAGATACACATTTGTTGGAAAAAAGATTATTTCCTTCATTAAATATCTGTGGTTTGTGTCATGTGTCCGGTTGGATTGAACTGCTGTTAATGTGTTCTGAAGTAATCATCTAGTAAAGCTGTTCAATTCCTGAGCTAAGTAGTGTTGAGTATAAAAGGTTAGAAGCAATTAAAAATGCAACATCAAAGTTAATTTTATTATTCTATGGACTGCATAAAATCAATTAAAACAATTTAAAGTTGTAGTATTTAATTTTACCACAGGTCCAAAATCTTGGGGTGATTTCGACTTCACTTTTTATATCCCAGAATCAATTGGAAAATCCCGCCAGCGTTTCTTACCACCTCTGCTGCTACTCTGTTTTAAGCTGCCACCAACTATCACCTGGATTATGGTAATAGCCCCCTGATTGGTCCCTTCCCTCATAGTCTATTTCAACACAGCAGCTGAAGTGATCCCATTAAATCGTAAGTCAGGTCATGTCATACCCTCATTGGAAACCTCTAGTAGCCCCATCAGGTTCAGAATAAAGTCTAGTGCTCTTATACTGCTCTACCAGGCCTTGCCTGTTCTGCCTCCAGCCCCACTTTATCTGCGACCTCTTTTCCTACCTTGCCACTCCTTGGTAGCTCTGATCCCTTCACACTGGTCTCCTTGCTGCCCTTGAACACACCAGGTACTCTTCTGCCTTAGCTCCTGTGCCCCATTGTTCCTTGCCTGAAACACTCCTCTTGTAGATTTGGGTAGGACTGAGTCACCTGCTTCAAGTCTGCCTACATGTTACCTTTTCAATAAGATCTACTCCCAATGGCCCTGTTTAAAATTGCATTGACCTTACCCTTCATTCCCTACAATGCATTGCCTTCCAACATACCATACACCTCACTTATTTATTATGAGAATTTTATTTTTCTGTCTTTCCCTGCTAGAACAAAATTTCCACGGAGGCAGAGGGTTTTTATCTGTTTTGTTCAATTGTTGTGTCCTAAGAGCTTAGATCAATTCCTGACACATAGTAGGTGCTCAGTAAGTATTGAGTGAATAAATGCCACAATATTAGAGTTGAACGGGAGGACTTTGAAGAGCTTCTGGTCTAGTGGTTCCTGATGTGAGGTCTCTAAAAGTCTTATTAGAACAATTTTCTGAAAACCTAGTGAAAATTACACATTTGACCATGATAAGATTGCCCAGTTCTGTGGGTCCCAAACTGTGTGCCAGGGATCACTGGGGTTGAGGTGGGGTGCTGAAGTGAACTCATGGGGCACTGAGGGATAATTCTAAATTTATGGAAAATACAGCAACACTCAACATCTGTCAGACACCAGGCACATTTCTAGCTCAAAGTAGTTCATGGTCTCAAAATTGGATTGTGCTCCGTTTCTTTTGCTAATCTATTTTTGTAAAACTGAGTTTTTGGCCATTGCTGCCGTAAAAAGCAATCAGGTGCCATCTGAAAGTGAATGTAGAACAGGAAATTATCTGATTACAAGGTTTGTAAAGGCATACAGTGCCCAACAAGCACACATTTTTTGTTAGTAA
Organism: Homo sapiens; assembly: GCF_000001405.40. Classification (NCBI taxonomy): domain Eukaryota; kingdom Metazoa; phylum Chordata; class Mammalia; order Primates; family Hominidae; genus Homo; species Homo sapiens. Next base: position 103,096,277 of record NC_000012.12, read on the forward strand.
ATAATCATGGCTTTATAAGAATGGAATAATTTTTTTTCAATTTAGGTGTATTTTTTATTAAAATGGCTATCATTTGAATAAAAATTCGTAGGACATAAATGCCTATTAAGTTGTTCGGACCCAAGTACTTAATAAACAGAACTTTTAGATATTTATTTTGGCCTTGAGGCACTGTGAAAAAATTTTTGAGTCCTCAAGGGTGCCATGAAAGGAAAAAATTTGAGCACCTCTGGCCTTGACTTACTAACGTATGATTTTATTGATTTCAGTTACAATCATATCAAATTAGCTTGGCAACCTTGTGGTCCCGTATTTATGAAAAGTTCTGATTGGCAATTCCATAAAGATTTTTGGTAGAAAGTAATTATTAATGAACAATAGCAAATAATCAATAAATACTTCTTAGATTTGAAAGAGTTCTTTCAAAACATAAGGAAGCTGAGGAAAAGATATTTAAAGGGTCCTTGGTGGAGGATGGGTGGAGAAACTTACACCTTGTTCAAGGCCCTGGTTTAACACATGAGGAAGCTGAGACCTGGCACAGTTTAGTGACATGCTTGCAGTCACACAGCTGGTAAAGGAAGAACCAGGGCCAACAACTAGTGTCTTGCCACTTTTCCACTGTACTTCACCAGGCTTCCTCCTTGTGTCTATATGGTGTTTATAAAGAGATTTTTGAATATATTGTGATGTTGATAGGCAAACAATCACTGTACATTTTCTCTACTAAAGAGTGTACTTTCCTCTCAATGTTGTGTCCTCACAGCCTGGCAAAATTACTGGAAGACATACTAAAAGTTTATGCTAAATTGAATTATTTATGACCATTTAATCTACAGATCATATTTCTTAATCTCAGATATATATTGAAAATAACTAACCTAACTGGAAAGTTAGAGTATCACTTAGTTTACAAAAGAAAGCAATTAGCTCTAGTTAATGTGTCAACACATTAAAAATTGATTGTGTTGAGCCGGTGGGTTTGGAGATGATTTTAGTTCATAGCACTTCTTGTGAAATGCTAGAGAATACAGAGAGCTATATATAGCACTCTCCATTAAGAGAAACATCTGATTAAGTAGACAAAGGCTTTAGCATTCTTTATGTAGTGCATGTCTTAGGATTCGAATATAAGAATATTTTGAATTTCATCCTAGGCAACAGAAATACGAGTCTCATTTATGAAATCCAAATCAGTAATCTGAGAAATGTGTTGAGTTAGTGACTTTAAGTATTTAGAGTTGTCTACAGAGTCTTTCAAAAATGAGAAAATATAGAAAAATGCCTGCTGCTTTAACATTTTGCACTGTACAGATGGTTCCCTGGCCAACATAATTTTCTCTCTCATTTTGATGATACAGACTGGAAAATGTCTCAACCAAATTAAGCTAATGGAGGTCAGTGTGTGGTATGTGCCATTAATTTGAAAAACAAGGAGATAGATAGAGGAAAGACAGGTAATGATTTGTGACAGAGGCACCCAAATTTGATTTAAACAATTCAATTATCCTTTTTAAAGTCCCCCAAAGAAATGCGCTGCAAAGCCCTTCATTCCCCACTCATGCGGATGGGACACAAAAGCTGCTTTTGATAATAGTTCCATATCACTTCCTCTGTGACACGCTGTGGGGACTGCAAGCCACAAAACAAAACAAACACCTTCATGTCCTATTGTGAAAAGTTCAAGGTGGTCATACAGGTGAAGAGCTGTCCTCGTATGACCTGAAGAACAGGAGATTGCAAGTTGCATTTAGAAAGGCTTTCTTAGACAACATCCCTCTGGAAATATTGGGTCAATATTGCCAAAGCAGTTCTAGCATTACAAGAAAGTTATTTAAGGAAATTTCTATCTGCAACTGCCAAAGGATGCAAGGTAAATTTATGGTTCCGCCATGGCCTCAGAATGGAAACCAATGGAAATATGTACACTTGTTGAGCACATAGGCCCTGAAAGGAGAATCACACCTGGCCCTGTGGCCTATTAGGTACCTAACCATGGGCAGATTGGTTAGCTCCTCTAGGCATCATTTTTTTAATGTGTTAAATGGAGATAATATTAAGACTTACCTCATAAAATCCTTAGAAGGATTAAATGAAGTAATTCATATACAGCTCTTACAAACAAATGACATTTGTGTAGGTCAGAACCAACTTACTAAAGATACCAGAGAAACTATTTTTTAAAAAAATAAAGACTTCATATATTATTGGTTTTTCTTATTTTAATAACTGCAAAAACAATTCAAAGTCTGCGTTTCAGCCATCATCTGGGAACTTCTTTGGAAATCAATGCATGTCATCTCTCACCCTGAAAAGAAGCAAGGGTCATTTGCTTACCTTGACATCGTGCAGCTTCATCTAGAGAGGTAAAGCCCATGTATGAGTTAGTGATCTTTTGAAAATGCTGCCTAAGAGAGGCACCAAAAAGAAAGTCAGAAGGGTCCATTAGCATCTTTCTAGCATCTGAAACAGGACACCCACAAAAGTATTTCAGAATCTTTTAAAATGCAGGCTTTGCAAAGAGTTCCACCTATAATAATGCCTACAGGGACTGCAAAACCATCATGCTATCCTACATATTCATGGAATGAATAAAAGCAACTGGGTGGATTTGATTGAGCAAAGACTGGAGTTGTAAGCAGTATCTGGCACATAGTAAGTTCTCAATAACTGGAAGCTAAGGTGATGGTAACAAAGATAACAGATATAGCAGAAGGGAAAGCACATCTTAAGAGGAAAACAAAAAAGAAATTCAGTTAGATATTGTTTGTCAATGACAATGTAGATAATAAAAAAAAATTGTTCATCCTACCATAAATATTTGATCTGGAAGTAATTTTTATTTAACTACTGTATCCTAAAGCTCCACATTTGCAAGGGCTGTGAGTTGAAATATGACCTGGATATTAAATGCTCCAAAATATTAAATAGCTGATCATATTTTGTTGGACTCCTAGATGGAAAATGCAAACACATAGTTCACTTTTTGACAACTTTGTGATGTGGATTACCTAACTGAACAATTATTGAGCATTTACTCATCTCTATGTGTTTAGTCAACCAAAAATTATCAATAAGTAGAAATAGCTTTATAGCAGCTCTTTGTCTAGCAAGGGATACAGATGCACAAACCAATAATTTAAAAATCCAGTGGAGGAAAGAGGTATTTACAAGAGCATACAGATACTGGACACTGAAGACATTCAGAGGCCAGGACTGGGGCTTGGAGGGTGAGCTAAGGAGTTAAGAATTTTTATCACTTTGACCATTGCCTACTTTGTCAAATACGAAGCCAATTATAACAGATATTTATTTCAGAGAACACTGAAAGAATGAAGAAAGTATAACATCCAAGGAGAGCAGATTTTTATTTTACTTACTTAAAATATAAGGCATTTTTCTTATGATTTTAAAATAGTATACTTGGGAAACCATTTTCTAGTGCTTCTGTATTTCAAGCAAATAGGACCAATTCTCAACAACCTGGTGATAAAAACCCTTTTTTTCTAAAACCCTAATATAGATTAGAAAGTTTGCATGACGTTTTATAGACAACTTTCATTTCTATGGACTGAGCAAATATACCAAGTTTTTTGTGAATAAGAGAACATGCATCTCTTGAGTAGATAAACCTATTGCTGACTCTTGGTGCCAAATGCCCACTTTGATTAGAATTTCCTCTCTTTTCCACTACAGAATATTTTTGCCAGATGGAATAATTTACCCAAGCTTGCCACACCTGCAATTTTTTTGTTTTGCTCAAAGTGCATTTTTAGTCTGATTCTCCATATTGCATGTAATTTTGGTTTTTGCTTGGATGAGGAAATCAAACTGTCTGTACTGTTCTCTGTCTGTTCAGATACCCAAGGCAGGGGGCAGAGGCCCAGTGTGTCTTGCCTGTGTATCCATACATGCCATCCCCACAGGACTGGCCCAAACTTTGGCGGGCAATCTTGCCCGCAGAATCGGTGAGCTGATGATGAATGGCTGTGAAGGCTTTGTGATTGCTCAGGCTCCTTTGTGGGGCTGGACAATGGAGGAGGACACAAGTCTGGCTCAGGAGAGCAACGGATAAAACTGCTGGGCAGGATGGCGGGCTCCTGCCGACACGACCACTTGTTGACATTGAAAGAATTTCACAACAACTGAGCAGAAACAGAAACGATTCTGTTCGGCAGGGCTATTAGTTGCAACGTGTGGCACCGGAGCGGTCACTCCTGATGTGTTTCCTCACTAATGAGCTCTGAATGCCCATTAAACTGGGCTGCTATAGGCCCAGAACCACCCGGACAATGGCATGCATGAATGCCTTCCCCTGTTGCTATTGGTTGGCCCAAGGAAGAAACAACTGGTATCACTCAAATTTAAACAGAGTTGACAGTACAGTTAAATGATCATTAATTAGAGTGTGTGGGCAGATAAAGACTCAGAGCCATTTCTAATGACAAGATAGGTTAGCGTGACTCACTTGGAAGCATAACCCAGTCTGGCTCTGCCCTATTTCTTGGGCCATGTGGAGAGGCTTACAAGGGATTTTAGATAGGGTAAAATAATCTGTATAATAGTGTGTTGGAGAGGACAAAAAAAAGATATATAAGGCAAAGAGGTTTTTGGATGACTAGGAGTACCTCCCAAGATAGTGGTGAGAACTGAATTCGATTATACATTCAAAAAGTCTTCTGGGATGTGGTAGTGAGGTGGAAAGAGTGAGAGACTTTGATTTAAAACCAGGTTCGAATCCTGGCTCTTAAATATAATTGTTGGGTAATCTTGAGCATCATTTTAAACTCGGGAGCCTCCATTTCTTCACCTGGAAAATGGGATAATCCTAATACCAACTTCACAAGGTTATCACAAGGATCAAAAGAAGACCTTGCAAGTTAGGTTGACTGTTGCTGATCTCTCTCTTTTGAGTAGCATACATTATGCATGGATATGCCTTGGGTAGAATGGTCCACTAGCCTGTAGAACAGTAAAGGTAAAAACTGTTCTAGTGAAAGGGCAAATTTAAACTTTGTTTTCCAAACATTTCATTCTGAGAGGAATGATTCAAGCTGCATTAACACCTCAGATAAGCTCAAGAGAAAAGTTGATTATTCTCATAGGCACTTCTCCTAATTGTTCATCTCATGATAGTTTTTCCTTAAAAATAATGGCAGTAGAGCTGAATAAAGAACAATATTTAACAATAGCCATTATCATCAAGAAATTGACATCTTGTTCAGAAAATTAAAAACTATACTCATGTTCATCCTTGATGTCAACATTCATCCCTAAGCTGATCACTCCTAAATCTCTATCTAGAACATCATCCGCTCTGCTATCATCCATGTCTAGAACCCAAACTACCCACTGAACATACCTAAATGGATATTTCATAAGTGCCTCAAAATTAATGTCTGTAAAAGTCAGCTTTTGTTGTATTTTAAACTACCCCAAAACCTGGTGGCTCAAAACAATAACTACTAATTTAGCTCATAATTCTGTGGGTTGGCAATTTGGGCTGGGTTCAACAAGGTGGTTGTTCTGGTGTTGGCTGGATTTACTCGTGTGTCTGTGGTCAGCTGTCTGCTAAGGTGAGGCCTGCCTGGCCCAGAATAAGTCAGGATGACCTATCTCTGCTGCATGTAGTCTTCCATCCAGTAGTAGGCTAAACTAGAGTTGCTCACATGGGGCTGCATGGTACCAAGAGAAAGAGCAAAGGTGTTCAGGGCCTCTTGAGGCCTAGAGTTAGAACTGGTATGCCATTACTTCCTCTTTATTCTATTGGCCAATACAAGACTCAAGTCCAGCCCAGATTCAAGGGGTGGGAGAAGAGGAGTGAATGGGTTTCCACTTCTTGGTGGTAAGAACTGCAAAGATCCATTGCAAAGAAGCATGTTCACATGGAGAGAAATAATTGGGACCATTTTTATTAACAGTCCCAAACTGAACTCATTATGTTCCTAGTAAAACTTTTCCTCACCTTTGTTTTCTCTAATTTGGTTAAAAGAATCAAGATCTTCCCCAAAACCTTAAGGCCATTCTGGGACATTCCATGTTGACATTTACTGGATGACTAAGTTCATGTCTACCTTCTTAATTTATCTTCATTCAACACTGTCATCATTTCCATTCCAGAACACTCAGTGTTAATCTAGATCTGTCTCATTTGGGACTGAGCCGTTACAGTAACCCAACTGATCTCTCTGTCTTACTAGGGTGTCCAAGGGAGAGAATGCAGTCATGGGTTCTTAGTTTCTGTTTCTGGTTGGGCCAGTAAAGTCCCTTCCTCATCGCTCTTCAGAATATGGGTACAGACAGAAACTAAAAACTATAGCTTCTCACTGCTAAAAAGCTTAAAATAAAACAGAACAATGACAACAACAAAATAAGGCAGGTTGGACAGGCTTGTCTATTGCAATGTATAAAGTTAGCACAAATTTAGCAGCTTAAAACAACTCCTATTTATTATCTCATGATTCCTGTAGGTCAGATGTCAGGTTGAGGTTTGCTGGATTCTCTACTCAGGGTCTCATGAGGATGTATTCACGATGATAGTTGGACTATGCTCCTTTCTGGAGCTCAGGGTCTTTTACCAAGCTCATGTGACTCTTGGCAGACTTCAGTTCCTTAGAGTTGTAGGGCTGAAATGCCTGCTTTCTTGGTGGCCATCAACTGGAGACCACTCTCAGCTCTAGAAGTCACCTATTATTCCTGCCACAGGTCTTCTCCATACACATGAGAGTTTATTTCTTCCAGACCAACAGAAACACATCTCACTGACTTTCATCTTTCCTCCACCCTAGTATGCTAAGACAGTCTTAGACATAATCTAACTAAGCACAAGAGTGACTCTCTCACCATCATTTGCTATATAATGTAACCTAATCAAGGGAGCCATCATATCCATAGGTTCCTTCCAAGCTCAAGCATAGGGGATTACACAATGTGTGCACATCAGGAAGTGGAAAGCTTGGGAACCACTTCAGAATTCTACTACATCCTCCTCCAACCCATCTTCCCTGAAAACAGCCATCTCTTTAGGATGCAAACTGGATTACACCATCCCTAGGCTTTTAATCCCTTCCTAGATCCCTACTGCCTATAAGGTAAGGATCTTCCTTAACTGTTTGAATCTCTCCCTTGAAAATATTTCTCACATAAACAAGGACACAGGGAAAAGGATCTCAGCTTTGGATGTAGCACATTGAATCAGAGAGGTAGATAGGCTAGCAGAAAAGTCACAGGCATATAAAGGATCTATTTGAACTTGAAATGTACCACTATCTGTTAGATTTTTTAATTTTATTTAATCATAGCCCCTATGGATCCTGAGAAATCATCAGAAGGAAGATATTTTGAGCCCAATATTTTTTTTTCCTTTAAGATTCTGGAAAATAAAATGTAAGCACACTGCATACAAACATAAGTTCATACTTATTAAAAACGTATTAAAACGATTACAATAATCTCCAAAATCTATAGTTATAAATATTCAACATAATTTAAATTAATCGATAGTAATCAATTTCATATAATAGCTCACTTTTTTTTTTTTTTTCAGACGGAGTCTCGCTCTGTCGCCTGGCTGGAGTGCAGTGGTGCGATCGCGGCTCACTGCAACCTCCGCCTCCCAGGTTCAAGCGATTCTCCTGCCTCAGCTTCCCAAGTAGCTGGGATTACAGGCACGTGCCACCACGCCCAATAGCTCACATTTATTATGTGGCTACTATATGTGGGCGTTGTGCCCAGCTTATATACATCATTTTATTTAAATCTTATGACAGTCAAATGCAGTAGTTATGAATAAATGCATTTTAAATGAGAAAACTGAAGCAGAAAAAAAGGCATATCACAGCTAATAAATGGCAAAAAACAGTACTCCAACATATGTATCTGTATAAGTAAGATTACCTGTGAGCACTTGCAGTCTGGCAACATGATAGACAGACTCATTACAGAGCCCATTCCTGGATAAAACGCATACACGTATTGATGAAATATAACATGGTTTAGTTAAACACACATAAGTTCAAAATAAAGAAAGATATACTCCAAGATATCAGCATAAACAGCCAGAGTGAAGACTGAACAAACAAATTGAATACCAATCCAGGGGATGTCAGATTTGGATCTGTATACCAATAGCTAGGCGTTAGGGTTTCCATGTTTGTTGTTGTTTGTTTATTTGTTTGTTTTTTGAGATGGAGTCTCACTCTGTTGCCAGGCTGAAGTGCAGTGGCACAATCTCAGCTCTCTGCATCCTTCACCTCCTGGGTTCAAGCAATTCCCCTGCCTCAGCCTCCCAAGCAGCTGGGACTACAGGCATGCGCCACCATGCCCAGCTAATTTTTTGTATTTTAGTAGAGATGGGTTTTCACCATGTTGGCCGGGATGGTCTCAATCTCCTGACCTCATGATCCACCTGCCTCCCAAAGTGCTGGCATTACAGGCGTGAGCCACCGCGCCTGGCCGGGTTTTCCATGTTTATTCAGGAACAGAAAACAAAGAAGATATGGCCTTGGGCCACTCAAGATGTGCAGCTGAACCTGAGGCATCCACATAAGGTTCTAACCCTGGTGGGGCTGCCCCACCACACAGGGAAGGAAAGAACGTCATCTTCACACACAAGGTCATGGAAGTAGCAAGGACATTTGTCTCTGTTTGAGGCTCTAGGCAGGACAAAAAAGTCTCCACCTTCCCCATGAAGTATCAAAACCCAAGCCTGAATTGCCTGCAGGTGTGGCGTGTTAATGCACATTTCCACACTGCACTGGTATTCTAAGCAAAGAAACACAAGTAAGGATTTGTCTTATACAGAAATCTCTGGGCCAACCACCAAAAGCAAATGAATCCATTGTACACTGTATAGAGACTCTTCTACCCTGGTGTGTAGAACCCCAAAAGAAGAAAATACATATAATGATGATGTCAAAAATTACAATCATATGGGAGAATGATCCACTGTAAGGGAGAATCAGCAGACACAATAAAGAGAAAGATGAGTACCCCCACAATTTCAGATATTATTATGTCCAAAGGAGATAATAAAATTGAAAATAAGAACCTTAATTTAAAAGATAATATAACATGGATGGAGCTGGAGGTCGTAATCCTAAACAAATTAATGCAGAAGCAGAAACAGAAAACCAAATACTCCATGATCTCACTTAAAGTAGGAGCTAAGCATTGAGCACACATGAACATAAATATGGAAACAATAGACACTATGGACTATGAGAGGGTCCATGGGAAAGGTTAAAAAAAATACACCTACCAAGTACTATGCTCCCTACCAGGCTGATGGGATCTGTACACCAAATCTCAGCACCACCAGGCAATATTCCCATGTAACAAACCTGCACATATACCTCCCATATCTAAAATAAAAGTTGAAATTAAGTAGAAAATGTAAAATAGACTGAAAACTCAGACAGTAGATTAGAAGAAAAACTACAAGGTACGGCTTAAAATGTAGAATTTCATTTAAACTAAAAACTCAATACACAAATTGACAACAAATTCGGAGAAAAATAATGACCTGGAGCTAAATATGAAGAAATTTCACAGAATGCTACATAGAGGGATGAAATAATAAAACATTTGAAAGAGATGTTAATGACAAGGAAGATATAGTGAAAGAGGATGATTTTAATAGACACTCCACAAGATGAGATTAGAGAATGGGTGAGAGGAAATATTCAAAAATTGATTGAGATTTTCCAGAGTTTATTACAAACACAAATCCATCTACTGAAGAAGAACATTAGTACCAAGCACGCTGAAAACGGTGAATCCATACCTGATACATCATAATGAAACTGTAGAGAAAACTTATTTTTACCTCATCATGAGTAAAAAATATATTCCCTCCTGTGGAATAGTAGGGTGGCAAAAGACTTTCAGGCAACAAAAATAGAAGTCAGAAGATAATGAAATAATGCCTAACTCAACTAACACTTAAGAATGTGAGTAAATAAAGACATTTCAGTCATGAAATGACTGAGCCAGTTTATCACTCACAGACCCTCATTGAAAAAAATTACTAAATGATGTGCTTGACTAAGAAAGAGGCTGAAACTGAAAAGAGTAGGCTGCAAGAAGCAATGGTGAAAAAATAAAATAATGAAAATAGAATAAAAATAAAATAAACATGTGGGTAAAAATAAACAAGCATTGACTATTTTCTTTTAAACAGAGTAATTTGGGTTTGTTTAAAAAAATATGGAATTATAATTTTAGACAACCATAACATTAAAAAAAGTGGCATGAGTGATCTAAGTTTTTTGTTTTCTTCTGAGGGAATGTGGGGATATTGTTAAACTTTAAGCTCTGTGAATACAGAGTTTAAAATTATGGGTACCCAGTAAAAGTATGAAAATAATATATATGACATCAATGCATAGTCGGGGAAAAGAAGGAATCGTCTCAAGAAGGCAGGAAAAGAGGAGAAAAAAAGAAGCACCAACAAAAGAAAGCATGGTAAAAATAAAACTAGAAGTCAAACAACAAAAAAGAAGTAATATGTTCATCAATAATCACAAGAAATAGGAATTAATTTAACTCCATATTCTAAAGAAAGATATTCTGAGATGGAATAAAAATATAAAATCTTGCTTAGACTGTTTCTAAGAGACATTCCTGAAATATAATAATGAAAGACTGAAAGGGGTAAGAAGGAAAAGTGTATACCAGAAAAGATATTCACCAAAAGAAGGCAGATGCAGCATTATTGATGTTAGGCAAATAAGCCTTTAAGAGACAAAGAATTATTAAGAATAGTGATAAAAGGAATAATTTACTAGAAAACTATCTTAACCTGAAATAACTAAATCATATAGACTCTACTATGTAAAGCAGCAATTGGCAAACTTGATATAGATAATGACAGATTAACAAACACGGTTTGCAGTTTTCACATACTTCTTTGAGAAATTAGTAAGCCAGCTAAGCAGAAAAAATAATTTTTATAAGTCACGAAAAATTTTGCAAAACAAAATAAAAACGATTAACTATATATGTTACACATTGGAAACTTACAGCCCCAAATTAGAAAATAGTATTATTGAAGTAAGCACACCGTTAACATTTACAAATTTGACCAAACAAAAAGTCACAATGCAATTGTCAAAAAGCCCCAGAAAATCGAAATACACATCTGTTTTCTTATACCTTGGCACGAGTAAGTATAAAAAAATAGAATTATAGTTAGAAACTGCCAATATATTTGAAAATTAGCAAAACATTTTAAAATAATTTACTGTTTAAAATGTGTTATTGAAGTTACAAAATATTTAAAATCAAATGACAAGATAAGCACTACCTTTTAAAGATCATAAAATGAAGCTAGTACTTGGAGAAAATTTATAATCTTTAACACAAATTAGAAAGGGGGAAAGATTAAAAATGAGTTAAACATTTAAATCAAGAAATTAGGAAATGAATAACATTGTAAATCTACAGTAACTAGAAGAAAGGAAATAATGAAGGGAATATATTAATGAAAAAGAAAAAGAGAAAACAACCATGCCAAAAGCTTTTCTATTGAAAAGACTAATAAAATCATTCTCTAGCTTGACTGATTGAAAAAAAAGAGAGAAGAAAGAAATAGTCAAAATTAGAAAGTTTAAAAGGGCAAATAAACACAGACGTAGAACATATTTAAAAGTATTAAGTGATATTTTAAACAACATAATATCAATTAATTTAACACAAATTATAAAAATGAACAATATCTAGGTAAATATAAATAACTATAATTGATTAAAGAAAAAATAGAAGACATGAGCAGATTTATTTTTAATCATCATATAAATTTAATCTACCAAACACCACCTGTTCCCCAAAAACCTATTAAAATAAATAATAATAATTTTTTAAAAAGAAAGGAAAAAATAAATAAATTTAATCTATATCCAAAATTTCTTTGTTATAAAAAAGAATAGGCCACTATAATTTTACTAGAGTCCTCTTAAACTTTCCAAGAACAATTGTCCTGTTATATAAGATGTTTTAGAAAAGAGCAAAAAAGGAAAAACTCCCCAAATCACTTAAGGAGGCCAATTACCTCTTCATAGCAAAAGTAGACAAATCAGTATTAGAAAGAAAACTTAAAGGCCTATCTCCTTCAGAAGTATAAATGCAAAAGTCACAAATAAAATAGCAATTAATTGAACCCATCTCCTATGTGTGTATGTGTGTGTTTATACATAGTATTTAACATTAGAAATATTGGTTAATGTAGTTTATCATGTCAGCAGATTAAAGAAAAAAATGGTAATTTGAAAAAACAGAGAAAATACAACCCAGTAATTATTTAAAAACTTTTAACAAAATGGAAATTGAAGGAATCTTTCTGAAAGACAATCTGTCTCAAACTGTAAGTAAACATAAGTATTGATAGAAGCATTTCCTTCAAAGTCAGAAACAAATCAAGAGTGCCAGTTATCAAGTTCTATTCAACATTGTATGGAAGGTCTTAGCTAGTTGCAATAAAAAATAATGTGAATTAGCCAAGGACCAAGATAAAATAGCTGCAAAACACATATCTGACAAAGCACTTGTATTCACAATATAAAAAGAACTTTTCCAGAATATATAAATAACTACAAATTACCTATGAATAAATCCAAGCAAAGATGTGAAAGCTCCTATCGATAAAATTATAAAATTTTGTTGAGGCACACAAGGAAGATGTTAATATTTGAAGAGAGATACATATGTCCTTGTAGGAAGACTTAATATCATAGGATGTTAATTCTCATCTAATAAATCTCTAAATTCAATGCAACTAATCACAACCTTACAGAGTTTTTCATGAGCTTGATAGAAAACTAATTCTAAAATTAATATGGATGAGTAAAGGGCCAAGAATGATCAACAAAAATTTGAAGAAGAATTAGGAGGGGAAATTTTCTTGTTCAGATATCAAGTTATTATAAAGCTAGATTAATAAAATCTGGATGATATTGGCATACTAGTAGACAAACAGACCAATGAAACAGACTAGAGAACTTGGAAACAAATCCATTTACACATATAGGAGAGAGAGACAGAATGTGTGTGTGTGTGAACCCATTTACACACACGGGTGTGCGTGTGTGTGTCTGTAGGCACATGCCAGAGCCTGTGTAAAACTGGTATATGATGAAGGTAACATTGTAGATCACTGGAGAGTGAGAGGCGGTGGTGTACGGGAGAAACACTGACAACATGTTCTGGGACATCCGGCTTGCCATTCCAGATGGGTTAAAGCTCTAGATGTGAAATGCGAAACTTTAATACATTTAGAAAGAGAAAAGAGAAAATGCTTTTATTATAATTACATAATATAATTTATATAATATAATTAAATATTATATAATTTCTGAAAAATAATACCATATATAAGACGCAAAAAGCATAAGCCATAAATGAGAAGACTGATTAGAAATGGCACTACATTAAAATTTAAATATCTATATCAAAATAGACACCATGAACAAATAAAAAAGAGAAGCCACAGATTTTTTAAAATGCAAATGAAAAGATTAAAGACAATGTATTAGCATCCAAAACATATAAATAATTTCAACTATTGTTAATTAAGTAACAAACAATTCCTCCCACTCAATGTCCACAATGAAATGGTTATTAATGAAGTAATTCACAGAGAGGGAGTCAAAATATCAAAAAACGTCAATAGTAACCAGGAAAATTTCAGTAAAGCAACAGTGAGACAATGTAAGTGCCTCAAGTTTATAAAAATAAAAGTCTGGGCGAAAGAGCAAGACTCTGTCTCAAAAAATAAAAAATAAAAGTCTGATGACGTCAGAGGTTTGATGGTGTTCAGTGTCAAGGTTTGCATGGGAATCAGAACCACACAGTCTGCTGCAACCTCTTTGGAGAGTAATAACCCACATGTCCATCAGCAGAGGATAAACAAATGCATTACATGCTGAAATAATATAGGATAAAAAAATCAGAGAAAGAGATGTATAAGTATCAACATGGTGAAACTAGAAAAACTTGTCTAATGAACAAAGCAATTATCAAAAGTAGACCTTGAGTATGAAGGCATTTATATAAATTCTCAAAACACACAAAGCAAGATTACATATTGCTAATGGTAACATATGTATGCAGTAAACTTAAAAGTATAGAAGGATATATAGCCACCTCAGGATAAGTAAGGGTTATCTCTGGGAATGAAGAAAGAGTTTAATGGGAAAGATTATCTTCAGATCCATTTCATTTAAAACAAAAGCTCTGAAGCAACTATGGCAAAGTATTTTTGTTAAAATCTAAGTGGTGGGTACAAAGAAGTTTGATATGTTACTTTCTGAGCTTTTTTTAAGGTTTGAAATATATTATAACTAAAATAAAGTTTAAAAACAACTACACAAAGTTTCTGGCTAATGCAAATACTGAATAAAGCTGCCCCAAATCTTTATGAGTTATAATACAAATAAACAACTATCCCCAGCTTTATTACAGGTTTTCAAAATCCTTCTAGATTATAGAAAAAGGATAACTTGCTACATTTTAAACTTGGTATGTGCATTTGAGAAGACAGATTTGGCAAGGGTTTTATTTACAAACAAGGAATATATCCTGGAACCACTAATTGTTAGTCATCTATAGTAAATATGCACATAGATTTTTAAGTGGTGACACCAAATGGGTACTTGGTACCTGTTAGAAGTCATGTTTCCCACATTCTCAGCACCAATAATGACTGAAAGGGCCAGACAGCACTAGGCAGTTCTTGGTTTTAATCAAAACTCTACATGTTTTAACTGCCAGGAAACTCAGAGTTCACTGAATTATTGTTATTGCAGTGAATTTAACCTAGTTTGGGGTCTTATTTATTTATTCTTTCTATTACTTAGCTTTTATTTGTGATTTCCCTTTAAACCAATTCCAAAAGCAATACAAAATGAAAATGAAACATTAAAAAATAATAGAAATGTAAAAAAAAACACTTGTTCTCTTTGATTTTGTGACTATTCATTGATGTGTATTAAAACTTTTTATGATTTCTATTTTCTCCTGTCTGAGGGTAATTTTCATGTTTTGAAGTCAATGACTAAATTTCACTTCTGCACAAATGTAATTGGAATTCCTACTAGTTGGTTTATTCCAACAACAACCTCTTTTATGCCTTCTATTTAGCCTTCTGTGGAGGTTTACATCATTTACCATTCATTCGGTCATTCATTGATTCGATGAATATTAGTGAGTGCTTACTACATATATTCAAAGCACACATGAAGAAATTTGAAAAGTTACCAGAAACGTGGTCTCTTAAGGAAAGTAATGGTGTCATGTAAAGATGGCCCTTGAGAAATGGTAGACAGATTCAAAAGCATTGCATTCCTTTTGATTCTTTCAGGGCAGCTCCTCATGTACGAGTTTAGGGGCATACAAGACAGCATTAGTAGCACTTTTGTTATCCGGTGGTCTCTCATTCCCTAATGCTCACTCGAAGCACCCTTCAGAAGCACATTTTCATCATGCTAAGAATTCACACAGAATTTTAAGAGTCATGACTCCATTATTCTAATTTCAGAATTTACCTACATTATCACAAGGATAGGAAAAAAGGAACATGAAGAATCAGTATTTGAAATGATTTCTAATTGTTCTGAGGTAATCTTGTAGAGTCAGAAAATCTACAATGATAAGAACAAACCCTGTCTATTCTATTTCTAGCCTGACATTCCATGGAAGGATTTGGCAATTCCAGAATTGCTCCAATTTCTGATAAGAGTCTGATGAGTTTTAGTCTGTGGTCTTATCTGCGTATCATATTACTCAAAACATCTCTTTATAAATAATGCCCAACTTAAATTTCATTAACAATAAATAGATGGGATCCACAGGGTTGTGTGCAAAAACCAGTGAAGCGTGTTTTCTAGCCTGTGGATGTGGGATAGGTAGGAGGCCTGGCCAGGATGAGGCCAGCACAAAGATGCAATCTTGGGACTTGAAGGAAAGAGTTAAGCGTTATGAGGCATTTAGCTTAGGAAAATTAGGAATTCAGCTTAAGAATATGCCTTTGCTCCTTTCTATCTCAAATTTTACCTCATTCATTTTGATAGGTGGTCAGATTATTCCCTGATTTAACTACTTCATTGTGGCCAGGCGTGGTGGCTTACACCTGTAATTCCAGCACTTTGGGAAGCCGAGGCAGGCGGATCACCTGAGGTCAGGAGTTCCAGACAAGCCTAGCCAACAGAGTGAAACCCTGTGTCTACTAAAATACAAAAAAATTAGCAGAGCATGGTGGCAAGCACCTGTAATCCCAGCTACTCGGGAGGCTGAGGCATGAGAATCGCTTGAACCCAGGAGGCAGAGGTTGCAGTGAACCGAGACTGTGCCACTGCATTCCAGCCTGGGCAACAGAGTGAGATTCTGTCTCAAAAACAATAATAATAAAATAATAATACTTCATTGCTTTCCCTAAGCTGCTAGATGAAATACAAACTAAGTCCTTAACTTGGAATGCCACAGACTTCATGATCTGGTCTCTACAGCTCTAACTTCATGTCTCCCTGGTATGCCAAGCTCTCCATGGCTGAGATTGATACTTCTCTTCTATTATCCCATAGCATTCACTGCATCCTTCTACCGTAGCACTCACCACACAGTGCTGTACCTGCTGGCCTACTTCTAATCACCTCACCGTTTACTGGTCATGTAATCTTGTTCATTAAGCATTTGTTGAATGACTGAAAGAATAAATGACAGGAAGGAGACTTTTGAACTTGTAGAGTCCCAAGGCTATGAAATGACAGGTTTGCAACCATCTAACGTATTGTGATAGCCACATTTGAGGAATTCAGCTTGACCCATCTTTTTTTTTTTGGAAAAGATACTGGAAAACTTGTGGAGATGGTGAAATTTGTTCAGTGCTTTTTATTTACTCTTTCTCCCTGACATTGGGCACCCTTGTTCTAGCCTCTCTTCCTGTTTCTATTGTCCCTAAACTAAAGTCATACTGAGATATGAGTGGTAGTGGGTTACTGCTTTCGGCGTCCTTCCATCTTTAAAGGACTTCACTGAAACAAACATGTTTAGCCCAAAGGGAAACAAATATTTAGTGGATTTCAGATCTAGCAACAAGGAAGAGAAGGAAGGTGTTTGGGGGCTGAGGCTTCCTCAGCATCTCTCAACCGATATTAAGTTAAATAACCCAAATATCTTGCATGCAAAATGCTCCCACATTCCGGGGTATGGAGTAGGAACTCAACTAATTTGAGTTCTTTTCTCCTAAAGTTTTGGTTTTCAACATTTGGCCATGTCTGGAGACATTTTGGGTTGTTACAATTAAGGGGGTGCTACTGGCATCTAGTGGGTAGAGGACCTTGATGTTGCTTACCATCGTATAGTGCACATATTAACCTCCTGACCCCACCAACAAAGAATCATCCAGGCCAAAGTGTCAATGGTGCTGAATTTGAGAGAGTTTGGTTTAAGGTAAGTAAAGTTTAATAATGGAAATTTGGAATATGCTAATTCCCTTCTAAGTGGAAATAATTTGCTTTTCCTAAATACTGTGGAATTCTTCCAATATATGTCTCAGATACATGGTTTTGTGAACAGTTACCTAGGATTCAGGGCATAGAAATACCATTTCCAACCAGGTTGCACATTTATTTCATCTCTTACATGTTTCTTTTTGGCAAATGGGGCCATGTACATGAATGCTACTATACACTCAACAGTTTAGATTTTTTTGTTAAATTATAGTTTTTCTTTAAATAGACAATTGGTTGATTGATTTACTTTCATGGGGGCGTTTTCTATTGAAAATCAGAAAACCTACTAGAAAAATTCTAAAAACTAACAAACAACCTTTAATACCGTGACTAGTAATTGTTCTTTCCCTCCCAGTAGAAAAAAAAATA
The DNA here is from genome assembly GCF_000001405.40 of Homo sapiens. Classification (NCBI taxonomy): domain Eukaryota; kingdom Metazoa; phylum Chordata; class Mammalia; order Primates; family Hominidae; genus Homo; species Homo sapiens. The sequence continues at coordinate 103,114,150 of NC_000012.12, forward strand.
CATATATATGCTTTCCATTATTGTTAAAGTGTTTCAATAAAGTGGGAGACATTCTGTTGACAGGTTTAAAATGTTCAAATACAACTTTGTGTTTTACGTTTTAAAGAAAGATCAGTTTAGACGGTGGGGATAGAAAGCCAGTGGGAGTTATGGCCATTTGTGGTGCACGGGAAGCGTGGCCTAAAGAGAAGGGCCCTGGGTTAGGACTCAGATGGTCTGTCTCTTAATCTGATGGTCCTCAAGATGTGGTCCCTGGAGCAGTAACGGCATCAATATTTTCCTGGGGATTTGTGAGAAATGCAAGTTCTCAGGCTCCACTCCAGACCTGCAGACTCACACACTCTGGGTTGGGGCCCAGCACACAAGCCCTCAAGGGGACTCTGATAAACACCAGAGTGTGGGAACTGCAGACCTAAACTCTTTCACTTCTGCTTTTATCATGTGGGCAAGTTAGTTACCTTCTCTGCCCCTCAGCTTTGTATATTTGTCCCCTTGCATGAGAATGCAAGGAGACTTGGATATAAAGGTACTTTGTAAACTGAAAAGCATAATGCAGTATTATTAATCCATGACAAATCAGAATTAGAAACAATGCTGTTGAGGACAGAAGGCCTGGACCTCATTTTCAAATGTGTCCTTGACTTTTTCTGTTTATTACCCCAAAGCAGACATATCCACCCAGGGACAGTGGCTCAGGCCATTTACCAATCAGATAGAGGATTCATGGAAATGACTCAGTGTTTACCAGGGCAAGCAAGAAAACTTGCAAGCCATGCAAAAAAGGCACGCCCAAACAACTAATGAGTGTTAGCATCCTGGCATAATTGTGTCTCAATGTACTTGGTCTTTGCCGTGACCAATTGTACACTGAACTTCAGTCTCCCTGATAAAGTCTCAGAACTAAAAATACACTGTAAAAACGGCATTGAGTTCTGGCTGGTCACACATCATCTTGCAAAAAGGGAATAAAGTCTTTATGTTAATCTCTAAATATTTTCAAAATTAATCTCTCATACTATTATTTCCTTCTTCATTGCTAGGCTGCCATGCAATAAATGCTCTCAAATTGTGGAACTGCAGTTGAAACCCTAAAGAGTCAGTGGGTTATTTTTTATTGCGACCATAAAATAACCTGGACATCTTTTTGTGTTCCAGTTGAAGTTTTAACATGATATTATGAGAGCCTTTGCCTTTCTCCACACCCCAATTACAGCTTAGCAAAGCCACCATATACTGGAAGCTAAGAATTCTAAGCTATTTTATTTCCTCTGTCACACTAAAGTCAAAAGAGCATCTTAGAAAATTGTGTAGACACTAAAGTAAAATCATTGTAAAGGTTATTTCTATTTAGGGCATATGGAGAAGGTAGTAATTTATTTATCCATGGCTAGTTTTGGCCTTAGTACTCATCCATAAAAGCAGAATCTCGTTACCCACTTCCCGGAGTTGTTTTGAGAATTTAATAAGATAGTAAGATATTTAGTACATGTAAAGGATTTAGTGCAGTAGTTGACACATAGTATGTGCTCATTTAAGAACATAGATATTTATCTCCAAAAGTTAGTTCAAAGACCCAGGCTTGCTTTTGTGAACAAAAAGGGACTTCTCCCAGTTCTACCCATAGCATTTGGATTTTCTTGGTAAGGGACTGGATTCACTTATCGAAATCATGAAAACAGTGATGGGTTTTATAAAACTGTAGCTTGATTTGGTCTAGATCATCTGCACAGTAGCACATGAGCATGAGTTCAGTCATGGGGTGCTTTGGACTTGGCGTTTGGGTTATCAAAGAACATTTGTGAAACAATGGATCGATATGTGAACATATTATTGCACCTCTGATAAGGAGAGTCAAATGGAGCAAATTTTTACTGCCAAAATGGGGAGCTGATCAACGTGTCCTTTGCCTCCTGATGAAATATAAATTTGGGGCCGGGCGCAGTGGCTCACGCCTGTAATCCCAGCACTTTGGGAGGCCAAGGCGGGCAGATTACCTGAGGTCAGGAGTTTGAGATCAGCCTGGGCAACACGGTGAAACCCCGTCGTCTCTACTAAAAATACAAAATTAGCCAGGCGTGGTGACACATGCCTATAATCCCAGCTACTCGGGAGGCTGAGGCGGGAAAATCGCTTGAACCTGGGAGGCAGAGGATGCGGTGAGCTGAGATCACGCCATTGCACTCCAGCCTGGGCAACAAGAGTAAATCTCCATCTCACCAAGAAAAAAAAAAAATATATATATATATATATGTATACATATACATATATATATATAAATTTGGGAAGATAGGGAACCTGCCTTGGTCTGTCAGTGTGTCATAGAGATTCCTGGCCAATCTTAGTCGTTCACTGACACTGCAATATGCCTCTCCCTGCCATGTTTCCCAAATGTCTAATTCCAGCAAGAGTTGTTAATAAAAAACAGTGAGTATTCATTGTGTACTCACCCTGTGCCAACAAAGTACTCTCACCAATTTAGCTAGTGAACATTTGCTGCTGCATGGAGGCACTGTGCAACATGCTAGGGATTCAACAAGACATATGAAAATCTCAGTCTCTCGTCCTCACTGAGTCTCATTAGGTTCTTTATCTATTGTAGTCTTCACTGTAGGAAGGTATTTTTCTCCCCATTTCATATCTGAGAATGATGAGGTTCAGAAAGATAAAGTACCTTGCTTATGATCACACTGTGAGTGCATGTCAGAGACCAGATTCAAATCTAGGTTTGCCTAATCTTTTTTAAATTTAATTTTATCTTTTAATTGACATATGATAATTGTACATATTTATGGGATACATAGGGAAACATTTGTTTCCATACATATATAGTAATCAGATCTGGGTAATTAGCATATCCATCATCTCAAATATTTATCATTTCTTTGTGTTGGGAACTTCAGTATCCTCCTTCTAGCTATTTGAAACTACAAAATATATTATTGTTAACCACACTCATTCTACAGTGCTATAGAACACTAGCATTTATTCCTCTTATCCAGCTGTAAGTTTGTTTTATCTTTTAACAAAATCTCCTTATCTCTCCTTCTTCCTACCCTTTCCAGCCTTTCCAGCTTCTAGTGTCCTCTGTTTTCCTTTCTAATTCCATGAGATCACTATTTTTTTAGATTCCACATGAGTGAGAATGTGCGGTTTTTAACATACTGTTTCTGGCTTATTTTGTTTAATAGACCCTATTATATTCACAATGGCATGCTGTCCCTAACTATATTTAGTGTTTAGCCCTTTTTGCCATGAGAATTCCAAACTCTACTCTTTCAGTGAAGCAGTCTCAGATCCAGTGTGACTCTTTGCACTTAATTTTGTTTAAACCTTGTCTCAGGATTTAAACGATGGCTGCCATCTATGCATGGGTTACTTATTGCATTCCAGGCCCCATGGATCTTTTGCTTACATTTCCTTGTTTAACCTTCACATCAATGCAGTGAGGGAAGTGTTTTTGCCTGTTGCTATCTGCATCTGCAGGTGAGGAAACTGAAACCCCAGAATTAAATAAGTGAAAATGTTTGAATTCAAACCTAGTTCTCTGATTTTGCACACTGGATTTGCTTTCCATAGTGGTGGAGGGTAGAGGTGAAGATGAGTAATGTGATTCTGGATTATTATTTCCTTCCAGTATATTCAATGAAGGCAACCTGAGTATAGCTCTGATTTGTAAATAACAACATTGAAGTTTAAAATGCTTACTCCCCAGCTTATTAGCCTCATAGTCTTTGAAAACTTAGGTTCATTCTTCTCATCTACCAAAGAAAGCTAAGCATACTTTCCACTGTTACTGTAAGGATTAAATGAGATAATTTATGTAAAAATGCTTTATGAATTATAAATCAAAGAGGAAAGTGAAGCATTAGATACTTAAGTGTCCTTAACTTTGTAAGAGGAGGGGTATGAATTTATAATCCTAATAAGTAAGCTAGTGTTTTCGTGGCCCCAGCTTCAAGGCAGCTCATGCCTGGAGGGAACTGTTAGCACTTTCCTTGCCACTACAATGATCCTGTATGTGCCTGCCTTCCTCACTTGACAGCAAAAATCTGGAGAACAGGCACCATGACTTATTGATGTCTTTCTATCTCCGGTGCCTGGTACACACACCAAAAGGAGACCTTTAATAAATATTTTGAAGAATGAATGAATGAAACAATGAATGGATGAATGAATTGAATTGTCTATTGGAAGGTGAGAGTGTGAGGGGAACATCAAGCCCTGGTAACTCATACTCAGCTTCTGCTACTAACTAATGGCATGAGCACCATTAGCCATCAGAGATGGTCCAAGATTCATATGGACCTTTCACATATGGAAGTATTATATCTCTTTAAGCACCTGAAACTATGAAAATACTAGCTTTTGGCTGGGCGCGGTGGCTCATGCCTGTAATCCCAGCACTTTGGGAGGCCAAGGCGGGCGGATCACGAGGTCAGGAGATCGAGACCATCCTGGCTAACACGGTGAAACCCCGTCTCTACTAAAAATACAAAAGATTAGCCAGGCGTGGTGGTGGGCGCCTGTAGTCCCAGCTACTCGGGAGGCTGAGGCAGGAGAATGGTGTGAGCCCGGAAGGCAGAGCTTGCAGTGAGCTGAGATTGCGCCATTGCACTCCAGCCTAAAAAAAAAAAAAAAAAAAAAAAAAAAAAAAATACTAGTTTTATACTATCAGATGGTATGCCTTAGATTTATGAATTTATGGAAATTAAAGTTTTTAATACTTTACATTTCTGTGATTTAAATGCACACATTCTTAAAGATTTAGCCCTTGATTTAGCCTATAAAATGGGCAGCCACATGCCCCAAGTTGCCCAAAAAGTCCAAGTTTTTAATCTCCTCTCCTACGGTAATTATTAGTTCTCCTTTCACTCTCAAAAATGTTTTGTCTTAGACAATTAAAGATAAATGGACACGGATATCACTTGCCAGATTTCTCTGCTCCCACTAGACACTGGAGGGAGCAGTATAGTTAAATGGTTAGGAGCGTATGGGCTTTGAGGTCTAACAGCCTGGATTTTAGTACTGTTCTCTTTATTTACTAGCTGTGTAATCTTGGATGCATTATTAACCTTTTTAAATGTTATTAATAATTACTGTTATTAAAAGGAGGTTAATAACAGTATCTACTTCAGCAGTCATTGTGATGATTAAATGAGATAACACATGAGAAGGAGGAGCAGAAGGCCTAGTGTGCAATAACCACTCAATAGCTGTTGATTATCAGCTATCAATGTAGTTTTTCCCCTCATTTTTGTCCCATTGAGTTGGAGCACATCCACTAATAAAGGTATTTGGCTGTATCTGGACCTATGCCTAGGGGAAGAGCTCAGGAAATAGGCTATGGTGGCAGACAAAAATGTGGTGGTAAGTGGCTTGTAAGCGATAAGGGCTCCTGATCTGGCAGATCAAGATAACTTTCCAGAGAATGGAATCATTGTGCCGCGTCTGTCTTCCTCCCAATCAGCTATATGCCCCATGAGGAGAAGGACTATATCTGACTTTTTAACCATTAAAAAATTAGATTCTGAGCACCTAGCCCAACACCTGGCATATATGAAACATTTAATAGATATTAATTGGAAAGGTAAATAAATTGGGATAGAGTCTTCAATTCACATATATTTATGCACATATATGAAGCCACCATTTCTTGTCTTTTACCTCGAAGCCAACCACTGCCCTTTATGATATAAAGACTTAGGCAGTCAGTTTTGCCATTTCAATCCAAGCTTGGCCTTTGGCCCTGCTGTTGGTTGAAGATCTTTGATATGGTGGTACAACTCTTGGTTTCTTCTGCTTCTGAGGAAATCTGCCATCTCACTGAATTATCAATTGAGGAGTCCACACAGCACTGGAGGCTGGGGAAAAGGGATGGCAGGGAAGTAAAAAGACATGGAAGAGCTATTTCTTGTATTCCCAGGACATACATACTTAACTTATGAATAATCTTTTATGGAGCACCTGCTATGTGGTGAGCACTGTATTCTGCATAGGAGACACAGATATGAATAAGACAAGGTCCCTGTTGAGAAGTTGAGTTCAAGGGACAGATAAGGAGTGTTTTGGGGCAATGTGTTAAGTGCAATAATAGAAGCCCATATAAGACATAATAGAAGCATAGAGTGAGGACTGGGAGAGATAATTACTTCTGCATGTGAGCATTGTGGAAGGCCTTATGGAAGAGGAGACACTTGAATCAATCTAAAGAGCAGATTTGCAAAATGAATAAACAAAAAGGACATAGCCATAGGTAAAGAGATAATCATTTGCAGAGGGATGGGATGAACAGTGCTAACAGTGTGGGAAGTGATCAAGAGCATGCTAGAGGTAAGAATGCTTGAATCATCAGAGGCAGAGGTGAGAAAGAGGAGGGAGATACCGGTGCCTTAATATGTCAATTGCTTGACTTAAGGAACATAAATCTATTTCTCCATGCTTCACTTTTCTTATCAATAAGATGGGGATATAAAAATACCAACATCATGGGGTATTTGTGAGAATTAAATGAAATAAACATCAGTTATCTTATATTATGATTACTATGATTATTATTACTATAATATCTGTTATTACTATAATAATGATTATTACTATAATTATTATTCTATTATAGTATATTATATATACCATATGATTTATACATTTTTAACATATAACATGTATTATATACTATAATAAAATTATTATTATACTCCTGGATTTGAAGATTTGAAGAGATAGTAGAATACTCACAGATTGACAGAGATAAGGATGATGGTTTCTAAGTATAAGTAATTTACATCAAAAACCTCAGCCAACACAAATGCTCTGGAATTAGTGGATTAAATACTTTGTGCTGTGGTCAAAATCCTAAATTTCTTGGCACACCCAATCTGGCAAAATCATTTAAGTCAGTTAAAGTGATAGAAATGTAGACTTACTCAAATCCCACTTTCAAATAGTTCTCAAGATGCCTTATCTGTATAGAGTGGAAATTTAAAACCAGGGTAAATGTATATTAAAATAATGATAATGGACGATGTTGTTTTTTATCACATTCAGGCAGAGTTCAAAATCAATGGATCTTCAAAGAAGTAAAAATAATCAGTTATTGAACTGATTTATTAAAAATAAAAGCTTAATTCTCATTTCAAAAATGACTACAGATTGTGATTTACCAGAGAAGAGACAAGAGAAGAGCTGAGGCATTGACTTGTCCTGGTCAGCAGGCTGAATAGAAGCCTTTCCTTGGGGCTTTGGAGTGAGGCAGCAATGTCTTAGGAAAGACAGTATGCAAAGGAAGGTTGTTTCAGTGGAGTTTCCATGAAATCCAGGAACACGGAGATGAATCAAATTGGAGTGTCCTTAGTCTGCATGATTTCTGTGCCATTTGGGCATGGAAGAATAGACAGCATGCAGAGAAGAGAGAGAGCTTCATTACCTGACTTAGTAGGCCAACACCGGTGGGCTGTGCCCAGTGACCACGCTATCATCATCCCAAGTATCCTACAGGAGTGTGATCCTCCACTCATTCACTTTCAGGTATTTCTCATGTGTGAAGTCTGATTCACACGACCCTGATGTTCAACAATTGCTACTCCCAAGGGTTTGAAATTCTATTCAGACTAGATGAAAAGATTAGGCCCTGCTAGTTTTTGTGACTTTATCTATATCACTGTATTTTGTTACCTAAGTCATTTGTATTTCAACTCAGCAAGAAAGACTAATAACACAAGTACTTTAACATTTTTTTAGAGATTATTCAGGTTGAACAAGCAGTTTAGATGATAGGTTCTGATTTTTTCTTATGTGAAAAATTGCCTTATCCTTTACCTCATTTTGTTATGTATAGACATAGCCCTTGTCTCTGCTCAAGGTAGCCATGGCACTATTGTTTTTTTCTGCAAAATTCTGTGAAACAGCAGTGCAAAAAGTATTTAGATGGTAATAGACAGCAGAGTTGGGGCCAGGCTGGAGGAAGAACTGTGGCTGCAGTTTGAAATGCTTTGAACTCTCAAGGCAATGAGTCAGTAGGGTGCAAACAACTTTGATTTTCCATTTCCCCAACTCTTCTCTCTGCATGTTTCCATCTGTGACTACTTCCCCCACTTTATAAAGGAAAAGGCAGTGATACGTGGTAGGGTTCATGGCCAATGCATTTCAGAATTCATTAGGGAGGAGAGCTAACAATCCTGATGTGCAGAGCAATAGGCTTTCTGCATGGGCAATTTAGGGTAAGGTTTCAGCCATTATTGTATTCATTCATTCATTCATTCATTCATTTGACAAATATTTATTAAGTATCTGCTATGTGTCAGGCACTATACAGCTTTTGGGAATTCAGGAGTAAACCAGACAGAAATGAAACAAGGAGGGATGATAGGGAGTGTTGGTATAGAGTTGCAATTTTGATAGGATTATCAGGAAAGACCCCACCGATAAAATAATATTTTTATAAAAATCTGAAGGAGGTAGGAGAGCAAGTCATACAGCTATCTTCAGAAAGAACATTTTGGGCAGGAGAAATGTGAGGGCTGAGGCTCTGACTTAGAAACCTTCCCAGTATGGTTAAAGAACAGCAAGGTCTACAGCAGGGGCAGTTGGGTATTAAGAGTGTCAGAGAGTTTATGACAGGAGAGTCTTGCAGATCAATATAGGGACTTTGTCTTTTTACTATGAATAAGTTAGGGAGTCCTTGGAGGATGTGGGCAAAGGAGGCACATGAGCTGCCTTGCATCCTAGCAGGATATCAGTCTGATGGCTGTGTTGAGGATATATGAAGAGGGCCAAGGGTAAAAGGCAGGGATACTAGTTAAGAAGCTGCTACAGAGGCAGGGGGAATAATTATGAAGCTGCTACAAAGAAACAATGGTGGTTTGGATCAGGCTGTTGGTAGTGAAGTCATGAGAAGTGGCTAAATTCTGGATATATTTAATTGGAAATGATGCTTACAAGAGCTTCTACAGAAACTGATCCAAGTCAGGGGAGATTAGTAGAGTAAAATTTTGGAATTTTCAGAGAATTTATCGTGGTCGGTGTGGGCTTAGCACCTGCCTTGCAATGCTAGTGACCCACACCAATCCTAGAGTGAAGAGGTTACCTAAGGAAAAATTCAGCCAGTTGGCAAATGTTTGCAGACAAGCCATTGCAGGTAGGGAGTGCTGAAGGCTTCAATGTCATTCAAATCCTCAGACTGACTGGGTGAGAAGCAGGCTGGGGAGCTTTAGGAGATGGCAGGAACTCCGTTCCCAAGATAATTCTGGAGTGATCTCATGCATGGTTGTCCCCACTTTGGGTCAGAAAAGGCATCTGATTTGAAGAGAAATAGGCAAAAAAAACATGACCTGAGAAAGTAGACCCTTACTCCCTAATCAAAATGACTATTTGAGGAGCTTGGTGATAAAGAAAGCATAATCATAAAAGAAAGAAAGATAGCCTATGTTTAAGGCTTAGACTTACGTTTCCCAATATGGTAGCCATTAGCCACCTGTGGCTATTGTGCACTTGAAAAATGGATTGAGATGTATTGAAATTGTAAACTACTTATGGATTTCAAAGTATAGTAACACTATAAAATATCACTTTAATAAATTTTATATTGATTACATACTGAGGTGATAATGTATTGCATATATATTAAATATATTAACATATATTATTAAAATTATTTTACCTATTTCTTTTTATTTAAAAGATTAACCATCAGAGATTTAAAATAATACACATGGCTCACATGTACTCACATTACATTTCTATTGGGTAGGACTGTTTTAGAGTGTGCAAAACACTTTCCCAGACATTAAGCCATATAACACTTCAAGGTAAATGCCAATTTATCTCCGTTTTACTTGAAGAAGTCCAGGTTCCAATAATACCTGCCAAAGAATCCCCAGCAAGTGGTTGAAACTCTTACCCTGTGGTCATGATAAGAAGACTCTGTATCAAGAATGTAATTCATGGATATTCAAAAGCTCTTTAATTTGTAGTTTAATTGATCCACATTTGGTCTAATCCAAACATAAGCTTTTTTTTTTTTTTTTTTTTTTTTTTTTTTTATGGAAACAGGTTTCAGTGGCCCTGCTCCCAGATGTAACATTTTGTCCTTTAGAGGTCTGTTCCATCCTCACATCTGGTGTCCCTCATTATAGATGTATTTGAAGCACAGGAAAGTCCACAGAAAAGTGTGTACCATGGCTGGGACATCAAGGTTCTCCCTGAAGAAATGGAGATCTTTCTTGATGGTGGCTCTGCTCACAATAGGGCCATCTCTGTATCTCTGGCTACAGGGTTTTTACCCATTGTGACCCCTAGAACCTGGATGGGTTGTTTATAATTCTGCAGGACTCCAAGAGATCCTTGTTCACATGATAAGCTGGTTTTGATTTCCTCAGGGCCTGGTCACAGAGTGGGAACGAAGAAACTAAAATTTATTGAATTCCTATGCTGGGATAAGAGATGGATCTGCGGTGGTAGCAGGCTGCCTGGATACAGATCAGAAAACTCATCACCATCAACCAGCAGGTTGAGAAGGACAGAGAGGGGCCTTGGTATCATATAGTCTCTGGACATTGGCAGCTCCCAGTGCCTCTCCAGATCCTTGGGTAAACTTAACACTACACATCTTATATCTATAAACAGACCCTGCTATCAGAACTCTCAAAGACTATTTTGGGCAATACAGTATCTGAAAACAATCAAGATACAAACACCGAGGGCACTTAGAAGTAACTTCAGACTGAAGTTATTTATATATGGTTATATCCAGTGCTAAGAGTATGCAGTTGATCCTTTATTGACCTTTATACACACATTTTAATTCATTATCAGAAAGCATTATATTCAAACAGTTGGAATATTAACAGATATAGACTGATATTTGAGAGTCAGTATGTGTTGGTAAAATGGGTTTTCATCTATGAGCTGTCATTTGAGAGGCTCAAGAAAAATATCTTCTAAATGTTTTGTTTATATAAATTTCATGGTGATTTGGACTCCACCATTCTTTCATATTCTGTTTTTTGGTCCTTTTCAAAAAAGACTTTTGAGAAAGCCTACAGACTGAATTAGTTCACTGTAAGTTAGTAGCAGCTTAGATATGAAAAAGGCAGCTTTTTAAAAAAAGGTAAGCTAAGACCCCAAAGCCAGAAACTCCAACTTGAAAATAATCCAAGATCCAGAGGTGATACTAAAAAAACCAAAATATTGCCAATAAAATTATCTATGACCTCAGTCCAGGAAGAAGAAAGGGAGGTATCCACATCACCATCAAGACTCCATAGGACCCTCTCCTGTGAGCTCAGATGGTTGCAAGAACAATTGAAGAATGCACAATATATAAGTAGAGAAGATCAACACCCAGAGCACTGGAAAATCTGCGCATTTTTTTAAAAAAGCTATATAAGTGTAAAAGATAGAGGGAAGAAATGAGTTCATTGCTCATTATTAATGCTGACAGCTGACAGAGAAAGCTGAATTCTTCTTTTACTTATTTCTATATTGTATACCAAAATGTATGTTTTTTGTACTGGAAATACTAGGCCAATTACCATGAACAGGCAATTGATGAGGACCCCGGGTCAGATGACAATGTGTTCCCAAGTGATCATTTCTATCTTTCCTAACTCCCATTAAAACCACATACATGATACAGAAATAAAGGTGAGGAGACTAGCACCCTCACTGAAAACTGGAAAAGAATGTCTTCACCATAACAGAAACACTAAGATGTTTCTGCCAGAAATAGAGTATGAGAGACCATTGGAAGGAGACATTGTCAATTCCTGATTTCTCATCTTGGGGAAATAAGCAGCACCTTCGGATGTAAGTTCAGGAGATCTTGGTGCAATGCCCTAACTCAGAGTTACTATGCTGGAAATGGCGCTCTCCCTCCAGGGCAGTGAGTGCAATTGGAAACTGCTGGTATTCCTGCGCTGCCTTCAGAATTTATGCCCAATGAAAGTGGTGGCAGGAATTGACTATGGCATAACAGGAGTTGTGTCCCGGCTAGGGTGGCAGCACAAGGAAGAAATCTAGGCAATGCCACTGCCTGTATCTGCCCCAGGAAACTGGATCAAAACAAAGGCCAGGTCCCATTAGTACTAACCTCCTAGACATGGTTGTTTTATTGAAAGCAGAAAACAAATGATGCCAAGACAGCTCACCACCAGGAAAGCTGACAGCTCTGGCATTTTCCGTGTCACTTCTGGGAAGAGCTTGAAAGATTTGAAAGTCCATTACTGGTTCTAAAAATACTGAGAAAAGCCCATATTGTAACTAGGAATGAGTAACTTCTTAATACAACAAAGATTTATCTAAATATATTACAATAATCCTTCCCACTGGTAAAATGTTAGTTTCAGATCTATTAATGTCAGGAATAAGAGAAGATGCCCACCATGAGAGCTGTTATCAACATATTTTCTGGAAATTACAATCAATGTAATGGTTCAAGAATGTGAAGGTGTGTAAATATTAGAAAGGAAGACGCAAACTTGTTTGCAGATGACATGATAGAAAACCTCATGAAGTTAACTAAAAAAAAAAAAAGGAGACAATATTAAGAAAGGTGGTCAAAATGCCTTAGTTAGATGCTTATATAACAGTTCGTTTTTTCCGAAATAAGACTGTTCGCAAAAACTACAAAATATAAAATAACTGAATAGTAACTAAACAACTAAAAATAGGATCAAGTTTACTGAGGGGCAGATAAGGAGACATCACTATATAAAGGGCATGATGAGTGCTAGGTGCTCAATAATGGCATCCAAATGAAAATAAGCAAAGAACATTGAATACAATTCCTAAAATAAGAAATGCAGATAGTTAAAAATATTCAAACAGATGATCAGTCTCACGATAAAAATTCAAATGTGTAACTTGATACTATTTGTTTTACTTGTCAGATTATCAGAGATTTAAAATATTGCTAACACCAACTGCTGAAGATGATATGTGGAGAATTCAGCACTGTCATATAGAGCCAGGAGGAGCATCATTTGATGGCATGACCTTTCTGGAAGAAAAATAGCAAAATCTACAAAGGTCATCAGCCAAGAAATGCCACTTCTGGAAGTTTATCAGAAAATATCACTAAGTTTTTTGCATAAGAATACTAATTGTTGTGTTTCTTATACTTTGAAAATGTTTAGAAATAACCTAAATATGTTAATGGTATGGGATTAAAATGCAGTGTTCTCTAATACTAGGCATAAAATGCAACATTCATGCAAAATACCTAGTAAATTATTCACGTGCTATTACCCAAACACAAAAATGGGCTACAAAACTGTGGTCTATAACATGATCAAATTTTTACATATAAGAGTATATTGCTTGCATAAAAAAATGCATGGAATGAAAATAGAAGTGTGTGTGTATATATGTACACATGTACATACATACATACATGAGAGAGAAAGAGGGAGAGAGATTGATCATCACTCTTAACCCAGGGCAATTTAGCTCTTCAATCAGTGGACATTAGGCAGTATCTGAGGACATATTTTGTTTGTCACAACTGGACAGGGTGGTAATAACAGCATCTAACAGGTAGGGCCAGGGATGCTGCTACATATCCTGCAATGCACAGGACACCTCCCTACGACACATAATTATCTGGACCAAAATATTAATAATGCTGAAGTTAAGAAACCTTGATACATATGAATATATATCTATATTTATAGTACTTACGAGAACATTCTTTGTTTGACTTGTCTTTGCTCCTTTATATTTTTATGTGGTTTAAATGTTTTTGAAAATAGCACTAGATTATTTTCAGAATCAGAGAAGTTAATATAAAATGATACCTAAATAGGAAAGATTGCCCTTAAAGAGTCACATTCTTCTTGCCTCTTAATTCTTGACTAGCCTTTCTCCTCCTTTTTCTGAATGGCTATAATACTTCTAGTTGGTATCACATCACTTAAGATAATTGTAATTCATTTGATTTTATTATGGTATACTTTTCTGTGTATTCATCTCAACTCTCCAGTTAAATTCAGGAACCACCAACAATTTGAGGGGAGGGATCATGCTTCCCAGTTGCCCATCCTAGAGCCCAAAATATGGGAAGTCCTTGGTACCTGCTAAGGAAAGCATGGAATAGAGGAAAGAAAAAGCAAAGAGAGAAAAGAAGGGAAGGGGGAAGAAAGAAGAAAAGGCTACTGACTTTATAAATCTTTATACTTTCCCCTGCCCTTTCCTGCCCTGCACCTGGCTCAGGGCAGCCCACAGAACCGGCACCATTATATGGGGGGAGGGGGAGCAATGTGGTACAGCCGAAATGGCACTGGCTTTGCAGTTAGAGAAGTGGGTTTAAAGTTTAATCTTGCAACACATTATTTTATTTTTATTTATTTTTGATTTAGCAAACTCAGTACTTCCTACTTGCCAAGCACTGTTCTAAACCTTGCAAATATTTCTTGTGTCTTACTGGACAAATGCATGAAGTTTCCAGAGACCTGACTGTTCATCTTTAAAATGGGAACAACAGTACCTTGCATGGTTGTTGTAAAGTTTAGAGGTGATAATGTATATAAAGTGCTAGGGACAGGGCATGATGTATGGTAGGCACTCAATACATGGAGTGATTTTCATCATCATCATTGTCATTATTTCCATTATTCTGATCACTCAATAAAGTCTTTTCAGATGATAAGTTATTAGTCAGCCTAATAGACTGTGAGATTTAAAATATATCTTGAAACTATTTCTACAAATGAATTACTAGCTTGTTAGAGGGTAAGATTGCTGTTTACACACTCTTGAAGGAAGAAATATTATCTTCTTTTTTGGAAGATCATCCTGGCTGCCTGACTGCAGAACCTGAGGCATATGATACAGAGAGGGTGGGGGAAAGGGAGGCAGCACCCAGCCATATCATCCAAATTGACCTCAGGAGCAGTGGGTGGCCTTCCTGTGCATCTGTCAGTCATCAGTGTTCTCAGCAATCTGTCTCAACCACTCTATCTTTGATCTTTGGTAAGCACTGTGACTGCATGCTATATTCCTGGAAGCTGTGCTTGAAGACCAAAAACTGAACTGTGGACTAGAGGGTAGAAACACGGAGAGAGAGAAACTGCTGAAGCAAGGCCCAGGGGAGTGCTTGGCACTACAGGGAAAGAGATTATGAACTGATATGGGAGGAATGACTATTGATTTTTTAAACTTTGCACATGATCCCAGCGTGTTATGCTACATGGAATGAAGTGACGTCAGGGCCTGTTGACCCTGGAACTTGCCCAGAGCTGAGTTAGGTAAAAGGAAAGATATGAAAGAGGGGAAGTTTGAGTAGAAGAAACCCAAATGGATGGGGTGGGGTTTCCTTGGATTTACTTCATTGGTGTATTCAATTCACCTCCCAAAGTTTTCCCAATCAGTAAGTCAGATAACCAACGTATTACTTTAACAACCCTTCTTACATGTCAAGCTCATCTGAAGTGATTATTCTTCTGCCTTTTTATAACTTCACTCAAAATTCAAAGTCCCTCTTTCCCCTTTGTTATGACATCTCTCTCTTATGTTTAAACACTCATTTAAGGCATGTTTTTCTCTATTCACACTTTCCCAGATAACATTGGAGGGCATTCTAGCCCAGTCTTCACTGTCCTCCATACTCCAGAAAGCTAAATATGTCTTTTAATCCTGCAACCCAGCCTTTGGCACTAAGTGGCCTTCCAGCTTATCCTGGTCCAAAAGATTCCATGCCCATATTGTGGAGACATCTGTTACCAACTACTGCTCCTTGACCTGATCAGTTCTCTGTCTTCCATATGTGTGTAGACCTTTTCCTGCCTTCCTTTCATCCCTAGAACCCATGCAAATTTCCAGGATAACATCAAGGATACCAACTAGCTAGAATCCTGAATATTTTTCCCATCCCTCTCCCATGGAAAAATTGCCTATCCCAAAGATTTGCATTGTTCATTTCCAGAAATATGTTGGCACCTGGCGTTTTATAATTGCTACCCCCAGATGCAGACACTGTAGCTGCACTGTCTCCAAGTCAACCTCTGTACCAAGCCCTTTAAATAATATGTCTCATCTGATTAGCAAAACAATTCAATAACTACTACTACTGTCTTCAATTTACAGAGGCAAGAGGAGAGATGAAGTGAAGGAAAATAGCTTCTCTGAGGTCATATAGCTATAGGTAGTGAAGTAGAGATACTAAGCCAAGTTGGTCTGCCTTCAGAGACCATATTCTAAAAATTCCATACTAGATGGCTTGACTGAGGCTTTATCTTTAATCATCATTCTAATAAAAGGAAAACAACACTTGCATTGTGGTTTTCAAAAAGATTTTATTGAACTATTTCATTTGATCCTTACAACAGCCCTTTGAATTGGAAGAATAATCTCAGGCTGAAAGTGAAGACCAGTGTCACTGTCCCAGGTTGGTTCCTCCAGGGAGCTGACTCTAAGGGAAAGGTTAGTGTGCAGGTCATTCATTAGGGAGTAGGTTGTGGTTCAGCACCCATGGAGGGGAGAGGAAGGAAGCAGGGTTTGGCAAAAGCAAGAGTGAAGCTTGGTGCAGGCTCAATGGCAGCCTCCACCAAGCCCAGGAGCTCCGTAGGTAGAATGACCCTGAGTACGTCAGGAGGCTGAGCCTCATCACCTCACAGTGATGGGTCATTGGATGTGGACTGATCCTGGAAGGCTGTGTGACCTTGTGTCTGCCAATTTTCTGCTGCTGCTGCAATCTCTATAGAGGCTGGCAGCTGAAGAAAACCTGAGTAGGTTGTTGCATTGTCCCCTACACTTACCAACTAGTCAATGGTGTACCCACAATAAAAATCTGGTCCACGTATACCCACACAAACACCCTTGCCCGTGTACCACACAACCTCTCTAGAAAGAATTTCTCTGTACTGACAATTCTCAGCTGATTCTGAAGCAAAGTCAGAATCCAGTAATTTGTGCTGATCAGGTTGCTATTTCCAGCTGCCTACATGGGTACCCAAAGTAGATGGTGGCGGGTGTCCTAGTGGGAGTAATGGTTACAGAATATTAAAACAGGTGAAAGTGGAACCTATGCCACAGTATTGCATCTATTACAAGAGAAGACTAAAATTTCCTGAATTAGAAATAATTGTGAGGCACTGGTGAATTATTTGGTGTCCTTGAAAATTTATATAGGAAGAGAAGAATTCTGAATTTTTGAGGAATATATATAAAACCTGATGCAAAAATGTGATCAGTCTTGGCTTTTTGCTTGTTAAAAATTATGAATTTACTATATTTCTCTAATCAATTGTCTTGCAAGCTCTTGCTTTTTCAGCCCCAAACTGCATTCCAATCCAAAAGCCACAATCTGGGAATGTGTTTATTTTTATTTACCTTCACATAGTATAGCTTGTCAGATTTTCCCTTTGACGGTTTTAATAGAATCATCTGTAGTTGAGGTAAAGCCCCATATCTCTTCGAACTTCCAAGATTCTTTGAATTATCTGAATTATTTTCACTGTTCTAAATATTTTTTTTCTCAATAGAAATCAACAAGAAACCAATCAAGAAAGACTCCCCTCTGAATATTTTTCCTCAGGGAGTTGGAAAGTTATAGTCATTTGGGTAGGGCTATGATGGCAGGTTGCTCCTGATAGTGGTGGCAGTAATATTGTTCTTGATGGTGGGGTAATGTTGTTGGATGATGTTGTTGAGGGGTGATGTTGTTGTTGGGTAAGAGTGATGTTAGTGCGTGGAGTAATGTTATTGATAATGGTGTTGGTGGTGATGGGGTGATGTTGTCAGTAGGGGTGATGTTACTGATGGTAGTGGTAGCGAAGGAGTGATGTTGGTTGGGGTAGTGGTGGTGGATAATACTGTTTTTGATGCTAGTGATAATGATGATGGTGAGTTATACTGAGAAAGTCACACTTCAAACCGTCTATCAAGAAGGAGCTAAATATGAGTTAGACGTATATGTTTCTTGTCCAGCTCCTCAAATATTTGAGGCAGAATGGGGTGAATAGTATTAGATATAATCCTTTTCTGAGACACATGACTTCAAGATGGCCAGCTAGAGGCATCTGGTAGGCACCTGCCCTACAAATAAGAACTGAATTAGCAGGTAGGTAATCACATTTCCAATAGATCACCTAACAGAATATTGGAATTCAACCGAAAAGTGATAGCAAACACCTAAAGCAATGAAGGAGAAGGAAGAGAGGCAGCCTACTCTACAGGGCTTGGCTGGGGTCCTGAAATGGCTCCCTAACATGGGAAAAAGTAGATGAGTGACCCTCAGTGGTCCATATTCCCACCACACACTACTGCATCTTAGCCACAGGAAAGCCCCTTGACCTCAGCAGGCCTCATAACTAACATAGGGAGTTGCCTCAAGACAATGTGAAGACATTGCTCCAGAGATGGAACTCATGCTGGGTCCCAGACTCTATCTGAGCCCTAAGCAGCCACAGCAAGAGGCTATATTGAGATCCCCACTCCCACCAGACTGCATATTCTCTAAGGCTACAACAGCACCTGCATCTCCACATCTCTGGAGCCCCATTGACATTTCCTGCCTGCAGTCACCACCAAGGTTGGCTGCTACCTTCAGAGCTGAAGCATGAACCATTAGTAAAGATTTCATTGCCTTCAGCAGTGTAGCCACTGCATGTTTTCATGTGCACCAAGGACAAACTCACCCACCCACAGCAGCCACCGCTACCGCAGCTGGGGCCAAAGCTCAAATGAAGTACACATTCCCCGAAACGTCTGGCATAAGTCTGTTGCCACTGAAAGGAGCCCCACCCTCCCCAGTAGCAGAGCTGCTCAGCTGCTACTGCCACTACCTAAGCATTTAGCCTTGGGCCTGAGGCTCACCTTCCCCTGCCTACCATAGTAAGTGCCTGCATGTACACCTGGGGGCCTCAGGACAGGTCTGACTGGGCTGGCTTTGCCCTTTTCTCCCCATTCTCCAGTGCTTGAGTGGGGACTGGGTGCCTGGGGACTGTTCAGCCCAGTACACCACTGTTAGCACCTGAGCATTCCCTTCAGGGACCTGAGGTTAGGCTCATCCAACCTGCTACTACCACCACAGCGGGCTCCCATCTGTAGGCACAACCTAAGGGCCTAGGGACTGGCCTGCTCAACCCATCACAACCACTTCTAACACCAACATTTGGGATCCAGAGGTTAGTCACTCCACTGCTACTGCCATCACCCATGACACACCCACTTCCCAGAAGCTTAAGAACCCACCCACCTACCCAGTCCACTATTGTTACTACTGGCACCTAAGCAAGCTGCCAGGAGCCCAAAAATCTATCCCCTTGGACTCACTAACACCAATGCCAACTTATGAAACCTGTTGCCCAAGAACAGGCATGCTCATCTCACTGCTGTCACTACTGGGGCCCAAGGACTCACCTGGCATCCCTGTCTCTAGCAAAACTTCACCACTGCCTCCATTAACAACCATACCCCAAGCCACTGAAAAAACAAAACAAACAAACAAAAACCACAGATACCACTGACATTGTTTACAGCCAAAGAAATCATATGAAGACTACACTATTGCACACAGCCAGAATCAAAGTCAAAGTACCCAACTGATATGGCTTGGCTGCATCCCCATCCAAATCCCATCTTGAATGGTAGTTTCCGTAATCCCCACGTGTGGTGGAAGGGATGCTGTGGGAGGTAATTGAATCATGGGGGCAGTTTCCTCCATGCTATTCTCATGATAGTGAGTGAGCTCTCATGAGATCTGATGGTTTTATAAGGGGCTTCCCCCTTCACTCACCTCTCTTCTCTTTCCTGCTGTCATGTGAAGAATAATGTGTTTGCTTCCCCTTCTGCCATGATTGTACATCTCCTGAGGTCTGCCCAGCCCTGTGGAACTGTGAGTCAATTAAACCTCTTTCCTTTATGAATTACCCAGTCTCAAGTATGTCTTTATTAGTAGCATGAGAATGAACTAATGCACTGACCCAACCAACACTATAAATATCATAGATACCTCTTCAGGAAAACATTCTTGCCCATGAAGACAAATTTTAAAAATTGAAAGAAGTGACTGTTATACCTGAGTGCCAATATCAGTGTAAGGACACAAAAAACTTGAAAAATCAAGGAAACATGACACTTCCATAGGAATACAATAGTTCTCCAGCAACAGATTCCTAACAAAAAGAAATTTATGGAGTCCCAAGTAAAAAGTTTAAAATATTGATATTAAAGAAACTCAGTTTAATACTGGAGAATACAGGAAAAATAATACCAAGAGATTAGAAAAATAATTAAGGATAAGAATGATGAATTTATCAAAGAGCTAGATACCATAAAAAGGAACCAAGAGTCATTCTAGAACTGAAAAATTCATTAAACGAAATACAAAATACATGTAAAATCTTCAACAATAGTGTAGATCAAGCAGAAGAAAGAATTTCAGAACTTAAAGACAGGTATTTGGAAATAGCTCAGTCAGACAAAAATAAAGAAAAAAGAATTAAGAAGAATGAAAAAAGCCTATAAGACATATGAGACACCATAAAGTGATCAAATAATCAAAATTTTGCCATCCCAGAAGGTGAAGAGAAAAGCATTAGAAAACCTATTTAAGAAAAGAGTAGCTGAAGACTTCCCAAGTCTAGAAATACATTTAGACATCCAGACACAGGAAATCCAGAGAACCTCAAATAGATAAATGCAAAAACTTCTTCTCCATGGCAAATGATAGACAGACTGTCAAAAGCCAAAGACAAGGAGGAAATTCTAAAAACATGAAGAAAAGTGTCTAGTTATTTGTGAGGACACCCCCATCATGCTAACAGGGTATTTCTCAGCAGAAACCTTATAGGTCATGAGAGAATGGGATGACATATTCCAAAAGCTAAAAAACAAAACAAAACAAATAAAAAAAATAAAACACTGCTAGCCAAGGGTGCTATATGCAGCAAAATTATCCTTCATTAATTAAGGAGAAATAAAGTCTTTCCTAGACAAGCAAAAACTTAAGGGACAATACGTATCATCATGAAAACACACAAAAGTATACAACCTACTGGTAGATCAAACACACAATTAAGAAAGAGAAAGGCTGGGCAGGTTTGCTCATGCCTGTAATCCCAGCACTGTTGAAGATAGACGCAGGTGGATCACTGGAGCTCAGGAGTTTGAGACCAGCCTGGGCAACATGGCAAAATCCTATCTCTACTAAAAATACAAAGAAAATTAGCCGGGCATGGTGGCAGGTGTCTGTAGTCCCAGCTACTCAGGAGGCTGAAGTGGGAGGATGGCTTCAGCCCCAAAGCGGAGGTTGCAGTGAGCCGAAATTGATCCACTCCACTCCAATGTAGGCAACAGAGTGAGACACTATCTCAAAAAGAAAAAAAGAAAAAGAAAAAGAAAGAGAAAGGACTCAAATGTTACCATCATAGATGTTACCACAGTGATTAACAATGAGACAAAGAAGGAACAAAGGAGATACAAAACAACCATGAATCAACTGATAGACTGACAAGAATAAACTCTCACATATCAATAACAATTTTGAATGTAAACATAGAGGTGAAAATGCTCAACAAAATACTAGCAAACTGAATCTAACAGTACATCAAACAAATAATAGACCATGACCAAGGGGGATTTATCTTAAAAATGCAAGAATGGTTCAACATATGCAAATAAATAAATGTAATACCTGATATCAATAGCATGAGAGACAAAGAACGTATGGTTATTGCAACAGACACAGTAAGACCATTTGATAAAATTCAACATCTCTTCATGATAAAAACTCTCAACAAACTAGACATTGGTGGAACATACTTTAGCATAATAAGGGCCATGTATGACAAACCCACAGCTAACATCATACTAAATGTGGAAATACTGAAAGTCTTTCCTCTAAGATCTGACACAAGACAAGAGACTCACTCTTATTTGACATAGTATTAGAAGTCCTGGCCAGAGCAATCAGTCAAGAGGCAAAAATAAAACCATCCAAATTGGGAAAGAGGAAGTCAAATTATTCCTCTTTGCAGTGAACATAATCTTCTATCTAGAAAAACCTACAGACTTCACAAAAAAACCTCTTAGGTCTGATAATAAATTCAGCAAGTTGCAGGATACAAAACCAATATACAAAATCGGTAGCATTTCTATGCACCAATAACAAACTAGCTGAAAAAGAAATAAAGAAAGCTATATAAAATATAACATGCCTGGGAATTAATTTAACCAAGGGTATAAAAAACCTCCATAGAAAAAAACTACAAAACACTGATGAAATTGAAGGGGACACAAACAAATCAAAAGACATTCTATGCTCATGGATTGGGATAATTAATATCTTCCATATTAATTGAAAGTGATCACACTGCCCATGGCAATCTATAGATTCAATGCAATTCCTATCAAAATACAAATATAATTTTTCACAGAAATAGAAAAACAGTCCTAAAATGTATACGGAACCATAAAATAACCTAAATGGTCAAAGCAATTCTGAGCAAAATAAAAAAGCTGGAAGCATCAGACTACCTGACTTCAATATATTACAAGCTATAGTAACCAAAACAGCAAGATATTTGTATAAAAACAGACACATCAAACAATGGAACAGAGTACACAATCCAGAAACAAATCCATATGTTTACAGTCAACCACTTTTTGACAAAGGTGTCAACCTCATACATTGGGGAAAGGACACCCTCTCTTCAATTAGTTGTTGTGGGAAAATTGGATTGCCATATGCAAAATGATAAAACTGAACCCCTATCTCTCACCACTTAGAAAAATAAATGAAAGATAGATTAAAGACTTAATTGTAAGACCCAAAACTATAAAGCTACTAAAAGTAAACATGGGGAAAACACCCCAGGACACTGGTCTAGGCAAAGATGAGGGCCTCAAGAGCACAGGCAACAAAAGCAAAAATAGACAAATAGAGCTATATTAAACTAAAAAGCTGCTGCACAGCAAAGGAAACAATCAAGAGAGTTAAGAAACAACCTGTTGAATGGAATAAAATATTTGCAAACTATTCATTCAAGGAACTAATATTCAAAATATATGAGGAATTCAAACAACTCAACAGTAAAAACATAAATAATACCATTTAAAGTGGGCAAAGGACATGAATAGACATTTCTCCAAAGAAGACATACAAATGGCCAACACATATATGAAAATATGCTCAATATCAGTAACCAGGGAAACGCAGATCAAAACCACAGCGAGATATCATCCCATTCCTACTTAGAATGGCTATTTTTAAAAAGAAAAAAAAAAAACAGACGCTGGCAAGGATGTCAGGAAAGGGGAACTCAGAGTGTTGATGGGAATGTAAATCATACAGCCACTGTGGAAACAGTAAGATTTCTAAAAAAAAACTAAAAATAGAACTACCATACAATCCTTCAGTCTCACTACTGGACATTTATCCAAAGGAAAAGAAATTCACATATCACATATCAAAGAGATACTGGCATTCCCATGTTTATCACAGCACTATTCACAATAGCAAAGACATGAAATCAACCTAAGTATCCATCAAAAGATAAACGGATAAAGAAAATGTGGTATACATACAGAATGGAATACTAGTCATCCATAAAACATAGAAATCATGTCATTTTCAGTAACATGGATGGAACTGGAGGGCGTTGTGTTCATTGAAATAAGCCACGCAGAGAAAGACAAATACTGCATGTTCTCACTCAGATGTAGGAGTTAAATAGTTGATCTCTTGGAGGTAGAGAGTAGAATGATAGACATGAGAGGCCAGGCAGGGTGTGTGGGGGTGGGGGCATAAAGGAGGTTGGTTATGGGTACAAACATAAAGTTAGATTGAAGGAATTAGTTCTCATGTTTGATAGCAGAGTATAATAACTATAGTTAACAACAATGTATTGTATATTTCAAAATAGCTAGAAAGGAAGACTTGAAATGATCCCAACACATAGAAATAATAAATAATTGAAGTGATGGACATCCCCAAAACCCTGACTTGATCATTATGCAGTCAGTACATTTAACAAAATGTCACATATGTAACCTATAAATATGTACAGATATTTGTATCAACTAAAAAAATCCCTTTCTGAGATGCTCACTAGAAATTCTTTCTCTGGAAGCTGCATGATATGGTTTGGCTCTGTATCCCCACCCAAATCTCATGTTGAAGTGTAATCCCCACAGACAGGGGAGGGGACTGGTGGAAGGTGGTTGGATCATGAGGGCGGATTTCCTCCTTGCTGTTCTTGTGATAGTGAGTGAGTTCTCACAAGATCTGGTTGCTTGAAAGTGTGTAGCTCTTCTCCCTTTGCTCGCTCGCTCTCTCCTGCTGCCATGTGAAGACATGCTTGCTTCCCCTTCACCTTCTGTCATGATTGTAAGTTTCTTGAGGCCTCCTAGCCATGTTTCTTCTATAGTCTGTGGAATTTTGAGTCAATTAAACCTCTTTTCTTCAAAAATAACCCAGTCTCAGGTAGTTCTTTACAGCAGTGTGAGAATGCACTAATACACTATATAATCCCTGGTAGAAAACCAGTCAGAAACCAAAATTTCTGCACTTTCTGAGAAATCAATGTCATCATTCTTGTTCTCACTTCAGTTTCACTTTCAGCTGATGTCCTGGCACACCCCTGGAGCCAATCAGACTGCCTCTTTCCTTTGACCCTTCCAAGCCACTTCACGCTCCACTTTGCCTTGCTCACCCTCTGGCCTCTCTCTTGCATCCACACATCCCCTGCTATCCTTTCACAATTTTATTCTTCAAGATTCATCTCAAAATCAAACTTCTCTACAGTGTTAACCCTCTACCTTAGTAGAATTCTTATTTCCCCTACCATCAATATCATGCAGTTTAGCACCATCATGTATCTGTATTGTTCTCGATGGTGTCATATAAGTTTATCTGGTAGATTTTCAGCTTTACAAGAACAGTGCCCTTGTCTTGTGTTTTCTTTTCATTCCCCACAGAATCCAGCACTAAGTATCATAATTGAATATCATACTTTACTAACAAACAAAAAGAAATAATACCAAAGTGGAAATGAGACCTTCTAGCCCAAGCTCTGCCCTTTATCCACTGCATGACCTGAAGTGTTCACTTCTCTAGCCCTCATTTTCTTTATCAATAAAGCGCATTATTAAACCAGATTATAATAATAATTATTGTTATTGGATACTATTTTCCAGACATGTAGATGTCATATAAATTCCTTTCATTTTAAAACAATGTTATTCAGTAAATTGAAAGACTGACTTTTGATTTCACCATTCATATTATTCCAGGTTAAAAAGTAACTTCAGAGTTCTTGTTCTGGATGTTCCAGATGGAAGCTTGAGCACAGACAGAATCATCCCTATTCTTCTGCTTCTCTCACAGACATGATTAAAGACAGTATTTCAAGATATTGATTTATGTGTGGCTGGCTCAAAAAGAAGAGCAAAAAGGGGGCCAAAAGTAAAAGCAAAAAGACCAAAAAAAATTATGACGTATGTATCTCTTTAAAAAAGAAAGAAAGAAAGAAAGAAAGAAGCAGCATCAATACACAGAAAACTCAGAAATGAATATAGGCTGACTTTGAGGTCCAGAGAACGCTGGAGATGGCACTGGGTGGTACTGGAGGGCTTAGGGGCTGAGTCTGTGCAGCTTCTTCTGTAATGGTCATTATTTAAAGAGACAATACAGACAATGCATATGCAGTGCTTGCAGGTTAAAATAAAACGTAAACATGGGGTTAAAAAAAGGAGAAAAGGCAAATATGCCCAAAATATTTTCTAGTGGTGGTACTGTGAAAAATAGCTATTTTTCTTCTTTGTCCATTTATGTACTTTTTAAGTTAAAATACAGACAAATAACTACCACCCCATCTCCTCATCTCATTGCTCTGTAGGTCTCTCCTTATGCCCTGAAATAATCGCCAAAGTACAAACAATCTGAGTGCTCAGCCCAACCTCGAGGTGGCTAAAGAACTAAAAACCAGGGCCTCAGGAATCAAATCTGAAACAGAAACAGTGGCCTCTTCCTGGTTGTCACTGGAATTGTCCTTGGCAAGATCGGGGTGTCATCTTTATGGCTCCTTGGTCTCTTCCTCCATGGAATTCTTATACAACAATACACACATTTTATAATTAAAAGCTAAAAACACACTGGCTTCTGTTTTTGAGTCATTTCATTGTTTTGATACCTTGTGGCAGGGCAGAGATGAATGAAAGACAGGCTGACCTAATCTAGTCTAAATATTCAGACCCCGGGAAGGGAATCCTCCTCAGCAGAATGCCAACCTATGTCTCTTAATTGCCTCAGCTCCTGATAGATTGGCTCTTACGCTCTTTGAATTCCTTTGTTGTGGAGGAGTTAAAATTCATGAGCGTCCCATGCCTGGGAATACTTACTCCAGTGCTGCTATTTTCCTGAGCCAAGCTGGCCAACACCGCAAAAGAGTCGGAGGTCTGTTGGGCCATCTGTTACATAATAGTCAACAATCTCAAAAATCTAAGGAAACAGGGAGGGGGAGAGCAAAGATGATGAAGCATTTAAACAGAACAGATTGCTGCCTTACTTACAAGACAAAAAGGGAGAGATGATATGCTTTGATTGAGGCAGAGACAAGCTTTATTAGCATAGGGAACAAAACAAACTTTAAAAAAATGGCACCAATAAAGCTGAAAGTCTAAAGAGGCTTGGTGACAAACCCCATGTTGAATTGCAGGCCACAGAGGCCCCAAATGTGATTGGGAGACACACACACACAGACACACACACACACACCATACAATGTACGCATTGCACACAGACATGCAACATCCCTGATGTATGAGTGAAACCACTGAAAAATTGCTGCTGTATTTAAAAGCTAAATATAAGCCTGCACTAGAATATCAAATTTTGCAGACCTGGGAAAAGCACTTTGCCTTAACCATCTTCCAAGTAAATACCTTCAGCATAAGGTGAAAGGAGTCAAGGCCTACTTTGACTATACAAAGCCCAGGCCTTTCCATTTGCCTAGCAGACTCTCAAGCTCCCTGATTTAGCCACCTGTAATCTTTACTAAACACAGTTCAGTTTTTAGCAGTGACCTATAACATTTGACCTGAACAATACTGTTTCTAAAGGAGCGGAATAAAACTGGAGGTAACAAAGAATTAGAAAAGAAAAGAGAGATTGGGGACAATTAGGGTGAGAGAAGAAATAGTGAAAGAAAGATAAGAAAATCTGGGAGATACATGTCAGTAAAGAACCCCAAATATAAGGCAATAATAAAGTGTCTTAAAAACCAGCTAGTTGGCAAACAAATATTAAGAGTTAAATATTAAACTCTATTTAATGACATGCAGGCTGAAATGTTTAAGAAGCCGAATGATATAAGCAACTGACTTTGAAATTCACCAAAAAGTGAAATGGATTGATGAATGGATAAAGGATCGATAAATAATAACACTTTTTTTTTTTTTTTTTGAGACAGAGTTTTGCTCTTGTAGCCCAAGGCAGAGTGCAGTGGCGGGATCTCGGCTCACTGCAACCTCTGCCTCCCAGTTTCAAACGATTCTCCTGCCTCGGCCTCCCAAGTAGCTGGGATTACAGGCGTCCACCACCACACCCAGCTAATTTTTGTATTTTTAGTAGAAACGGGGTTTCACCATGTTGGCCAGGCTGGTCTGGAACTCCTGACCTCAAATGATCCGCCTGCTTCAGCCTCCCAAATTGCTGGGATTACAGGCATGAGCCACCGCACCCAGCCATAATAAAACAATTATAGATAAATGTTCACTGTAGAATCTAGGTGGTGAGTAGATACTATGCACCATAAAATTATTTCGTCTTATCTGTATTTTGAAATTTTCTGTAATAAAATGTTGGGGAAAGATAAATGAACATTGAGACTCCCAAAATTAAAATAGAATGAACACAAATTAAAAAAACATAGAAACTAAAAACATCCTAGACATTTAAAAATGTCTAGGTATCCCTTTCATTTCTGTTTTCCTTTTACATGACATTGTCTCCAGATATGTAACTCAATGAAAGAAGCTGGTTAAAGGATGTGATTATCAAGTTTGAGTGACTAGTTTTGCTGTTGTTATTTCATTGATGTTATTTTGAAGTTGTTGTCTCTAGTGAACTAAAATTAATGAGATTGTTAAAGTCATAATTTGGTAAAAATTTTGCCCAAAGTAGATTTTACTGTCACTTTCTTCCAAATGGACTCTCTCTGAGATGAACAACACAAATTCTTAATTCCTTCTCACAACTCACAAGCTGCTTCTTACAGATAACCACTTAAAAACAGAACAGAACAAAGAACAGTTTACAAACCCATATATTTCAGGGTGCTAATTTGGAATGGTTTTGGAATGTTTTACCCCAGTCAAATTAGTTTTATCTGGTTTATTTCTCTTGCAAATCTTCAGTGGATCTACATAACTAAATTTGGTAGACTTAATTTTCACTGAGGACTGACCCCAAAGTTAAGTGCATCAGAGAGAGAGAGAGAAAAGAGAGTGACAGCTTCATTTTACCCACCTCTTTGAACTAAACTATAAAATGACAGTTTTTATTCTGTGATTGGAGAAATCAGACAGGAAAAGGAAATGCAGGGGGATAGCAGTCACTGTTAAAGGAAATCTAAAACCTCCATGTGAATTTCTCTATATGTCTCAAAGAGGGCTTTATCTCCATACTCAAGGCATTTTACATATAACTCAACTTGTGCAGCAAACTACCTTTTTCAGTAATAACTAACAGTAAAAATATAAACATATATATTTTAATCAAGTCCACCTAGAGTGTCCAAGACAAGTTTTTAATCATAAGGCATTGAATTTCAAAGAAAACATATGCAATTCTATTTAATATACAAAACTGCATTGTGGGGAAGCCTCACAGCTCAAAACATGATCACACAAAGGGGGCAAGGTTGGAGGCTGGGGTTAGTTTAAAAATATCTGTCTCTGAGCAGCACGTTTTACACTGGAACGTGACAGGCAAAAAGGTTATTGTCTGCAAGTTTTCACCTCAGGGAATAACTAGAAAGGGGAAAAAATGGGAAAGTACTTAAGCAACTTTCTGCCTTTGAAAAAGCAAGTGCAGAATAGTAGACACTGTGGGGTGTCCTCTTTTCTAAGCCAGCGACAGCATTTCCAATACCCTGACCCATGAAAGGAGGCGTTGGGAGTTCAATGCTCACTAAATGGCTGGTTTGGAATCTAGAATTGGAAAATTAGTGGGTAGAAGTAGAAATAATTTATAAAAGCAAAATCTGGCAGAGGATCTGGAGGAGGCCAGGCTCCCTGACTGGTAGTTTATCTTCGGTAGCATTCCTAGTCTTTGTCACTCTTTCCTCTTTGCTCAGGTCATACCTCAGTTCTGAGGAGTCAGGGGGTTCTAGCAACCCAGGACTGTAGAAACTCACAAAACCAAGAAAACTCCTCTACTGTGGGTGTCAGAAACTTGCTTCCCCACCCCCATTGCTGGGATTGTTTTTGCAGACTCATGGCAGACTTTTAAGGCCTCAATCCATTTATGTGAGAGGAATGAAAAGTCACCTCTCATTTTAAGAGTACATCCAAAGGCTGCATAGTTCTAAGAAGTGTCTACAGAGTCTTTCTCTAATAGGAGAACAAGACTTTGAAGAATCTATCTAATGAAATCACAGGACTGTTTGGGGAAATTTTACTTAATTGTAATCTGTGAAACACAAACAAACCAAACACTGATTAAGAGCCAGATGGCCTGAGTATTAATCCCAGCTCTGCCATTTACTATTTATGTACAATTGAACTGGATTTTTATATCTCTAGTCTCAGCTTTCCCATTTGCAAAATGGGGATAATAATACTATACTACGACTGCTGCTAATCATCATTATTATTATCACAGGGTTATTTATGGTAAGGATCAAATAACATAACATAGCATATACCATAGTGCATCACAGATATTAAGTGTTTAATAATTACTTAATAACTTCATTTCCCTATGTTTATCATTATTATTATCTTCCAGGTCTGAAAGAAAATATAAACTTGGGAGATGCCTATTTATGGGGAGACTCTTAGTTAAAGAGTCTTGGACAAGTACTTTTGTAGCTTGGCTTGAAATGCTTTACAGTAAGTTACTTTGGCTTCATTCTGTTAATAGAAAAAAAGAAGTCAGAGGAAAAAGAGGAGACGAGGAGAAAAAAGGTAAAAGAAAAAGAAGTCAGAGGAAAAAGAGGAGATGAGGAGAAAAAAGGTAAAAGAGTGCATTTGTAGGCAACCTTGGCTGTGAATACAAAGCCTCTTTATCGCTCCAGAGGCTACTTGCAGTCACCTTAGCAAGACTGAGGAAAGTCCCATGGTGTTTTCCATCCATAAGCTATATTTGAAATGCATGAGGTAAGTCCCTTAATGAAAAATGAGATATCGTAGAGGCAGAGAGTACAGTTTTCTGATGCCGCCGTGGGCTAGGCAAAGTAGGTGCTGGTATCAGCTTTCATCACTGCAAGGCAGTAAGAAAACTCTTCCAAAATGGATTTATTATACTTGAGAGTTGAGCTTTAATAGCGTCCTTGTAAATGATGCTAAAAAGAAGCTTTTTATGGGTGATATAATCTTGATGGGGGGAGGAGAAATTACTTAGAATTCACAACTTAAAACAATCACATCATCCATTTGTATGTAGCTGGAGTTGGCTGCTGGCCACGGAAAACGACTTGGGCAACTTAAGCAGAAAGGGATTTTGGGGAAGGGTATAGATACTGCTTGGGATGACTAGGCTTAGAATGAGCAAAAACCATGGAAACTCTGGAGGGCTAAACCATTGCTGCTTGAGAGGCATAATTGACAACCATCTTTTATATCATTGTGTCCTTCCCTCAAGATTCAAAATCCCAGGAAAGCATATCTGATTGGCAAAGTCCTAGTCATGTGATCTACCCTGGATATATTGGGGCTGTCCTGTCTTCAGTAGACATCATCTTTTCCCATGACTACACACAATGAGGGATTATCTAGAAAAGCAATCAGGATGCTATAAGGGTTAGTATTGAATATTGGAGAGTCCCCGTCTCCCCAAAAAACTCAAACTTTTATACTGTACTTTTTAAAGCATTTCGAACTGTTTAGATTTTAACTCTGTTATTTCTAATTATGGCTACTATCTTTCCCACATTTAAAATAATCCTATTCTTACTCCACAAAGGTAATTCTTAAGAGTTCTGACTTTTCTAGTTCCAGTTCCAGTTCAGTTGCCCTTTGTCAATCTCAAAGAGCCCTTTAGAGAAAAAGTAGAGATACTCATGGCCATTGACAGAGATGTTACAGTTCAGGCTCACCTTCATCACTTTGAAAAAGATGAACTAAAATTATTTTTTCTATGAAATTGACCAACATAAAAATAGAATGATAACAAGTGGTGGTGAGGGTTTAGCAAATCACTCTCATACATTATTGGTAGAAGATTAAATTGATACAGCCTATGCCATGAGCAATTTGACATTACGTATCAAAAGCCTTAAAATGTTCACATCCTCTAACTTATTAACATCATCTCTAGAAATTTGCCATAAAGGGAAAAAATAGTGTAAACACAAAGATGTTATGAAAATGTTTATTACAACATTGTATATAATTGTGAAAAATTAGAAACCACAAAAATATTCAACAAAAGTGAACTGGATGAATAAACTATGGTACATCAAAATGATGAAATACTTTGCAATCATTGAAAGATGTTATGGAATTGTGTTTGTTAACATTATAGATATGTAAAATATGTTGTTGAACAGAAAAAAAACAGAGTCCAAACAATATGTAAAGTATGGTGACCTTTTGATTTAAAAACATGGATATAGAGTTTGTGTGAATTTTCGTATACATATATATATAGAGAGAGAGAGAGAAAGAGAGAAAGAGAGAGAGGGAGAAAACCATCTGGGAGGTTATACATCAAAATGCTAATGCTAATCTAGAGTGGCAAGATTATGGGTGGTTTTTATGCTTTTACTTGTGTTTTCTGTTTTTTTTGTCTTTATGTAATACATACTACAATAATATATATCTCCATACATATTATGTAATTAAAACATAATAAAAGTTATTTATAAGGTTTTTTACATTAAGAAAACATAGGGCTGGGCGTGGTGGCTCATGCCTGTAATCCCAGCACTTTAGGAGGCCAAGGCGGGTGGATCACTTGAGGTCAGGAGTTTGAGACCAGCCTCACCAACATGTGAAACCCTGTCTTTATTAAAAATACAAAAATGAGCTGGGTGTGGTGATGCATGCCTGTAATCCCAGCTACTGGGGAGACTGAGGTGGGAGGATCCCTTGAACCAGGGAAGTGAAGGTTGCAATGAGCTGAGATCATGCCACTGCACTCCAGCCTGGCCAACAGAGTGAGACCCTGTCTCAAAAAAAAAAAAAAAGAAAGAAAGAGAAAAGAAAGAGAAAGAAAGAAAGAAAAGAAAGAAAGAAAGAGAAATAAAGAAAGAAAAGAAAGAAAGAAAGAAAGAAAGAAAGAAAGAAAGAAAGAAAGAAAGAAAAAGAAAAGTAAACACAGGTTAACATAAATGAGCATGTGGAGGCAAAACCAATGTCACAGATAATATATCAGAAAATGTGTGCATTACAGTAAGTTGTGCTTTTTAACAATTGAAAACAACCTTATATTTTTATGAGACAAAGAACAATGTTATTTCGTATATCTTTTTTCACAATATGAGGCTAGCACATTTTTCCCCAAAGATTATCTACCAATTGTGGTTTGCATAAACCACTGGGTAATGGGAAATGGGGAGCTTCATTTGGCCATGGGAAGAAGATGAGAAAACTCCTGCATTTTGACAAAATAACAGAAAGCCTACTTAGGTACCAAGAATGCTTCAGCCTGAAGGCCACTGAGGCATGGCCCATGGAAGAACTCAGTAGATAAAGCAGCAAGAAAAATGGTCCAGACCCTCATTTCTATAAGGGCAATGTAGGCTCATGGAGCATACTTAAGAAGGCCCGTAAGTATACAAAAGATACATTCACGTATAGAAGCTCAGGATTAACATTGTAAACTTTTTATTTAAATTAAGCCTTTATAGTAGCTTTTACAGACAAGGAGGCCTATAAAAATGCAGGAAAAAAGCACTAATATATTTCTCTGTGCTGTGGTTAAAATTAAGTCTCGAAGGAGGAAAACAACCTAGTTTTTTCCCCTTATTTTGGCTTCTAGTTTTCATTTTTCTAAGCAATTATTTTCTAATTCAGTTGCCTAGTAAGAATTTTCAGGTCAAAAATGAAGAAAGGTACTTTGTAAAATGAAGAACTAGCATTATGTCAAATTAAAGTTTGGCCCTTTGCAGTGAATGAAGCATTTTCTATACAGAAATCCACGGCTGTGACACAGAGGTTAATTTTTTTTAATTTTTCTTTTTTTCTTTTTTTTTCTTTTTTTTTTTTTTTTTGGTTCTTTCTGATGAAACTTCTGTCTCTTTTTTTCCTGCTGGTTGTTATTGTGTCTCAGAATTGAATGTGACCCACAGTACTTTGCCACTTCTTCTCTCTCTCTTTTTTTTTTTTTTTTTTGTAATGTACGACAGTAACTACTACACAAAGTTTGCTCTGTAAAGCCGCAATTGTGTGAGGCTGGTGTTCACTTGGAATGTTGGTACAGTATATGTCACCGTGTACAGGTCCCTGGTCCCCTTTTCTATCTTGGCTTTGAAAAACCTTGTTCAACCATTACAAGAAAGAACAAAATGCCCAGAAACATGGGAGAAAAGATTGCAGAGAAAGTCTGTTTACCCAAGACACATGGACCAGCAGCAGTCAAGATAGCCTAACCAACTTTGTGGTTTAACTTTTCTTAAAGTAGAAACCACAGGACAAAGCTCATGGAAAACAATAAGAGAAATAAATGTTGGTAGCATCCCCTCCCTTTTTTATTAGTCATACAGAAGAGAACCATTGAATTTTAGAAGGACAAGTACAGATGGTAGAATCATATCTTTTTCTATATATTATTGATGAGTGACAATAAGTCAGATGGAAAAATGAATTCACTCCATTCAATAAAAGCAAACAATGCAGATTTCTGGAATTGGATCCTCACTGTGGTGTGACAGAACCATGGTCAAGTTTATGTGTGGGTCTACTAGAAGTCCAACTATTTTAGGTTCTTACAATTAAAAGGCCTTACTAATTAATAAAGATCACTATTATATTTCTCACTCTATGATTCTATCAAGAGTCAAGCCCTTAAATTTGACTTCGGTGTTACCAATCTCAGACCAAAGTATGTTTTGCTTTCATTCAAGCCACCCCCATAGTTCTAATTACATTTTAAAAATGCCTAATTTATAACCTTGATTTATTATGGTCTAGCTTGGCCCACACTATACTGATCTTTTTTGATGGTTAGACTTACATCATGATGGTCTAGTTCAATTTCTTCCTTTAGTGCTATTTATTGTTCCCTGAGTCTCTGGACCATGGAGTGAGCAGATGCTAAACCAAGTTCATCCTAACTAATGGATTTGCTAGCAGATGTAAATCATAGTGCTCGTTTGAGTAAAATGTAATATCTTAGAATAAAACCAATAAATAAATTGGCATTAGTTTAATATTACTCCAATATTTCTTTAATTGTCTCTATAATGTAACACATTTAAACACCTAACTGTGGAATAATTTACTTAATCCATGTGGAAAGTGAAACTATTACCTACTCTGGTGAATTAAGTGTTATTAAAAAATCATGCTCAATCTTGAACCTGTTAAAATTAAGACTAGAGAAACTCTAGAACAAGCTCCCTGAGATGTATATGCATCCAGAAAATTATTTGCCCATTATAACTCATGAAGGAATTTGTATATTATAACATGTCTTGATACAAATTTATATTAAGACTGCAAATCTGTAGAGTTGGACTAGTCAGTGTATAATCCTTTATTCTTGTTGATCCTGAAAATCAAGTTGTCTTTGTAGAGGGTCAGGTGGCCCACATACCCAACTACTTGATACCTAAATATTTACTTGTCTTCAGAAATCTATTTTGGGGTCCAATGGAAGCAAAACCATTTTCAAAGACTGGGATTAAATTGCATCCTCCTCTCGTTGATTTTCAAAAAAATTCCCCTGCTCAGAATTAGTTCTCTGTAAGTAGCATAACAAAAATTTTTATTCTAAATTTGGGACCATAAAATGTGGTGATTCTTAAACTGTGCTTCCACAGAACATTGTATGATAAAGGTTGCCCCAAGAGGTTCTACCACTAAAAGTAATATATTTAGGGTTACCAGTTTAGCAAGTAAAAATGCAGGACACCCAGTTAGATTTGAATTTCTGATAAACAATGATTTTTTTTAGTATAAAGAAATATAAGTATGTCCCTTTGCCTTCTGTAAATGTCCAAGAACTAACCTAGTGATATGGTTTGTGTCCCCACCCAAATCTTATCTTAAATTGCAATCCCAGGTGTTAAGTGAGACACTTGGTGGGAGGTGATTGGATTATGGGGGCGGTTTCCCCCATGTTGCTCTCATGATAGTGAGTGAGTTCTCATGAGATCTGATGGTTTTATAAGCATCTGGCATTTCCCCTTCTCGCACTTCTCCCTCCTGCCACCATGTGAGAAGGTCCAAGCTTGCTCCCCTTTGCTTTCTGCCATGATTGTAAGTTTCCTGATGCCTCCGCAGCCAAGTGGAATTGTAAGTCAAACCTACTCCCTTTATAAATTACCCAGTCTTGGGTATTTCTTTATAGCAGTGTGAAAAAGGATTAATACACCTAGTCATAAAATTAAGATTTCATTTTTTTATTCACTCTATGTTCCTTGATTGAAGAAGCATCTTTAAGGTTTAAATTAGTAAGTCTGGGAATGTTATAACTCACAGATGTATCAATGAAATATTGCTCATTATTTTTTATAACATCCTTCCCCTATATGATAGCTTATTTTCCCACCCATATTAAAATTTTCCAGTTAGCTCAAATCTAGGAAATTTATATAAGTATATTTTGCAGGATGAATTGTTAAACCAAAAATTTCAGGTATATATATGCTCCTAAAATTTAAGATTATGCCATAAGTTAATAAATCTCTGTCACTGCTGATATTTGGGGATTGATTTATTTTTTAATTTGAAAATTTAGTAGAGAGTATTGAGTACCTGGTTTATGTTAGGCACTAGGGATACAAATATAAAGTAACATCCCCTCCATCAGGAATCTCACAATTAAATAGGCAAAAGCAGAAACAGCTATGTGTAAGAAAGTGTCAACGATGCTATAAAACTTCAGAAACATCCACACAAATTTGATACTTGTGTTAAGAATACATATTCTAGAAAACTGAAGCACTTCTGAAAGTGATTAGGTAAAGCATTTTTAAAATTAGCTTTTATTGACTGCACACCATAGGCTAGCCACTGTGCTAATTTAGGTTAATCCATAATATAATGAATCCTTATAATTCTGTGACATAGACAATGTTATTATTCCTTTTTCAGATGAGGAAACTGAGGCAGAGTGAAGCAGAATCACTTATTCCAGTACATGCATCTACTAAAGGGTGGCCCAAGAGATTCCTGCTATGAATAGAAGAAACCAGGATATAGGATTGAGTCAAAGTGACCTGTAGTTTTTGTTTCTACTGAGAAAATTCACTTATGGATCAGAGCCTCTATTTCTAATATAAAAAAATACTGGAATGATCAGAATATTGTTGGAGCAATTCCCGACTATATCTGAGTTCTTCTCTTTTGGACTGACTCATATACATATATTTTTCATCATCACCATTTTGCTCAAGAAAATTCTCATAGATTACAGCCTTAACCTGTATATGAAGATTTCCTCAGCATCAATTAAAACATCGGAAGGGAGTGTATCTGTTTTTTTGAGATGGAGTCTCACTCTGTCACCCAGGCTGGAGTGCTTGGCTCACTGCAACCTTCACCTCCCAGGTTCAAGCGATTCTCCTGCCTCAGCACCCTGAGTAGCTGGGATTAGAGGTGCACGCCACCACGACTGACTAATTTTTGTATTTTTAGTAGAGATGGGGGTTTCACCATGTTGGTCAGGCTGGTCTCGAACTCCTGACCTCGTGATCTGCCTGCCTCGGCCTCCCAAAGTGCTGGCATTACAGGCGTGAGCCACCACACCCAACCAGGAGTGTATCTTTCAAAGTGATTAACACTGGAAGACACCCAGATGGCTTCACCAATGAATTAATTCACACATTTAAGAATGAGATAATATCAATTCTGCACAAACTCTTTCAGAGTATATATATACATATAGAAAGAATACTTTCCAGCACCTTAGGAGGCCTAAATAGCTTCAATTATAAAACTCAACAAGAACATTTCAAGAAAGAAAAATTACAGATCAATATATTTTATACAAATAGGTATAAAATTATTTTAAAATTAAGTTCAAATATATAAACTGCCATTTATAGTTCAAGTATGGTAAAATGTCAGCAATCTCACATGGTTCAAATCAACATAGCAAACTGGATCTAGTTATCTTTAAGAACCTAATGAGCTTTGAAAAAGATCAATGTAAATCACACAAAAAAAGAAAAATAAATGAACATTTTGATAGATGCAGAAAAAATATCTGATCAGATTTAACACTCAACCATGGTAACAACTCTTGGGTAACCTAGTTATAGATACATTAGTTAATAAAGAATATTATGTTAAGCAGAATTCTATGATCTCCAAGATTCCCACACAATTGTATGTAAGCTCTGTACAATTCTCTCTTATTGAGTGTGGGCAAAAGCTCACACTCAGTCCCAGGATTAAGTTACTAATCACTTGATGTTGTCTTAATTGAAAGGCAGATTACCCAGGTAGGCCTGACTTAACCAGATGAGTCATTAAAGGGAGTGGGACCTCCCTGAAGTCCAAGAAATTTGATGCAGGGGAGATTCTCCTTTGCTGGCTTCAAAAATGGAAGAAGCCAAATGGCTAGGATTTGAAAGTGGCTGCTGAAAGTTTAGAGAAAACCCCAGCCAATAGCCAGGAAAACAACAACAACAGAGACCTCAATGGTACAACTGAAAGGAACTGAATTCTGCTAATGAATGACCTTGGAAGAGAATCAAGAGCTCCAGAGAAGTACCTAGCCACAGGTTGACACCTTAATTTTAGCCTTGTGAGACCCTGAGCAGAGTATCCAGTTGAACCCTGCCCAGATGTATGGCATAGAAAAGTGAGATAATGACTTTGTATTGTTTTGAGTTGCTGAATTTATGGTAATTTGTTATGCAGCAGTAGAGAGCTAAGGTAAACAAGTACCTAAAAATCTATAGAGAACATCATACTCAATGGCAAATATTGCAGACCTTCCTGAGATCAGGAATGCATTTTCACTATTTCCACTCATTACGGTACTGGCCATCCTAGCAAATGCAACAAAACAAATAAACAAAATAAATAAATAAAAATCACAAATATAGGAAAAAATGAATAAAACTGTCATTGTTTACAGACTACATGATTCTGTACCTAGAATACTAGACTATCCAAAAAAATCTACAAACTTTAAGAATTGACAATAAATATAGCAAGGTTGCTGAGTCCAATGTCAATAAACGACAATAATTTTTTTTCTTATAATGCAATATAGTAATCATATTTTGTGGCTAATAAGCAACAAAAAGTAGAAAATAAAATTTTAAAATATTATTTATGCTTGCATGAAAAAGCAGACACATGTGAGAAGTATGAAAAATGTGTAAGACTTTTATACTAAAAGCTATAAAATATTTAAATAAAGGGGATCTAAACAAATAGAAAGTCATACCATGTTCATGAATTGGCTCAATATTGGAAATCCATCAAATCCCCCACAAACTAACCTATGTACTTAATGCTTTCCCAATATAAACTCCAGCAGTTTTTACTTTTTCTGATAAAATTAACTAGTTCTAAAACTCATATGGGAATGCAAAAAGTCCAAAAAGAGCAAAAAAAGGTATTGTCACACATCAGCTAGGTAGGGAAAGAATGGTCTTTTCAATAAATGGTTCTGTGTCTATTAAATAGCATTACAGAAAAACAAATGTGTCCTAACTCTTACTTTACATTGTGTACCAAATTAAATTCCAGATATACTGCAGATTTAATTATGAAGGAAAAAACTACAAAGCATTTGGAGGAAAAAATACAGCAGAACATCTTTCTCACTTGGGAGTAGCAAATATTTTTTAAGACATGACACACAAGGCACATCTCTAAAAGATACACATTGTTAAATCAAACTATATTATAATTAAAATGGTGTGTTCTTCAAAAGACACAAATACAACAGTTAAAAGGCAACCTACAGAGTGGGAGAAGATATTTTAATAAATATATTCAACAAATAACTCATATTCTAAACTTATAAAGAACCTCACAAATCAATTTTAAAAATAGGCATTCCCAATAGAAAAAGAAACTGAAAATGTGAACAAATACTTTATAAAAGAGGATCTTCCATGGCTAACAAATTTATTAAAAGGTGCTCAAATTCATTTATAATCAGGGATATCCAAGTTAAAACTAGCGTATACCCACTAGGATGACCAAAATAAAAAAGACAGACCAGTATCTAAAAGGATGTGGAACAACTGAAACTCTAATACACTAATGGCAGGATGGTAAATTGGTGCAACCATCTCGCAAACTGTTTGGGAGTATCTATAATATCTAAATATCTGCATATCCTCTCACTCATCAGTTTCTCTACTAACTGTGTGCCTAACAGAAATTCATACATATACTCACCAGAAAACAAGTACCAGAATATTTCATAGCATCGCTATTCACAGTAGTCCAAAACTATAACTTTCAAAATCTCCATCAACAGCAGAATGAATAAGTAAATTGTGGTATTTTCATACAGTGCAGTACTAGACTGTAGTAAGATGGAACAATCTACACAGACATACAAGAGTGTGGACAAATCTCAGCAAAAAAAAAAAAAAAAAAAAAAAAAGAATGTGGAGGAAAGAAGCCAGACCCATGAGTTAAAACTATATGGTTCCATTTTCGTAAAAAGTAAAAAATAGCATAACTAATTATTGTTGACAAATATCAAGCTGGTGGCTACTCTTGTAGAAGGCAGGTGATTGGATGGGGCATGGAGTTGGAGAATGAGTTTCTGGTATGCTGGTGAATGCTCCCTTTCTTAATTTAAAAGAGGTTATTCAGCTGGGTTTTGTTTGTGAAAATTCATCAACCTATGTAATTGTGATAAGTCTGCCTTTTTGTTGGAATATTATACTTTAATAAAAAGTAAAACTTAAAAACGAGCAAACAAAAAAACCCAACACCTTGGAAGCAGTTCAGGTACCCATCAGCATCATGAGGTTTACAGAAGAAGCCAGCTCATCCACACTGGATAAGAGGTTCCATCCTAGTTTTACATTCCATCAAATTTTTTTTTTCAGAAATGCAAAACATTTCTAACTTGTACTCTGAGAAATGCAAATCAAAGGAAGAAATATCAGTAACATGGAAAATACTTATGATAGAATGTTGAATGAAAGGAAACAGACCAAAATAATAATAGCAACTGTTTTGGATATAAAAAGGTGGATTCATTCTTTCTCTTTCAACTCATTTATATTTTGCCGATTTTCTATACTAGGGAAAAATTAGTTTTATGAGGGGAAAAAAGGAGGAAATTCCGTTTTTTTCCATAAGACAGAAACATTATGCTCAGAAAAAAACAAAGAGAAAAAATAATGTTTGACGTAATCTTTGCTGGCTAAAAATAACTTTTTATTTAAAAAGTGAGTCGAATTTATGGATTATACATTTGCAACTGTCTACTGGCTTTGGCTCTACTTTACATTTCATGTGTCTGGAATAAAATTCACCCTCCTCATACCATTACTACTTGAAAAATACTTAGTCCTGTGTATTATCAGTGAACTGGTGCCCAAAGCGAAACCTCCCCCACTCCTCTTTTCACAGTGGTAAATCAGTATAAAGCCCACTGCAGAAATTTGTGTGGAACTAGAAATTTAGCTGGAAATGTACCACAATATACCAGTCTTTCTTTTCTATACTCATGGCCCCTTTCTTAGTTTAGGCCCTTGAAGATAATGCTTGGACAATTACCTCCTAAATTATTTTCTTGCCAGTAATTTATCTTTTCCCCAGCACCACGGCCAAATCACAGCTCTGAGTGGGGAACCACATTTGAACAGGTGAGTTTGGTGGTAGGTGGTATGCACCTCCAATTGGCATGAGACCTCAAGCTGTTGGGAATGTCACATTTTTGTGGTTATTCAATGGTGAAAGGTAAATATTTACAAATTTGTCAATTTGGGCCCTCCAATGTGTCTTCTATATAAGCTATAAGGCAACTAATAACAAAGAAAGCAGAAAAAACAATGGTGAGCTGATTCTATGAGCACATAATGAGTTTTATAACAAAATAACGGTGGGGACACATTGGAGCTGCTGCTCCCTGTTTGGAAGCCTCTCTCTCTCCCAGAGAGCACATTGGGATGCTCATGGCTAATTCAGGTTATTTCTAAAGATTTTATTAAGAGTACTTGCTGGTGGGTTACCATTTTATATGTATGTGTGTGTCTGTATACATATATATACATACATATGTATATATACACATACTTGTATATATACATATACAAGTGTATATATATACATATTGCATATGTAAATGTGTACAAGTATGTGTATATATACATATAGTAAAAATAGTACATATACATATACCAGTATGTGTATATATAGATATGTGTGTATATATACATATATACATATATGAGTGTATATATACATATATACATATATGTGTGTATATATGCCTCCTTTGAAACAAGTTGTGCCTTTGTATTCTTCTACATCTTACATTTAATTTTGTATTACTGTAAAATATTTTCTAATTATGAACATTTTATTATGAACATTTGTTAATATTATTTTATATTAATCATGAATAATTATCAATAGCAATAATTTTATTAAGTAGTGTTATAATTATAATTTATATTCTGTATTTATTCACAGACTAGTCCCTTCTGCCTTCTGGGCAGGTCACATCTGAAAGATTATCCTCTTTGAATCAGTTTGAATGTTCTAGTGACCAGGCCACACAGTTTCTCTTGACATTTAAAAATGTAAGTTGTTCCACCCAGCCACAGAAGCATACCTAATGTATGATTCTTATTTATTTAAAGGCGAAAACAGACCAAGCTAATCTATGGTGTTATAAGTCAAGATGGTGGTTGCATTTGGGGGTGGTAGTGACTGAAAAGGGGCATAAAGGTGGGGGCAGGGCTTCAGGAGTGCTATAATGGACTTTGTTCTCAATGTGGGTGCAGATTGCATGAGTGGGTTCTGATTGTAAAAATTCACCAAGCTGTGTGTTTTAATGTGCAATTATGTGAATAAATATTACACTCCAATAAAAAGTGAATTTTTTTCTTCTAAAAAAAATGGGATACATGTGTAGAACATGCAGGTTTGTTACATAGGAAAATGTGTGCCATGGTGGTTTGCTGCACCTATTGACCTGTCCTCTAAGTTCCTTCCTCTCATCCCCGACCCCACAACAGGCCCTTGTGTGTGTTGTTTCTCTCTGTGTCCATGTGTTCTCATTGTTCAACTCCCACTTATGAGTGAGAATATGCGGTATTTGGTTCTCTTTTTCTGTGTTAGTTTGCTGAGGATGATGGCTTCCAGCTTCATCCATGTCCCTGCAAAGGACATGATTTCATTCCTTTTCATGGCTGCATAGTATTCCATGGTGTATATAGACCACATTTTTTTATCCAGTCTATCATTGATGGGCATTTGGGTTGGTTCCATGTCTTTGCTATTGTAAATAATGCTGCAGTAAACATATATGTGCATGTGCCTTTATAGTAGAATGATTTATATTCCTTTGGGTATATATCCAGTAATGGGATTACTGGGTCAAATGGTACTTCTGGTTCTAGATCCTTGAGGAATCGCCACACTGTCTTCCACAATAGTTGAGCTAATTTACATTCCTACCAACAGTGTAAAAGCGTTCTTATTTCTTCACAGCCTCGCCCGCATCTATTATTTCCTGAATTTTTAATAATCACCATTCTGACTGGCATGAGATGGTATCTCATTGCAGTTTTGATTTGCATTTCTCTGATGGTCAGTAATGTTGAGCTTTTTTTCATGTTTGCTGGTCACATAAATGTCTTCATTTG
The DNA here is from genome assembly GCF_000001405.40 of Homo sapiens. Taxonomy (NCBI): domain Eukaryota; kingdom Metazoa; phylum Chordata; class Mammalia; order Primates; family Hominidae; genus Homo; species Homo sapiens. Next base: position 103,157,277 of record NC_000012.12, read on the forward strand.
AGAAGCGTCTGTTCATATCCTTTGTCCACTTTTTGATGGAGTTGTTTGTTTTTTTCTTTTAAATATGTTCAAGTTCCTTATAAATTCTGGATATTAGACCTTTGTCAGATGGGTAGATTGCAAAATTTTTCTCCCATTCTGTAGGTTACCTGTTCACTTTGATGATAGTTTATTTTGCTGTCCAGAAGCTCTTTAATTAGATCCCATTTGTCCATTTTGGCTTTCGTTGCAATTGCCTTTGGTGTTTTAGTCATGAAGTCTTTGCCCATGCCTATGTCTTGAATGGTATTGCCTAGGCTTTCTAATTGGGTTTTTATGGTTTTGGGTTTTACATTTAAGTCTTTAATCCATCTTGAGTTAATTTTTGTATAACGTGTAAGGAACAGGTCCAGTTTTAGTTTTCTGCATATGGCTAGCCAGTTTTCCCAGCACCGTTTACCGAATAGAAGATCCTTTCCCCAATGCTTGTTTTTGGCAGGTTTGTAGAAGATCAGATGGTTGTAGGTGTGTGGTGTTATTTCTGAGGTCTCTGAGAAATATTACACTCCAATAAAAAGTGAAAAATTTAGAAGTATTTTGTTCAAGTCCTTTTCTATAAATGATTTGCAGAAACATGACCATATATGTTAAATGGTATGGAAATTCAGAAATAGTAATTTCATATAATTCTGTTATACTCTGAAAGTTTCTTGATTCATTACTCTCTCACAAAGAAATATTTTCTTATGATTTTTTAAATTTTCACTCTATTATGTTTCAAAAGAGGATATTAAGAAACAATAAAAAAGTATTTTCATTCTGGTGGTAAGAATGCCAATCATAAAAATAACAACTACCACTTTTTGAATGTTTATTATACATCACAAGCATTGCGTGGATTATCTCTGATATTCCCAATGTCTGATGAGATGAATTTTGTTATTTTCTTGCAGATGGGATAACTGAGGCTCAGAGACTTTATTTAATTTTCCCAAGTCCAGGTAGATTTATGTCAGGTTTCATTCCCAAACCTGTTCTTCTGGCACCACATCACATTGCCCATGGGTCTGTTTCTCACAAAAATGCCAGTTCACTGAAATATACCACGAAGATAGCTTCTGCGCTGACCACTCAGCACTGTAGAGACTTGGAACACATTCGCTTCCATTTCTAAGGATTCCTAAGGAACCCTTAGGCTGTGGATGTTTTTGTTTTTGTTTTTAACCTTATCTTCCTAAGTTAATATCCCTCCTAAGTACTTAGATAGAGCTTGAAGCACCATGAAAATGTATTGGAGATTCAATTTCATCTTCTGCTTTGTAAAAATATAAAAATGGATTGATGGCTAGGTGTGGTGGCTCATGCCCAAAATCCCAGCACTTTGGGAGGCCGATGTAGGCTGATCATGAGGTCAGGAGTTTGAGACCAGCCCGGCCAACATGGTGAAACCCCGTCTCTACTAAAAATACAAAAAATTAGCTGGGCGTGGTGGCAGGCGCCTGTAATCCCAGCTACTTGGGAGGCTGAGGCAGGAGAATCACTTAAACCCGGGAGGCGGAGGTTGCAGTGAGCCGAGATCGTGCCACTGCACTCCAGCCTGAGCAAAAGAGCAAGACTCAAAAAAAAAAAAAAAAATGGATTGATAGTCTAGATATCCTAAAGCTGATTTTTTACATCAATTACAATAAATAAAATAAGGAGACATGAGTGAAAGGTGGTAGAAGGTACAGTTTTATCTGTTAAGAGAAAAAAAAATTTTCCATCAATAATCTATCACAAAACATAGATCTTCTTTGACTATCATGTGGAACTCTCGACAGAACTTTTAAACCCTCCTGGTATAGAAAGGAGAGAATGGATTTATTTGTCTCCTTGCCAGAAGATAGGCAAGTAAAGCTTCTTCCATTGATTTTTTTAAAGTATACATAAAGGCTACAATTAGACTGATAGAATTGCATTATAGACAAACTTCTATCCCTGCACCTCTTCTTCCCCTTTACCTCTTGCCCACAGTCACACGACTTTTTCTTCCACTCCAGTGGTGCATGTCTACAGAGGCAGTTCCTGGCCTAATGTTAGTGATGACACAGATTAATTTAATTCTTAATAAAAAATTCACTGAGTGCCTGCCATATATACTAGACGTTCTATGTATTGGATTCTGAGGCTATGATGGTAAGTTGGATATTTCTCCTGCCTTCAGAAAGCTTCCAGTCTTGTCACTAATGGATTTGGGGTCCAGTACCCTTAAAATCACCTCAGAGCTGCCTGAATCCATAGACTACTTGCAGAATCACTGGTTTTACTTGGATCAAGCCATCTGAGAAGGTATCTGTCTCAACAGCCCCCCAACCTCCACCCTCCCTGCACTTTTATTTAACAAGTCAACTGTTTTCTGCAGCAAACACCATTTGCCATCCATTTAATTTCCCCTTCAATACTCAGGTTCACACTCTCCTTTGCATTGTCCCATTTGTCCCTATGTTCATGGTCCCCTCCAGTTGTATCCTAGGAACATGTGTGTGCACATGCATCATCTCTCCAACTCTTTGAAGACAGGGACCCCTGACTCTTAGTTAGTGCATGCTTAGAATGCCTTGTTCAGACTTGGTTTGCATAGTCAATTTAGCTTAGGAAATATTGTTGGTCAACTGACTATTCAATAGATGACTCTGAGACTGCCTATTCCATATTTCAAAACAGATTGGCTAATCCAGAAGTGTTTCTTTGGGATGAGGCCAGCTGAGGTGGAACAACAGGGCACACTATTCAATGGGGGTATTTAGCTCATTGTGTTTGACGTATAATCACAGGGCAAGAGTTTGTCAAAAGTAACTGATAATGAGCATTGCGCTTTCCTTGCTAAACCTAATTCTGTGAGAAAAAAAGTCAGATAGAATTAAAGGAAAATTCCATCATTGATCCTTCCCAGAATCTGTCCTAACATCAAAAATTCCAGAGGTTCTACAGCAAAGCAGAGTGGAATAATTCCTAGAACCACAGGGAGTTGCATAGATTTAAATAAAATTCTTATGAGCAAAACTACCAAGTGCTATTCCATTCCCACTCCTCCTTTCCTAGAAAGGTGTCCAGTTATTCCAGAAGTCAATGTGAAAGGTTTATAGGAATTACCCTGTTCTCTAATACCCTGTATTCACATTTTAGAATGACTTTATGTCTTTAAATCTAATACCCTGAACATTGTTCTCTAATAAAATTTTCCCCCAAGTAAATTTTTCCCCCAAGTAAAGCAAAGGATAAGCAGGAGTGGGACTTGAAATCACCATTTACAAGGTATGGGATGGATTCCTCAAAGAAGATCCCTCAAGACTACAGCAATTGCAGGCTGTCTATATTTGCTAATAAAACCCCTTGCTGAGTAGCCACTGAACAGTGCAACACCCCAATCCCTTATTGAATCCCAGCCCATACTTCCTAAGGCAGTTAGACTCCTCCTAAGCTAGACTTCACAGATGATTTCCATGCTTTGGGGAAAATACAGTTCTGGAACACAACTAAACTGTGACCCTGGATGAGGCAGGCTATCTAGACATACCAACATAGTGTAGTGGCTAAAAGTCAGATTGCCTCATTTTGTTCTGGACTTACTGGATTTGTGTGAGTGCCAGCTTTACCACTCACTATACAGTCACCCTGTGGAGTAATTTGCTTAATTTCAGTTTCCTCAGCTGCGGAAAGGTAGAAATAACCCTTATTGAGCTATTTTGAAGACTGATTTAGACAACCTATGTGAAACGTTGAGCATAACGTCTGGCATGCTTGATTGCTCAGTAAATTATTATTTGTCCCACTCCACTGGATCTCAGACGCAAAACGTGTAATGGATACCATAACTTTCCAAAGTGGGGCAGGCTTTCCACTCTTGTGATTGCATAAATTCTAAATCTTAGAGTTTCTCTTGGAGATACCCAAGTCTTGAGGAAAATCTTCACTGCTTAATCCTGAATCCAAGACTAGAAGAGGGAATTTATAACTTCCAAATAGTTAAGCATTGAAAGGTGGGATTGAAAAAGTGTCCTTTTAAAGTAATTTGAGGGCATCAGCCTTCTCACTAGCATGTCCCAAAGTGACTAGTGCCTAGCACTAGTTCTGCAAAATGCTAAAAAAAAAACCCATGATCAAATACATTTTAAAAAATTACCACCTACCATCTCCCTCTCTTGTAGATTTTTATATACCTCAACATATTAAAGGTATGAAAAGATCATGCAGAAAAAAACCTGTTCAGCTTCATCTCACATAGTATTTCTGCCACTTATTTCACCACAGATACTTTGTTAATATCTTGGAACTCTTGTTTTTAGAAAAAAGCATTGGAAATGGAGGAGACTGTCAAGGACAATAATAAATGATGGTACTGTAAACACCTAGCATTCCATTTTGCCAAATTCTAAAAAAATAAAAATAGAATCTTAAAAATTGCACAGTAGTTAGTACTGGGCACAATTAAGTTCTCCTTTCACAAAATGATCTTACCTGGGCCTGAATACCTGAGGTCTTGCTCACACTGGCGTGGTTACAGGGGTCATGTACACAAAAATGACCTATTTGTTTGTGAAGAACTTTATGTACTTATTAAGCACAAATAGCTTGAGTTTGATTTTGATTTTTCAGAAGAAATTGTTTCTTAGAAAACTGATCATCAAACTCCATTCCACACCAGTTTGTTTTCCCCTCTCGCACTCTCTTTGTGTAATAGAATCTGTTCCCACAGGTTTGGGGAATATAAAAGAAGCCTACAATCCCCCAGCCCCCCTTCCCTTTTCCCTCCTAATGCCCCAGAGCAGCTAGTAGGGTTTATTGCTCTTCCCCAACATTGGCTCCTTTCTATACATGGAGTAAGATTGATGATCCTCATTCTAAAATGTGAAGATCCAGCATGCGCCTTTGTCCTATGTCCCTTGAGAGTGAATTGGCATAAGCAGCACTCGGTAAAGAGGCAGCACTTTTTGGTACATCAGGAGTGACAGTGACAGTATGGAGCAAGCCTGCGGGGGCCTCTCCACCACCCCCACTCCTGTCAATCTCTACCTTGAGCTCAGTACCCACTGGGGTAGACTGCTGCCTCACCAGACAATATCATGGAAAGAGTGCTCAGGTCCAAATCCCCTGCAGGGCCCACTTTGCAAGGTTGGCTGGGGGAAGCTGTAGCCATAGTGAAATGGCCCTTTATTTAAAAGCACCTTCAGTTACAACTGTGAGGGTACATAGATGTCAAGCCAACAAGCTGGTGTGTGTGTGTGTGTGTGTGTGTGTGTGTGTGCAGGAGCATGTGTAACCACACATCTGTACACCTAAGAAGAGGGAAGCCAATCAATAACTACTCTGTATTTCTTAGCTCTCCTCTTGGAAGTCAACCTGCATGACTCCAAAGGCAGGTTGCACAAACCTGGCATCTTACAAGATTCTCATCAGGCTCTCATTTTTTTGTGTCACTAGTTTGGCTGAAATAAAAACTCAAAGCCCCCACAATATTGAACCACCATTCCAGACCCAGCCAAGGTTTGGAACATAAAGTGAGCTGAATGAATCAGCCTGCAGGCAACCCAGAGAAAGTAATTGTTCATCCTAGCAGCACGGCTGCTTTTCTGCTTAGCATCTGAACAAGTTAATTTGGAAACACAGCCTTCTGGAAAGAAATGGCGCTTCTCTCAGCATCCCATGGATTCATGAGGTGAGATGCCCTTTCACCAGGTAGAAACAGTAAATTACATTTGAAATCCATTTCTATTGAAGGAGAAAAAATCCTTCTTTTTCCCAGGAGCTCATCTTTTTGCCTGGTAGCACCATTTAACATCAATTGCCCAACTTCAGAGTTCACTTTTTACTCACATCAGTGTCTGGCAACTAGGGGAAGAATTTTACTAGTTGAACAAGGAGCAGTTGAATTAAATACAAAATCACATAAAGAAGTTTGTTCTTTGCTAATCCTGGGCTTCAAGGAACTGATCTCAGCAGCATCTAAATTGGACAAATTGGCTAAATTGATCCTGCTTCATAGAAAGGGTACTTCATCTAGATCCAATCAATGGCAGATTGAGGTGTGATGTGAAATGAGGGGAAGGAATCAGGTAGCCAACTATTTATAGGGTAGAAGTCTGGCTTTAAGGAGTAAAAATGCCTCCATTTCATGTTGGTTTTATTACCCCTTAAACACCAGTGCCCTTGAATTGTGTGCTCCAGGACTGCCCTTGTGTTTGAGCTGAGGGCTGGATGGCAGTGAGCTCAGAAAGAGAGAACTAGAGAAATCTAATCTAGACATTGTGTCTTTTGTTCTGTCCACAGCTTGACCAGTCTGTATTTGACCTTCCATCACCAATTAATTAAAAAACAAAAGCAGAGAGGACCTTCTATGTTTCTGGCATTGAACTAGATCTTTTACAAAATTATTTTTAATACTACAGGCCTGGAAAGTCAGTTATCAAGTATAACTGAGTAGGTTTGCCTGGATGTTCATCCCAGCCCCCAGTGATTAGCTGTGTGATATGGGGTGAGTCAGTTTAGCTCTCTGAGCCTCAGTTTTCTCATCTGTAAAATTGGGATAGTTAAAGTGCCTACTTCATAGGGTCATGGAGAGGATTAAATGTGATAATTATTTAACAAGCACTTGTTACAGTGCTTCTTATTCTCATCTGGGGAAAAAGGCTCAGAGAGGTCAATTTATCCCAGTCCTTACTAATAAGTCACAGAGTTGGGGGGTCCAAACTAGATTTACTGTACACCAAAGCCCATGCACCTTCCACCAGGTCATGATGCAATGATCAGAAGCAATTATTATAAGCCCAGTGTTGTATGCTCTGTGCTAAGATCTGTAAAATGGAAAAGCAAAGGAAACCCAATGTATCGTTTCTCTTCTCAAAAGCAACCTAGACAATGAACACTAATGTATGGTACTGACCATAAGTGGAATAAGAGTCTCCACAAGATGCTCTGTGTCACTTCAGACAACAACAACCCTATTCGTATCTCCATATATCCTATGCTACCAGGCTTGAATCTTAGGAAACTTTCAGTAGTCACTTCTTGTTCTCTAACATCACAGCTGTTTGTATACTTACAGACTCTCCTATCCCCTTTCATAGAAATTATACATTTATATATGACTCTTTCTTCTTCTTGGCAGCAGCTCCTTGAATGCAAATATTGCCTGATATTTTCATGGTAAGTTCTGAGCAAATAGGTGCTGGACGAATGAATTACTGAATAAGTGAGTACATTTCTTTATTTGCCAGGAAAGAATTGGGCATTGCTTGCATAACTTCTGTCTAAGGCACAGGGGGTGGGTGCCAGTATAAAAGACATTGTCCTGAAGAAATTTACATAGTATATCAATATTTTCCATATACTTATACTAATATTTTTAAGTTTGCATTGTTGTCTGTGTTACTTTTGTAAACCTTTTGTTTTCATCCAGATTCAAAGCTCTTGGAGAGCGGAAACCATGATGAATACTCCTTTATTTATTCCATGTAACACTCCAGACAAGAGTAGGCTTTGATTCTGTCGTATTGAATTCAATTACCGGTTCAGTAGGAGAGACAAGATAAATTGGCAGGCAACCCATGTGTATCAGTATACTCACAAATGTGGAGTATTAGGATATTAGGATAAAATATGCTCAGAGTTGAGAGAATTTAATGAAACCCATGATACTTAGGTAGGACAAATGTCTTCAGACAGAGAAATTAAGGTTTACTATCACATATGTGAACCCTGAAAGAGCCAGTCTGTAAAGTTGGATCCTGAGTGGCTAACTGGGCCTAAATTCAAAATAGAGTGAAATGACCGTTTGCTGACTAGAGGTCACACACATAGTCTGTGTTCCTGGAGAACCCCCATGCTCACTTAACTTTGGGATTTGTATAGCTGTCTGTTCCTATTTATGCCACCTGAATCAACCAATGGACAATGACCTGCATTGGCCAATCAGAACTCAAGAAGCATCAACCAATTAGAACTAAGCAAGTTTGCATTCTTTATCCGCATAAGCAAACCAAAGTGGGAAACCGGGCAGGCACTTTCCCTATAAAAGACAGGCCCTCTCTTTGTTCTCTTGAAACATGGCTGCATCTCCCAGGTTTGCAAACTGTTAGCTGTAATAAAGTCTCTTTCCCCTTTTCAAAAGAAAATTATTTTCAGTGGATTCTGGTTCAACTTTCTTCATGACGAAATTCACCTGTGAAGTGAGGGAGAGGATTGCAAATATATGCCAAAGATAACAATAGGTCTGAAGGTGGCATATAGAAACAGTGGCAGGTAGAGACTCAAATTCACATAACTTAGCCAACTAATGGACTATCTCCTTCCTGTTTTTCTTTAACAAATGCAATTAAAAAAATCACACAGGTTAGTCTTTTAACCAGTCATGTGCCTGGTGCTGTATCAAGAGCTGTGGAAATAGCAGTCACAAAGCCAGGCAAAATCACTGCCCTTAAGAAGCTTATAATCTGAAGACATCACAGTGCGCATAAAGAATGAAACCAGGCCGGGCGCGGTGGCTCACGCCTGTAATCCCATCACTTTGGGAGGCCGAGGGGGTAGATCACTTAAGGGCAGGAGTTCTAGACCAGCCTGGCCAACATGGTGAAACCCCATCTCTACTAAAAATACAAAAACTAGCCGGGCGTGGTGGCGGGTGCCTGTAGTCCCAGCTACTCGGGAGGTGAGACAGGAGAATGGCGTGAACCCGGGAGGGGGAGGTTGGAGTGAGCCGAGATCGCGCCACTGCACTCCAGCCTGGGTGACAGAGCGAGACTCCGTCTCAAAAAAAAAAGAAAGAAAAAAGAAAGAGAGAGAGAGAGAAGGAAGGAAGGAAGGAAGGAAGAAACCACAAGAAGTGTGAGTAGAAACACAGGCCCTGAAGTCAGCCTCTCTAGGTTTGAATCCTAGCTCCCAGCAAGGACTCTGAGACCTTGTGCAAGTAATATGAATGTCTCTGTGGCTCATTTTCTCCCATTATACAGTGAAGAAAATAGGATTAGGTTTATAGGGTGGTTGTTCTGAATATTTAATGAGATAATAGAGGAATAATTTAGTGGAGCTCCTATTAAATGATAAATGCTTAAAAAAAGTTAGCTATTATTGTTATTAAAGAAAGGTGATATTCTTATTCTCAAGAATGAGACACTCTAATAAATAGTTTGTGTATTTTATTTTATTCCACTTGATTTTCAAAACAAGTTAATGATGTAGGTATTGTTATTCTTATTTTATGGGCAAGAATACAAAGATTTTTAAATAACATAATTATAGTCACATAATAAATGGAGTCAGAATTTGAATCCAGGTCTATTTCTTCCCAAAAGTCATACTCCTTCAGCTAGTCAATCCTCATTTAATAAATTATTGAATTCAAAGGCAATAAACCCTTCTCTTCATTTTTAAAATTCTTGCCTGAAATGAGATATTTCAATTCATATTTATCCTTTTCTTTCTTCTTGTGCTGTCTTTACTCTTTCTTTACATACCCATTTGATTTAGTGTTATGATGAGATGGGTAAATATTTTCTTCTCAACCTGCAAATTAACTTCTTAAGGCAAAATTTCATCCATCTTTTTTTTTCCTTATGTTGTTCTGCAATACAAATAGCTCAAAATAGAGCTTGGCACTTAGTAATGGCTCAGAAAATTAGCTTTTATTATAAGTGTTATTAGTCTTTATCTTTATCGACTCTTCTAAAACATCTACCTGACAACATTTTGATATTTCTAGTCCTAAATTAAATTTCTCCTTGCTGTTATCCAAATGTTCACGCTTTTGAAATAAATTGCTCTTCTCACTAGTGTGTATGGCCTGTGTGTCACATTACATCTCAGATTGGACAGGTTTCTCTGACCCTGATAGTCTTAGTGGTTGCGCAATCATGTTCTTCACATCTAGATCCTCCCAGGTGTATGTTCTGGCCTGCTCCGACTTGGCCCAGCCCCAGGTACTACAGACCTTCAAACCCAAGTCAGTATCACCAAGGTCCTGTTCCAAAGAGAACCAAGTCTGGCAGGAGATTAGGAGCTGCATCTCCTCCAGAAACTCATGCAGATATTTGGCTTACTTTCCTAAGCCTGAACTATAGGGTTCCCGGAGATTTACTGGACAATTTTGTGTCCCCCCAAATTGAAGCTTCTCCCACTCATCCCCTCTACCTGGCTTAGGCTACAAATCTCTAGTCCTTGAATTGAACACTAGTCATTTCTCTAAGCTGAGTCTTTTATTGAACTCACTGAAGCCCCGATGAATTCCTATCTCTTAACAGCTCCCTCAACCTGGAGCCCCAGCCAGTGACTGGGTTACTGTTTCAACCCAGTGGATTTTTTTCCAGGAAAAAATATGTTGCTCCTCATTCACTATTGGCCAAAATCTCCTCTTGCATTTCTTCCATCCAATGAAAGGGATTTTGACATTTCATTTCAATAAGCATTTAGTATGATGTATCTCTTAGCTTAAGCACTTAACAGCACAAAAAATAAATTAGACTTATTCTTGAGAAACTTTTAGAGTTATGAGACAAACCAACAGTAAATGAAAAAAAAATGCGCTTTAAATGGAGGTAAAAAGTAAGCTAGAAACAGAAAGAAATATGTAACATACTATCTCTGAGGGGTGGGCGTGTGTGTGTGTGTGTGTGTGTGTGTGTGTGTGTTTGTGTCTGTGTGTGTGTGTGTATACTGCAAATGGTTAGAAAGAACAGTCTCTAACAACTGAATTCTGAAAAATTTCCATGTTTTTAATTGTGTCTGTTAATATGTACATGCATCTCTTTATAGGTGAGGGAGAATGGGAGAAACAAGAAATGATTACATTATTGTGGATACTTTTATTCACCACAATGGAAGTCTTTAAACATAAAGTTGATGTACATTAAGAGGCAAGACCCAGGGCATATCATCTAAAGAAGATTCCTCCCACTTTTCTTCTGCTTACACCAATCCATCCAACCATACATGAATTTATATTCAATGTACTCAATTTATTCAGTGTATAATATTGCTTTGTGAACTATGGGAAATATAAATATGACTCAGTTTTTCCCCTCAAATAACTGACATGCTACTTGAGCAGATAACATATTTAAGAGCCTGATGATATCTTAGATATTACCTAGTTCAACTCTTTCAATCAAGAGAGATAAAGTAACTTTCCTGAGGTTGCACATCAGGATAAGGAGTCACATCCCTATCTTATCACCTAAATACATTATTCTCACTATGTTATACTTGCTTTACATAGTGAGCTTACACTTACATGAAAAATTCAACATGGCAAGGCAGTATAGGATGAGAGCTAAAATATTATAAAACCAACATTAGTTTTCATTTATTGAGTGCTTACTAGGTATCAGACACCATTCTAAGTTTATTTCTTAACCCGTTTAAAAATCAGAACTGGGTATATACCCAAAGGATTATAAATCATTCTACTATAAAGACACATGCACATGTATGTTTATTGCAGCACTATTCACAATAGCAAAGACATGGAATCAACCCAAATGCTCTTCAATATTAGACTGGATAAAGAAAATGTGGCACATATATACCATGGAATACTATGCAGCCATAAAAAAGAATGAGTTCATGTCCTTTGTAGGGACATGGATGAAGGTGGAAACCATCATTCTCAGCAAACTAACACAGGAACAGAAAACCAAATGCCACATGTTCTCACTCATAAGTGGGAGTTGAACAATGAGAACATATGGGCACAGGGAGGGGAACATCACACACTGGAGCCTGTTGGGGGATGGGAGACAAGGAGAGGTATAGCATTAGGAGAAATAACTAATGTAGATGACAGGTTGATTGGTGCAGCAAACCACCATGGCATGTGTATACCTATGTAACAAATCTGCATGTTCTGCACGGATATTCCAGAACTTAAAGTATAATATAAATAAATAAATAAATAAATAAATAAATAAATAAATAAAATAAAGATTAGGGTGGAGCAGCCAGCTTCTTCGTGCACTATGTAAATGGAATACCTGGTCCAACCAATCCTCTGTGCCCTATGTAAATCAGACACTGCCTCCTCAAGCTCATCTATAAAACCAACCACATCTCACTGGGAACCGAGAGACCCATTCCGAACCTCTTCCCTCTGCACAAGGGAGCTTTTCTCTTTTGCCTATTAAACTTCCATTCTTAAACTCAAAAAAAAAAAATCAGAACATCTCTAGGAGGTAGACATTATTATAACATGCTTTTTACAAATTAGTAAATGAGGTACAGAGAAGACAAGTAACTTATCCAAGATCATATGGTTAGTATGTATAAGAAATGAGTTTTAAGTCTAGAAAACCCACCTCCAGTGTCAGTGCTCTTAAACACAATGCATTACTTTTTCAAAACCTGTAGATTACTCAGAAAATAAATGCTACTACAGTGTTATAGTGGGCAAAATAATTACATTGTTAATTGATTAAAGAAGGTGTTTTGGATGAGATAGGATATATCATTAAAAAGATATACATATAAAAATTTGATATGCTAAAAATAAAAAGGATAAAATAAAAATGATAGAGCATGAATAGATATGAGTAAAGGTGAATGTGCAAGACATAGATTAGTGAACAGACCAAGGTTAGAGCAATGGTTCATGCTGAGAGGAATAGGAGGTTCAGAAGGAAAATATAAATAAGCTCTGGTACTGGACTAAGGAGCTCCCATTGAGCTTTTTTCAACTGAGAATTGACATTGAATAAAGTATGTTTAATTTTGTATATAGAAGGAACCAAAAGCAACAGATCAAAAAATTGGAAAGTCAAGAAGCTAAAAGGCAAGACACCAGTGTAGTACTCCAGGCTTGAGTGGTGAACACTCCACTAATTTTTTCCCAACCTACTGGCTATGCCTTTGAGTCTCCTTTGCTGGGTACTTTTCATCTTCTTGGCCCTTAAATTTTGGAGTGTCCCAGATTTCCATTGTCAAGTCTCTTTTCTTCTCTATGTACAATTATACCCTTATGCCATGACATTAAATAGCCTGCATATGCTAATAATTCTTAATTGCATGCTTAATATTTTCATTTGGATGTCTAGCCTTACATGTAGTCAGATAAAAACCTGACATTTTAGTATTCCTCTGGAACTTTCTCCTCCTCTCTTCATTCAGTGGCTCAAGGTCAGTCTTGACTCTTCCTTACACAATGCTTGTCAGCAAATTACATCTATTTTCAAGTTTTGACCACTTTATACTTCCCCAATACCCTAGTGCAAGCTTCCATCAGCCTTCCACTTTTCTCACTTACTTGTCCATTTCTCCTCTCCTCGTACACATACTCTGTTCTCTATATAGTAGTATGATCCTTTAAAAAAAAAAGCCAAATCCTGCCATTTTCCATTGATTATCTAATCCAGTACAATCCAAGATTTCTTGTGATCTTCAACAAGTTTCTGCATGAGCTGTGTCCTGCCATCTCTCTCTCTTCTCCAACCCCTTTTCATCACTCCATTTACACCCAACGCACTCAATTCAATTCAATTCAGTGTATGCTACTGCTTTGTGAACTGTGAAGAATATATTAGTAAATATAAATTGGCTTGTTGTCTTAAAATAACTGACAATGTAGTTGAGTTGATAAGATATTTTAGAGCCTCGTGATATCTTAAAGATCATCTAGTGCAACTCTTTCAGTCTGGAGAAGAGAAGTGACTTTTTGAGGTTGCACATCAGGACAAGAAGTTGTATCATTTATCTTTTTACCCTATACTCATCCCATTATGTTATACTTGCTTTTTATGTTATATGCTCCTGCCACATAGATTTCTGTACTGTTTCTAGGATATACCAAGTCCCTTCTTTCCTGGAGCTTCTTAGCTCTTCTAGATAACACTCATCCAAGATTGTCACCTTTATTTATTGAGATTTCTGCTAAAGTATCACTAACTCAAAAGGACCACTAAAATAGCAGCCATCCCAATACTATCTATCCACTGACCCTGCACAATCTTTCATTATATCACTTATCAATAACTGAGATTATATAAACACCTCGGTATATACTTATTAGTTGTTTATTGTCTATCTTCCCTTCCTAGAGAGTAACTTCTATGAGGGCAGAGGCATTGTCTGCCTTGTTCACTAAGAGGCCCTCTATAAATATTTGTTGAATAAAAGACTGGATGAGTGAGTGAATAAACAAATGGATAGGCATGAGAAGTAACTCTTAAAAGTATAAATAAAGGATGAAATAGAAGGAAGAACTGTTAAGAAGGAGTATTTTGTAACTCTCACAATTGATTGGATCTGAGAAATCAATGGGGAAGGTAGAGTTAAAGAGTACACCAAGATATTGAGTCGCAGGAGCTGGAAGAATAGTATTTTTAATAAATTGAAGAGTTGGAAAATATAAGTAAGTGTTAGAGAAGGAAATTAAAGGCATTAGAGAGACAGTGGTATTGAAGTATGGGACTCCATAAGATTTCAGACTAGGGGAACGAAACAGGAGAACAATGAAGATCAAAGATTAAGCCTTGGGGCCCACCTACGCCTAGGTTTGGGGAAGAAGAGACAAGTCTTCTCCCTCTTCTCTATATTGGTATTATAGGACTGAAGAAATGTACCAGACTGAAGGTGAGTTAATTAGTGGGCCAGGGATGACAAAGGGAACCCAGTGTCAATGGCACAGAAAGACTAAAGTGGTGGGGATAACACAGGGAGAAAATGTAAAAGGCCAGTGTCCCTATGTTGAGCACTGTAGGAACTTACAATAAGAAAATGGTTTGTTTGGAGAACCAGAATGAATTAGGTAGGGCACAAGATAGGGCAGAATGGTGAGTCCAGAGGCAAAGGCCAAGTCCAGTCTGTTTCTAAGAATGGGCATCATTCATTCATTCCTTCATTCATTTCTCAAATTTTAGGCAGGAGGGAGGCTCCTCCTGCCTAAATTCATGAATAAGACAGGTCTCCTGCTTTCATAAATTTCCCAATCTGTGATAGCAGGAAAAACAGAATAGGGTAATATGCATGAAGCAAAGCAGGAAAGGTGGGGAGTTGAGTGGGTAGAAGAAATAGCTCTAAGGAAGTCTAGCTCATGAGTACGTGGTGAAGTAACTAAGTGACAAGATGGTGTCAGGAAGTTGATGGAATGAGCCAGAGATGAGCAGCCCACAGTTGTAGGACAATTATGATGATACTAGCAATTATAATATTTTTATAGAGCTGTCAGTTTCCTTTGGTCTGCCTACCTTTTCCCCTTGCTGATATATCTCATTCCTCACAATGCTATGTGGAGTATATAATATTCCCCCACTATTTATGGATGAGGAAACAGGGTCTCAGAGAAGCAAAAGACTTGCCTAAAGTGTCACTCTCCCTAGACAAACTCTAAGTTGGAGGTGAGCTATTTCACTGCAGTGTCATGTGGCAACCCCACAAAGTCCTCTGCTGACATCACTGTATTTCCTAATAAATCATACCCAGATTTTATTGGCCTATTTCAAGGATATTGCTACAAAATATTTCCAACAGTTTCAGATGTTTTTCCTGGAATTTTATCCAAAAGAAGAACATAGTATAATAACACAATACTAAAGCTAACATAAGCCTCTTTTGTGCCTAGAATCTAAATTTTGTCAAATATATCTCTTGAACTCGTACCCTAGGAGTTAATAATTAAAGTTTCCACCACATAACCTCCAGAGATTTGTTTGTTTTGTTAGTTTATATTGCCCAATAATTTACCTCCAATGACAAAGCTTCTCCCAAACAAGGTTTTGAAGTGTGTGTCCACTTCTCTCCAGGAAATAAATGTTTTTAGGGGGAACATTAGCACCACAGTGGCTGTTAGAGATAAGCCAGTCCAGGCTCCTTAATTAGAGACCAAATCTCAGGTACCAAAGAGTTCAGTGATTTGTTTAGGGGTCCAGAGTTGTTCGTACATTTTACTAAATCCATGTTATTTATTTTTGCTGGCATCTATATAGCCTGTATATAAAACATGAAGTAAAATTGATCAGAAAATATCCAGTTTAATGTTTTTTATTGTATAAATGAAGAAACAGAGGCTCAGAGAGTCTAAGTGATACTTCTGAGTTCACATGGGAAAGCAGCAAAAAAGCTGAACACCCAATTCCCTATTTGGAGATTTCACATGGGACAGTGCTTCTCAAAATAGAGATTGATGGACACTTTCATGTCTTAAAGAAAATCTCCTTCCCACTCTAGCCTTCCTAAATCATGAACTCTGGTGTTATCTGAGGAATCTAAAAGCCCCTGCCTGCAGACTTTCTGAGATCTTACCAAGTTTTTCATGCAGGTCTGAGTGCCTCATACTGTAACAAGACAACTTTTGTCTTTCATTGTATCCTAGACCTTTATGGAGAAATCACCAAAGGCCCTTTGTAACTTTCATTAGACCTCCACTCCTTCTTCTTATATTAATGCCTTCCATTAAACAAATGCACCCTTCCCTCTTAAAAGTCCTCTCCCCGTGATTCTTTCCTTTGGTGGATTGTGCTTGATCCTCACTTCTTCTTCTCCTGATTAATCGTGTGGTTTCTTCTCTACTTTTGTCTCCCACTCACTTCTCTCTCATCTTGTTCTACCAGATTCATTCACTGCAGGAACTCAAGCATACCCTCTATTTACTCATATTGCTCTCACTGTAGGTATTCACAGATTTGGGAAGTGACGATGGATTTAAATACAGGACATCTTATCTGCATTCCTAAACATAGAAGACAAGGTGTTGGATCAACTTGCCCCACATAAAAGAGATTATGAATCCAAATTAGAGGCTATCTCTCTAGACTTACAGATCGCTGCTCATTTCTTGAAACAACACTGCCTCTATTGACTAATAAATGCTACAGTTACCATATGTTCAACACTTACTGTGTTTCAGGCATTCTGCCTAGTGCTTTATCACATTATCTGATTTCATTACTATAACAATCCTATTAAGTCATTATTATGATTCCCATTTCATAGATGAAGGAATTCAGAAATTAAATGCTCTGCCAAAAGTCACACAACCTATGGCAGAGCCCTTACTTGGATTCAGGGTCAACTAAACATACATGTATATCAGAAGTAGTGATTTTTTGAGAACAAAAGGACTAATGTGATTCAAAGTGTGCCAAAAGAACATAGTCTCAGGGTTAATTTGGGAGCTATGTACCAAGCACTGGTCTAAGTATTTTATATGTGTTAAGTAACACAATTCTTCAGTCAACCCATGATGTAGATACTAGCATCAGCATTCTCACTTTACAGATGAGGAAGTGGAGGTAGAGAGAAGTATATTGCCCCAGGTCACACAGCTGTTAGGTAATAGAGATAGGATTCAAACTCAGGGAGTCTGTTTTTTAGCCTGACTTCTAATCGCCAACCAACGTTCCCTCTGAAAATCTGTTAGTTAACAGCAATCTTCAAATGTTTAAAATATTTGAAAGCCATTTTGTAAACAATCGAAGTATATCAAAATTATGATTCATTTTTCTATCTCAAAACTAGAAAGCATACCTAATTCATTTTCAAATTCATATCTTCTAACAGTTTTAAATTGTATTAATAAAATTCAGTGACTAGTGGGAAGAAAGTGCTATCAAATCTCACCAAGTGATGTCAAAGTTCCCAGAACTTTGAATTTTACTCCAAATGAACCAATATAATGTACATATGGTTTTTACTGATAGTTACTTCATGTATCCAGCGAAAAGTAAATTGTATTATGATTTGCCACACATATGCTAATGTATGAAATTATTCTGATTACCATTTGACAAATCAGTAGCACAAATAAAAATACTAATTACTGATATCCAACCAATTTAGATGCATTATAATTTCTATTTGCTCAAAATGCAAGGATATTATATGCTATAGGATATTGTCTCCTAATAGGTAATTACCCTAATAGGTAATCAAAGGCACACTTTAATCTTATTATGGAGTAAAGAGAAATATGTCCTATGGCATGAGAATCTATAACCAGTTTTATTCAAGAATAAAATGGCAGACCAGACTGTATTCTATATATAATCTCTAAAAAGTCCCTTTTGTTTTTTTAATAGTGGTGGGACAAAATGCAAAGTCACTCTGATCCCAAGTTATAAATACAAAGTAAAAACAAAATCCATTCACGGACAAACCTACTATTCAACATTGTATCTAATAAACCACAATGAAAGGACAGTTGAACAAGAAAATGTTGCAAAGCTCATCCTAGCCAAGAGTTGGCGAGCTAGAAGTTTTAAAATGCATATGCCCTAAAAATTGGGCGCTCATCTTCACCACAGTGAAAATAAAGCCCAAGGAGCTTATGTGGCCTCGACTGCCAAAAAGAGTGGCGTGAAGTTCAGGGATCCACCAAGTTTTAGAATCCAAAGGGAAAAAAAATGGAATAATTTTCTATTACACTCCACTTTCAACCTCTCCAGATGGATTACGAAAATAGTGAGAAATCTAACAAAGCATTGCACAACTCTTCAGGCTGTATTTGGGTATATGACAATGAGAGAGAGGCAGCATTTATCAGTTGACTCTGCCCTGGAATATTTTCTTAATGCTGATCTCTGGCAAGGTGACCGGGCACCATGACCCAAACCAAGTGGATGATTAAATCAGCCAATTAATAAGTACATACTGAGATGAAAGGGAGGACAAAGCAGCCAGGATAACTACAGCTGGCACATTTCCCCATGATTAAGCTTTGACCTCCTTAGATCAGCACACTGGATGCTGGACACTGGACACTGATCCTCCATCGAGACCACTGAAATTGCTTGCTGCTGCTCCATATGCCAGAGCCCTGTTGTCCTGCAGGCTTCATCAACCATGTGGCACTTCTCTTATTCTGCTTCTTCCCGCCATGCCATATCCCACCTCCCCCCAGTTCAATACTACTCCTTGGAATTGCTTACCGGCTAATTGTTTGCATCTCATCCCACCACTATTAAAAAAACAAAAGGGAATTGCTATTCTGTCCCTGATTGGATTAGACACTCTTGGGGACCAGGAAAATATTCTCAAACATACATCGTATAAAAATGTCTGAATACATGTGTTTTAGAGTCAGACTTCCCACATTTATAGTCCTAATTCTTTGAGTTACCACTTTCTATCCCTGTGACCTTAAGGCAGGCAGCTGAGTCTCTCTATGCCTCAACTTCTCATATTTATAACAGAGAAAACAGCAACTACATTTTAGGTTTCTTGTATAAATGAGATAATAATGCACATAAGGGTTTATCGGAGTTCCTGGCACACTGGTAAATGTTCAATAATGAATGGAGTCCCAATTTTCTGGCCCAATTTCTAATTTTCTGGTCCCATTCTGTGGTATTATATGTGTCATTTAACTCTCATAACAATCTTTTGTGGTATCACTATTATCCCCATTTTGCAATAAGGAAACTGAGGCACAGAGAGTTTCACCTCATGGGTGAGGTCCTGAAGATAGTCATGGCAGGACCAGGATTTGAAGGTAGGCTGTCTGGCTCTAGGATCTGTGCTCTTCATCTTCATGCTGTACTACCTCAAAACAAAGTCCAATCTGGCAACCACATAGGAAAATCATATGGGACTCTCTCAGAACTTAGGTGCCAATAAGACACCACGACCATTTGTAGTTGAAAATTATGTCCCCGTGAGTAGTTATTATTCATCACTTACATTTTAGTGGAAACAGGTAGACCTGATTTTCCAAAAGGAACTGAGGTCTAATAGAAGCTATGTTTGAAGCCAGCCATAAAAAAAAAAATTCTCCTCAAACTTTCTGTGACCCTTGCTCCATTTTAATTCATTATTCAACAGTTTATGAGATATGAGACTGTATCCTGAATTGCAGAGTATTCTTCTGTTAGGATAGCACTTGCCTGAACTATAACTGTTAAGTAAAGGCAAATGGAAAAAAAAAAATTCTATTGGAAGGATATCCACACCCTGCTTTATGATAGAATGATGACTCCCAAGAGGAAAACAAATAAGACGGCCTGATCCCTAGAAAATCAAGCCACACCATCTCAGCTTCTGACACAATGGCCCTTGGATGTTCAGTGATGTGACTAAATTTTTAAGGCAAGATGAGCCTCCATAAAGTAAGAACAAAATGCTCTCCACAATCTAAACTATGTAAAGGCCTTTGACCAAAAGTTACCCCTAAGTATCTACCTAGAGCTACCAAAGAGAGAACTATTCCCTAGCCACTGCACTACCCTTTCTGACTCCAGGTTTCCAAAGAGCTAAAGAAATGTAAGGGACCCCAAGGAACTAAAACTGCTTGAATAATTTTTTGAGACAAAGCTTGAGAAACAGAAAAGCCGTTCTATATGGGGGAAAGAAATCATTGTGAAAGCATAGAACTGCCACTATGGGCCTTCCAGGGGCACGGCCAGAAACTCTGCTGAAAAACTGACTTTCTTTTACAAGAAATCAGATAATAAGACTCCTTTAAGAAGTACAGAATAGTTAAATTCATCACATAATTTAATTGTACAGGTTATTAAATAGCAGTTTGCCTCTCCTCCTTCTCCGATGCTGCTTTTGTGTATTAAACTCAGACTAATCAAATTGGGGATTCCAAGAGTACTGTATTAGTCATCCTCATCCCTTTTAATTTGTTTAATGGCCGTGTGTGTGTGTTTGTGTGTGTGTGTGTGTGCGCGCGCGCTAACAGCAGTGCATCTCTTAGCCTCACGACAACATGTAAATAAAGAATGGATAGGGAAAGTTTTGCAGAAAAGAATAAAGCGTGTTTCCTTTCTAAAGTTACATTTGATGTTTGAGTAATTCATGGAACGTGTGCTGCAAGCAATGGTGCTTATTATTTCTTAGTGGTCTCCAGACACAGGAGAAGAGCGACGGCGAAGAAAGGAAGGAAGGAAGAAAGAAAAGGAGCCTGAATTTACACTCACCGCTTCAAAAGCCCTTTTGTACTAAGCCAACTTCTCCTGGCTGAAGATGCAGTATCTGCCAAGAAGTCGCCTGCAAGAAAGCACACCACACAACAAAAGTATAAAACAGTCCATTAAAGGGCTCCTTTTCTACCCACCCCCAACTTCTTTTAATAATTTTTTTCTTTTGCATAAAAGACACATTTTTAGAAAGTGGCACTCACTCGGTGCCCTACAATGCTGACTGGGATTAGAAAATAAGCTGCCTCGTTAGTGAAGTTTCGAGTTCGGTTTGGCTGTTTGGGTCAATTGTCTTTTCACCTGGCTCGAGCCACCAAGTCAACGTGAACTAAGAATAGGAGTTATTTAGCATGTAGGACCCGTCGGAGAGCAAGCCTCTCGGAGCAGTGGTCTGAGAGGAGCGAGAATGGCTGTCTTGTTTGGGTGGTTGTTGTTTTGAGCTGCTCTTACACATTCAGACTTTCTGTCCATTCAGCCAGAGAGGCCACGTGTCCGAAACCTGAAAGGGGCTAGTGCTTTAGAGCAACGTGGTTAAACTTGCCTTTTCATATGTGGGATTTTCCATGTGGACAATATTTGTTCTCTAGGCATTTTGAGAAGCCTGCTCATATATGGATGTTTTTCAATGTTTATATTTTCAAGTATGTGTTTAAAAACCAGCATAAACTGTGAGGGATGTGAGAGGGTAGGAGGAAGAGAAAGTAGAAATAAACAAAGAGTGGTCAGTAACTTCTTCCATCACAGCCTGCATAGACACCTGCTGGAAAGTCACAAGTCCTGTGAAATGACTCGCCGAGTGTTTTGATCTCCATGATGCCAACTGGCTGACTTTTCCAATGAACTGACCAGTTGTTTTGGCATCTTTCAGGAACAACTCTGCTTCAATCTGAATTATTTAGAAGTAATTACCCCATGGGTGGATAATCAAGGCCTGTGCTTTCTTTCTATTTTCTTTCTAGGCACCTGCTTTTTGGGGCCTATTTTAATACTAATTCATACCCCAAACTTGAGAAGGGTGTTTCAGTTTACTTCAGTGAACATTTTTATTGAACATCTGTCATGAGCCAAGCACTCTGCTAGATTCTGGAGATAGAAAGATAAAAAGAGGTGATTGTTGCTATCAAGAAGTTTGAGATTTTGTGGGAGACAGACATGTTTTAAAGTAATGTCATGAAAAGAAACCCAGAGTGGTTTGTGGCTATTGGGAAGGAGACTTTTAGCATAACCTGGGACTTTCAGGAATGACCTTTCAAGGCAGTGAAGAATGGGCTGAGATTTGAAGAATATGGAGGAATAAACCAATTAACCAAGTGAGAAAGAAATTTCTGGAAGAAGAAGCCATGTAAGAAAAGGCAAAGAGGCATAAAATGGTGGGATTAGCAGTTCAGTAGACCTGGAGCATAAAATGTGAGAACAGAAAAAGAGGGGATGAGATGGGAAAAAAGAATAGTGGATTATTGCACCATGGAGAGTCCAGCCACCATTTTAAAGCATCTGTACTTTGTCTCAAGGACAACAGGGAACCACTGAAAGGCCAAATTAGAAATATGAGGGGATCAGATCTAAATTTAGTTATATCTTCATGTAAATGGATTTGAAAACAGGCTGTGGGAGAATGGTTAGCAGACTATTACAACCATTCAGGGAAGAAAGAATAAAATTCAGAATGACGGATTTGGTGGTGCAGTTGAGGAAGAAATTCAGATTTGTAAAATGTATGTCAGGCAAAATTAGCAGGATCAGGAAAAGGGAGAGGCTATGATAATTCCCAGATTTCTAGTTTAGACAACAGGATGGTGACAGTGCTGTTGACCAAGAGAGGGCCTCCAGGAAGAATGATCTGAAGGTGAAGGAGGAGAGGAGAAGTAAATAGGGAGCATGACAAATTCTGGTGCCTCCTGGGACAGTGGGACAGAGTTTAGGAGGCAGTCAGACACAGGTAGAGTGAGCTTCCAAAAATCAATGATTTAAACCATGCCTTCCCAATGAAGCCAACATTTCCCTCAATAAAAAAAAAAAAGGTGAAAATTTACTTTTGGTGGGAGGAGTCAGCAAAAAGCTCTTACATATTACAATGGTTTGTGGCTCTTCAAAGGGTCACAAACACATACCTATATATCTATAATGCTATTACAATTTCATGGCGAGGAGGGGAGAAAATTAGGTGGCAAGTAGGAAAAAAACATGTCTGAAAATGATCCTTGGGATGGCAATAACGAACTAAAGATTGAAAAACAATGACTTAAATCTGTGGTTTTATTGTTGGCTGTTACAAACTCAAAGAGAGTTGACTTCGTTGGCTAACATGGAGTTTGGAGCAATATTTGCACTGGAGAAAAAGCCCCTGGATAGCTTAGTACAGTTCTCTTGGGTCAGGATCTTCCAGGTTGCTGTTTATTGAAATGCAGATTCCAGGACTCACACCTTCTGTGATATTGAGAATTCCATATGAGTAGAGCCCAGGAATCTGCATTTAAAATAATTTCCTTTTTTTTTTTTTTTTTTTTTTTTTTTTTTGAGATGGAGTTTTGTTCTTGTTGCCCAGGCTGGAGTGCAATGGCGTGATCTCGGCTCACCACAAACTGCACCTCCTGGGTTCAAGCGATTCTCCTGCCTCAGTCTCCCGAGTAGCTGGGATTACAGGCATGTGCCACCACACCCGGCTAATTTTGTATTTTTAGTAGAGATGGGGTTTCTCCATGTTGGCCAGGCTGGTCTCGAACTCCTGACCTCAGGTGATCCGCCTACCTCAGCCTCCCAAAGTGCTGGCATTACAGGCATAAGCCACCGTGCCCAGCCCACTAATTTGCTTTTTATACTTTGACCTAACTAATTTAAAAATTCAAGGATCTGGGTTGGGTGCGGTGGGTCACGCCTGTAATCCCAGCACTTTGGGAAGCTGAGGTGGGCAGATCACAAGGTTGAGAGATTGAGACCATCCTGGCCAACATGGTGAAACCCCGTCTCTACTAAAAATACAAAAATTACCTGGGCATGGTGGCACACACCTGTAGTCCCAGCTACTAGGGAGGCTGAGGCAGGAGAATCATTTGAACCCAGGAGGCAGAGGTTGCAGTCAGCCAAGAATGTGCTACTGCACACCAGCCTGGTGACAGAGCAAGACTCCATCTAAAAAAATAAATAAATAAGTAAAAATTAAAAAAAATAAAAAATGAAAAAAATTCAAGGATCTGAGATTGAATTAGGAAGCAATATTCCAGTGGTGGATGAGAAATTTTCAAGAGAAGAAGCATTGTAAAATCATAAGCATACCATAAATGGAACTTAGGAGCTTAGGTCTCACTTTCCAAACTTTGAAATGGGTTACTCAACAACAACAAAATAGATGTCCCTCTACAAAAAGAAGAAAGACAGAGGTGGAGGTAGCTTTGGTAACATGGCTACATTTGTTTCAGTTTGAAACACCAGTAGCCTGTGTAAGCTGAAAAGGGGAAGTTAATCTGAATCCACTGGCAGACATCAGTTCTCATGGGAGCTCCAACGAGGTTAGTTTTATGTAAACTGTGAAAGTACCAGAATGATCTTCTTCATTCACGCAACAAATTCTACTCTGTAGCAGGTACTGCCTGACCTCTAGAGTTACACCATATCCATCAAAAACTCACCAGAGAAATAGCATTTATGGAGATTGTCTGAAAGATATCCACTCATCTATAATCTACACCTCTACCCCTACCCTGTCTCACAGGTAGGGAGAAAAGCTAAGACACATTTAATAAAATGCTAGGCTGACTTTGGGAAATGCCGTAAGCTTATATTGTATTTCCCTAGGATGAAAGACTCCTTCTCATTTTGCCACCATGTCACTTGTAAGAATGATGTTAAGTGTGGTCATTACTTTGCCTAGTAATTAGAATGACCACTCTTCTGGTGGTTGTTTCTGTTAGGTGATTAGTAATCGTAGGGTTTTTCTCGTGTTTTTATTTTGTTTTAACTCATGGACACTGAGAATTACACGGCTGGTCTTTATTCCCCTCTCTTAATTTAGGCTGCTAAAAAAGCAAAAACCAGACTTGCTCACTCCCAATAGCAAGTAGAAGGGACTCAATACTATGTGTGCTTTTATTAGCCTCCTTCTTACTTCCATTTTGTGTTCTTAAATAAAATATATACCAGAGCCATGGCATTTATTGGTCTTTTAAGGGACTTGTAAATGAGGTTAAGGCATTATGTTATCTGGAAGTTACCAGCTGAGAACGGATTAGTTATCTGATTGACCCATCCTAGCTCAGGGCAAAGCTGCAAAGAAACAGATATGAAATAGGTAAATTCTGAAGAAAATGGCAAAGAGGAGGAGCAGAGCAGGAATGGTAAGGTCAAGAGAACAGTGTTTACTCAGTTCTACCCATGTGATAGCATTGCATTCAGTAGCAGGTAACCTAAGGCAAGAATTGGGTCAGAAACAGTTACTTAATAAAGGTAATAAAGGTTTAGTTCATGGCACACTAACCACTAGGGGTTTTACTAATACCCTACCCTCAACTCTCTCCTCTTATATTTCTATTTTTCATATAAATTTTTATTGAGATAATTGTAGGTTTAAAAGAAGTTGTTAGAAATAATACAAAAAAACACTCTAGAGCTTTTATCCAACAGAACCTCAAAATATGTCAAGCAAAAACTGTTGTTTCTTACTGCTGATATCTCCCAATAGCAACATTTTGTAAAACAATGTGATATCACAACCAGGACATAGATATTAATACAATCCACTGATCTTATTCAAATTTTTCATTCTACTTATACTTATTTCTGTCTGTGCATTTAGTTCTATTTAATTTTATAACATATGCAGTTTCAAGTATTTACCATCATAGTCAGGAAACAATTCCATCACTACAAGGGTGCCCTTTTATAATAATCACTGTACTCCTCTTGTATTTTGTGAAAGAATTTGTATAAAGTTGGTTTAATTGCATTCTCTTGCTCTATTTCATTTCATTTCATTTTAAGACGGAATCTCTTCTCTGTCGCCAGGCTGGAGTACAGTGGCCCGTTCTCAGTTCACTGAAACCTCTGCCACCCAGGTTCAACAGATTCTCCTGCCTCAGCCTCCTGAGTAGCTGGAACTACAGGCACATGCCACCATGTCCAGCTAATTTTTGTATTTTTAGTAGAGGTGGGGTTTCACCATGTTGGCCAGGGTGGTCTCGATCTCTTGATGTCATGATCCACCCGCCTTGGCCTCCCAAAGTGCTGGGATTACAGGCGTGAGCCACCACGCCCAGCCCTTGCTCTCTTTTTAATAGATGTAGAGCCTATAGTGAGATTTTCTATTTTATTGCTGAGACTGGTGAATTTTATCTTTATTTTTATTTTGTCAGTCTTGCCAGATATTTATCAATGTATCATTTTTTTTTGAATAACCAGCTTTTGGTTTCATTAATTGTTTCTATTGTCTTACATTTTTTATTTTATTGGTTTCTGCTCTTATCTTTATTATTTCCTTTCATTCTTTGGGTTTGATTTTCCCTTTATTTACTAGTTTCTTGAAACAGGAACTAAGATTATTGATTTGTGATTTTTCCTCTTTTCTAATGTAAACTTTTTGTGTTACAAATTTTCTTCTCAGCACTGCTTTAACTATGTCTCACATGTTTCCACATTTTATACACTCGTTTTTATTTAGCTCTATGTATATTTTTTACTTACTTTGAGTCTTCCTCTGTGATCTATGGATTATTTAGAAATGTATTTTTAATAATCACTATTTAGAGATTTTCCTGTTGTCTTTGTGTCCTTGTTTTCTAGTTTCTCTCTATTATGGTTATAGTATATACTCTATATTACAAGTTTTTGTTTAATTTGTTGAAGTTTGTCTTATGTCCCATGATATGTTCTGTCTTGGTTGGGAATGTCCCATAGATGCTTGGAAAAAGCTGTGTATGTTGCCACTGCTAATATATAATGTCTCACATTGGTGATTATGTTGTTTAGAGCTTCTATAACCAAGCTTATTTTCTGTCTATTAATTCTGTCAGTTTCTGGGGACACTGTGTGTTGACATCCTCAACTATAATTCAGGATTAGTCTATCTCCTTTCAGCTCTATCAATTTTTGCTTCACATCTTTTGAGGTTTTATTGTTTGGTGCATACCTGTTAAGATCTTTATGTTTTCCTGATGGACTAACCTTTATATCATTATATAATGCCCCACTTGGTCTCTAGTAATTTTCTTTAAAGTCTACTTTATCAGGTGTTAATATAGTAAATTAGTGATTTTGTAAATTAATGTTTTCATGGTATATCTTTTTCCATCCTTTTAATTTTAACCTACCTATGTCATTGAGTTTGAAATGAGATTTTTGTAACTAGCATATAATTGTCAAACTTCCTTTTGAAAGCACAAAATTGGGGATAAGGATATCAGAGAAGAGGGAATTGAACTGAAAGCTATAGATGAGGGTGGGGAATGGCTATGTAGTGCTCTGTATATGAGAAACAAAGAAAATTCTGTGGTAGATTCTTTCTTGGTTTCTCTTCTAGTTTAGGAAGACCCCAAGTCAAAGACATGGGGGCAGATGATTACACAAAACATAAGTACTATAGGCTGAATTGTCACCCCCCCCCCCCCAAATATATATGTTAAAGTTCTCACCCCCAGTAACTCAGCATGTGACTATATTTAAAGATAGGGTCTTTAAAAAGGTAACTAAGAAAAAATGAGGTCATATAAGTGATCCTTAGCCTAATATGACTATTGTCTTTGTAAGGAGAGATGATTAGGATGTAGACAGGTGAATGCACAGAGGAAAGACCATATGAAGGCATAGCAATAAAGAAGCCATCTGCAAGCCAAGGAGAGTGGCTTCAGAAGAAACTAAACCCACTAACACCTTGATCTTAGATTTTCACCTTCCAAAATGATAAGAAAATAATTTTCTGTTGTCAAAGCCACCCAATCTGTAGTATTTTCTTATGGTAGCCCTAAAAAAACTAATACAGTAACTAAGGGTATGGGATAAATGAGTTGAGCAGGGAGAAAAAGCAATAAAGAGTGCATTCATAAGAGGTTTTCTATTGTAGACATTTAGGATTTACTCTTGGATTCTTCTGTCCCTCATTGGCTAAGGGCGACTCCTAGATAAAGTGTTAAATTCCTGACATTTCTGGACTACCTGTGCTTGGGCTAAGCTAGCTTCCATGGTGTTGGAGAAAGCTCTTCAGCAGATAAGCAAAGAGTCACAGGTACTTCAGGTAGGAAGTTATGATTGTGCTTGATCACTCATCGTCCACTGTAGTTGCAGGTGAACTTAGGTGTGGACCATTGGCATATGGGTAAGCATCAACAATATCTACTACAGACCCTTCCTTCTTTTTCCCTTCCTTCCTTCCTTCCTTCCTTATTCCTTCCCTCTTTCCTTCTTTCCTTCTTTTTTCTCCTGCCAGGCTCTTGGAAATCTCAGTCTCTTTGACATGTGATATGGTTTGACTCTATGTTCCCACCCAGATCTCATCTTGAATTATACTCCTATAATTCCCACATATTGTGGGAGGGACCTGGTGGGAGAGAATTTGAATCATGGGGGTGGTTTCCCCAATACTGTTCTTGTGGTAGTGAATAATTCTCATGAGATCTGATGGTTTCGTCAGGGGTTTCTGCTTTTGCATCTTCTGCATTTTGCTCTTGCTGCCCCCATGTAAGAAGTGCCTTTCACCTCCCGCCGTGATTCTGAGGCCTCCTCAAGCCATGTGGAACTGTAAGTCTAATTAAACCTCTTTTTCTTTCCAGTTTCGGGTATGTCTTTATCAGCAGCATGAAAATGTACTAATACAACATGTCCCTTGAGAAACAGTCTTTCAAGTCCTTGTGTGGTAAAATGGCCAAAACCTTCTATTTGGCCATCCTCAACTGCTCCCTTCCTTAAGAAACTAAGTTGGTCCAGAGTGGGACCCATGTGAAATGAGTCTTAGGGCATGGTAGGTTTATAATTACAGCTCTGGACATACAAAAGAAGTTATTAATACTTCCACCTTTTGTTATAGTTACCATCTCTTGACAGAAGAGAGTAGGATATAGACTGTGGAACTAGGTCAAGAAAGCTACCAGGTCTGTTTTCATGGCTATAGGCTTTTAGGACTATCTATCAACTTGGGAAAGAAGTTCGTAGGGTTCCATAAAGTTCATCCAGCTTACTCAAAGACTGTCTTGTAGTATGACACCAAATTGTAGCTAATAGTAAAAACAGTTTTCCAGGAGTATTCCTTCTGTTAATCTTCCTCATAAATTTTCAGTGATGGTGGTATGTAAGAGGATAAGAATTTAGAGTTCTTGCCTTTCATCCACGCACTTAAAATTTGAGCTGACATGCGTTCAAAAGTGATTTTTCATTATGTTTAAAAGCCTAAGAAATGGTACACTGTCTAATCAAAATGGCATAAATCATTTGCTCTTGGCAGAAACTTTATTATCTCATCATAAGGACACTAGAGACTCTTGTTGATTGTTTTTTTAATTGGCTACTATGGATGTGATTGATTAATTTGAAACATAAAAATTTCATGAAAAATCATGAATTAATGGATGTATGTGAGGGATACAATCTCTTAAAATACAAGGTTCAAGTGGGATGTAAGCTCTTGAGGTGACACACCTGGAACCCAGTGGCCTTGGGCTCCAGAATTATCTTCCACCAGTCTACTCCTCATTATTATTATAAGATGTAGGAAAGATGCATCCTATTTTTCCCCTAATATAACAGGAAAGGAAACTAAAGCCAAAGAGAGAAATGTAGCTGAGAACCCTGTTTTCTGCCCTTTCCACCTTACTTTGATGGTACTCACTACTTCTCTCATTTGTTCATTTGTATTTCAGATTATGCTTTGTTCCAAAAAAATTTACTCTAACTCACAAAAGCACAATAAAACATTACATACTATACCATCAAATCCTGGAAGAAGTCTCTAGTCAGGTTTTCCTGACTTTTTGTTTTTCTTAGGGTTAGCTCTGAATACTAGACTCATTCTCTTGGAGGGAGGGAACTCAAAATGGGCAAGAATGATTTGTTTTGCCTTAGCAAGATAAGGAATAATACTATTTATATAATGTTTACCAAGGGCCACACACTATTTTAAGTGCATCTTACAGATCAGTTTTACAGATTAACTCATTTAATCCTCATAAAGCTTCCATGGAATAAGTACAATTAACTGCCTTACAGAATAAAAAAAAACTGAAACACAGAGACATTAGGGAACTTTCCCATAGTCACAACATTAATGATTAATGCAGATAGGATTCAAATACAGGCTGTCTGGCCCTAGAAGCCAACTTTTACTACCAAGCTAAGCTGTATCTCAGAAAGGGCAGATGGGATGACCACTGAGGTCATGCTATAGACTCCATTCTTGATAGGAAGACATGATCATGGCAAGTAAAGATCTCTTTGCCCCTTTAAAACATATACTTTTGTTTTGCCAATGTATGGTCTTTTCATATCAATGAGAATGAGGAAAATAGTTGAAGAAAGGCTGAATAATAATTGGCATTTAAGTATCTCTGTTATCTATACTTGGGCAATTCTTGGAAGGTAATAATGTCCTAAGTTAAAAAAAAGGCTGGAATTGTTGTCATTTTCTGAGCAGCAGCTGCATCAAGATTTGCCATGGAATAAAGTTTTGGGTAAGACAATTCACCTTTCCTCTTATTTCTGTAGCACTTGCTAGCTACACCTTTAATGGCACTGGTCACCACATAACTTATCATTTATTTGTGTGTGCCTTGACTCCTTACAAAAAGAGGATTTAAGGAGGCTTACAAAACTACATACAATTATACCAAGTTTTAAAAAATAGGCAGGCAGGGAAACAGAATAGTAAATGTGTACTGCTTGCTACCTCAATTTCTCTCCTTCTGGTAAGAGTACTCTGAATTTCCTTTGAAATCTCCCTCTCTCATTTATGTGTCTTGGGTGGGTTCAATCTCATCTTCAGCTTCAGAGCTGGGCTCTGTGTGGCTTATGGCAAGCAGTGTTTCTACTGTACTAGTTCAGAAATGAGCAGTTCACCTGAATAGATCCAAGGAGAAAAAAGGAGACAATTCCCAGAGTTTTGGGAAAAGATAATGTTTCTTTCTTTCACTTGATTCCTTTTTATTTTTTTGGCAATGTCTAACATGTTTCTTTCTTTCTTTCTTTTTTAATTTTATTTTTCCATAAGTTTATTGGGGTACAGGTGGTATTTGGTTACATGAGTGAGTTCTTCGGTGGAGATTTGTGAGAACCTGGTGCACCTATCACCTGAACAGTATACACTGCACCATATTTGTTGTCTTTTCTTTCACTTGATTTATTGGTGATGTGATGTGAGGATTGGAACCACAGAAGCCATTTTGATACTATGCGATATGGTTTGGATATTTTTCCTCTCCAAATCTCATGTTGAAATATGACCTCCAGTGTTGGAGAAGGGCCTAGTGGGAGGTGTTTGGGCCATGGGGGTGGATCCCTTATGAATGGCTTGGTGATATCCACAATGTAAGGGGTGAGTTCTTGCTCTGGTAGTTCACATGAGAATTGATTGCTTAAAGAAGCTGGCACCTCCCCACCTCTCTCTTGCTTCCTCTCTTGTCATATGATACTCTGGCTCTTCCTTTGCCTTCTGCCATGATTGTAAGCTTTCTGAAAGCTTCATCAGATGTGGTGTCAGCACCACGATTCCTGAAAAATCTTTATGCCTACAAAACTGTGAGCCAAAATAAACCTCTTTTCTTTGCAAATTACCCAGTCTCCAGTAATCCTTTATAGCAACAAAATATGGCTAATATGAAAGAAGTCAGTCTTAAAATGTAGCTGCTTCATGGAAAACAACAGAGCTGAGTATAAAACTGAGTGTGTTAATATCACTTTAGCATTTGAGAATTCCTTCTGGATTTTCCTATTTGTTTAATTGGTTAAGATAGGTTTAGTTGAGTTTTATGTGACTTACAAAAGAAACGACTCCTAATGGAAACAAATATCAAAAGAAAAATTAAAAACATGAGACAAAAACAAGGCTGGGATTAACACACAAAATGCATCTACTTGCTTCAGGTAGACCACTGATTTGGGTCTGAGCTTTTTAGCAGTCAGTACAAAGACAGAAATATGAAGTTATTTTGAGGGTTCAGAGTGTCTGTAGAATAAAACAAGCCAGATGCTTTAAGGAGAGCAAGTATTCCTAGAAACAGGAACTGGAGAGAAATTTCTCTCATGGGCTTTCATAAAAGAGACATTATTGGGAGATGTCAGCAGGATAGAGATTCTAGCTCTCCTCAAGGAAATGTGAGCTGATTTAACAACACCCATGCATGTAAATACCTTCACAAGATCTCCAAAATCCAAGTGACAGATCACAGCTTCCAAATGGGACACAAAAACAAGAAAAGAACATTGAAGAGTGTAGGAAGGACAGTTTAACTCCATTCACATCACCCATTCCCCAAATCTGCATAGTGTAGGCCTGGGGTAGGCCTGAGAGAGACATCTTCCTCCTAGGAGCTCTAGTGGGAAAAAGTAGGTAAAATGAACATCCAACTTCCTGAGAACTCAGGCTTCATGCCTGCACCCACAAACCCAGGCACCAGGCCCACCCCAGTGGAACCACAACAATTTGCCTGGGCAACAGGCTTTCCTACCCACAGACCCAGGCATCAGACCTGCCTGCCTATGGACTTCAGCAGCAGGGCCACCCACAATCCTAGCCAGCCAACTTACTAAAAATATTTGGCCAGACTGAGTTGAGAAGCATTTTCTTTATCAAGGTCCAGTGTGAATGGAAAGAGGTAACTACTTTGTACTAGTCTGGGTTTTCCAGAGGGACAGAACAATTGGATATACATGTGTATATATATATATACACACACACACACAGAGGAGAGGGAGAGTTTATTTGGGAGAATTGGCTCACACAATTACAAGGCAATGTCCCATCATAGGAGTCTGCAAATTGGGGCAAAAGAGAAGCTGGTAGTGTGACTCAGTCCAAATCCAAAAGCCTCAAAACTAGAGAAGCAGATAGTGCAGACCTCAGTCTGAGGCCAAGGGCCTGAGAGCCTCTGGGCAACCCCTGGAGTCTAATGTCCAAGGGCAGGAGGAGAAGAAGCAAAGTGTCTGTCATGGGAAGAAAGAGAGAGTGAGAAGACTCAGCAAGCTGCTTATCCCCCTTCTTCTGCCTGCTTTGTTCTAGCTTCACTGGCTGCTGATTGGATGGTGCCTACTCACAGTGAGGGTAGGCCTTCCTCTCCCAGCCCACTGAGTCAAATAAGCCCCTCACAACATCTCCACTGACACACTCAGAAACAAGGCTTCACCAGCCATCAAGGCATCCCTCAATCCAGTCAAGTTGACATCTAATATTGACTATGATATACTTCTTCAAATGGACATATATCAATCCAAGCCTACAAAGAATGCTGAGGATAGATAGAAATCATAAAAAAGAACAAAACAAATTCTGGAGCTAAAGAATGCAATAACTAAACTGAAAAATGCCATATAGGGCTTCAATAGCAGATTCAGTCAAAGAGAAGAAAGAATAAAAGAGCTCAAAGACAGTTCATTTGAAATTATTCAGTCAGAGGAACAAAAAGAGAAAAATGAATGAAAATGAATGAAGAAAGCCTGTGGGAGTTATGTGACACCATCGAGTAAACCAATGTACATATTATGGAATTCTCAGAAAGAGAAGAGAAAAGAAAATGGCAGAAAGTTTATTCAAAGAAATAATGGCCATAAACTTCCCAAATATGAGGAAGAAAATAAACATCCAAATTCATGAAACACAAAGGACCTTGAATAGATTAAACCTAAAGAGATCTACACTGAGAAAACATTATAAGTTTTCAAATGTCAAAGACAAAGGTAATTTTAAAATCAACAGGAGAAAAGTGAATTTTTACATATACTGGAGTCTTCATAAGACTATCAGTAGATTTCTCAGTAGAAAACTTGCAGGACAGAAAAGAGTAGTTTGCGTATATTCACAGTTCTGTTGGAGGGAGAGGAACCTGCCAACAAAGAAAACTATACCAAGAAAACTGTTTTCTAAAAATAAATAAAGAAAAAAGGTTTCTCAGAAAACCAAAACAGAGTCCATCATCACTAGATCTGCTTTACAAAAGAAGTGTCAAATACAGTTTTTCAAATTGAAACAAAATGACACTAAACAGCAACACAAAAGCTTGTGAAGGTATAAATCTCATAGTTAAGCTAAACATATAAACAAATACAAAATCATGTAATACTGTAATGGTGGTGCATGAACCACTTTTAACCTTAGTATAAAAATTAAAAGACAGGCTGGGTGCAGTGGCTCATGCCTGTAATCCCAATACTTTGGGATGCTGGGTCAGGCAGATTACTTGAGTTCAGGAGCTCAAGACCAGCTGGGCAACATGGTGAAACCTCCACTCTACAAAAAAAAAAAAAAAAAAAAAAAAAAAAAAATACAAAAGAGAAAAAAATTATCTGGGTATGGTGGCCCATGTTTGTGTTCCCAGCTACTTGGGAGGCTGAGCCAGGAGGATTACTAGAGACCAGGAGGTCCAGACTCTGCAGTGAGCTGAGATTGCACCACTGTACCCCAGCTTGTGCAACAGAGTGGGACTCTGTGTCTAAAAAAAAAAAAAAAAAGAAAAGAAAAGAAAATATTAAGAGCTATAACCATAAAAATTGGTTAATAAATGGATATACAATATAAAACTAATTGTGACATCAATAACACCAAGTGTGTGTGGAGGGAGCAAAAGTTTGAGTTTTTGTATGTGACTGAATTTATGTACAGCCACACAAAGTTTTCTCAGTTCAAAGTAGACTGTTATAGCAATAAAAAGTATTATACAAACCTCACTAAAACCACAAACAAAAATTCTATAGTATACAATATATTGCTACAAAAAATCATCAAATGATAAAGTAAGACAGCAGGAGAGGAAAGGAGGAACAAAAGAACACAAACAGACAAAAACAACAAAGAAAATAACAATAGTAAGTAGCTATTAATAGTTACATCAATAATTAAATAACAGACTAGTAGATTGGATTTAAAAAAAGATCCAATTATATGCCACCAACAAGAAACCAACTTTAGATTTAAGAATACACATAGGGCTCATGTCTGTAATCCCAGAACTTTGGGAGACTGAGGTGGGCCGATCATGAGGTCAAGAGATCAAGACCATCCTGGCCAACATGGTGAAACCCCCTCTCTACTAAAAATACATAAATTAGCTGGGTGTGGTGGAGTGTGCCTGTAGTCCCAGCCACTCAGGAGGCTGAGGCAGGAGAATCGCTTGAACCTGGGAGGCAGAGGTTGCAGCTAAGCCAAGACCATGCAACTGCACTCCAGCCTGGTAACAGAGCGAGACTCCATCTCAAAAAAAAAAAAAAAAGAATACACATAGGCTGAAAGTGAAGGGTGGAAAAAGATATTCCATGCAAATGGTAACCAAAAGAGAGAATAGGTGCTATAGTAACATGAGATAAGATAGACTTTGAGTCAAAAACTGTCACAAGAGACAAAATAGGTCATTACATAATGATAAAAAGGTCAATTCTAAAGGAGGATAAAACTATCAATATATTTTTATCCAGCATCAGAGCACCTAAGTACGGAAAGCGAAGATTGATATATCTGAAGGGAGAAATAGACAGCAATACAATAATAGCAAAAGACTTCAATATCCCCCTTGAAATAATGGACAGATCATCCAGACAGAAAATCAACAAGGGAGGCTGACTTAAACTACACTGTAGAGCAAATGAACCTAACAATTATATACAGAACATTCCACTCAACAGCAGAAAATATACCTTCTTCTCAAGCACATATGGAACATTCTCCAGGACAGATCACATGCTAGAACACAAAACAAATCTTAACAAATTTTAAAAGATTGAAATTATTCCATAAGTATCTTTCCCAACCAAAATGGAATAAAACTAAATATGAATAAAAAATGAAAAGGAAAAACTCACAAATATGTGAAAATTCACCAACACATTCATCAATAACCAATGGGTCAAAGAATAAATTTAAAAAATTAGAAAATATCTTCAGACGAACAAAAATAAAAACAACATACCAAAACTATGGGATACAGCAAAAGCAATATTAAGAGAAAATTTATAGTGATAAGCACCTATATTTAAAAAAAAGAGAGAAACTCTGAAATATTTAAACAATCTCATAGTTTACCTCAAGGCACTAGAAAAAAGAAGAAAAAACTAAGCTCTAAGTTAACAGAAAAAAAAATAATAAATGTCAAGGCAGAAATAAATAAAGGATAAAAAAAGGAAAAAATTATAAAACTGAGTTCTTCCCTCAAAAAGATAAGCAAAATCAACAAGAAAAAGAAGCAATTAAATGAAATATGAAATTAAAAAGGGGACACTACAAGTTCCACAGAAATAAAAAAGATTAAAAGGAATTATGAACAATTATACACCAACAAAATGAACAATCTATAAGAAATGTATAAATTCCTAGAAACGTACAATCTAAGAAGACTGAAACAAGAAGAAATAGAAAGACTGAATAGGCCAAAAACAAAAGAGATTGCATCAGTAATCGAAAACCTTCCAATAAAGAAAAGCCAAGGACCAGAAGGCTTTACAGGTGAATTCTACCAAAGATTTTTTAAAAAAGAATTAATACCAATCACTTTTAAACTAGAAGAGGGAATACTTCCAAACTCTTTTTTGTGAGCCCAGCATCACTCTGATACCAAAAGCAGACAATGGCACCAACACAAAACTATAGGCCATTATCCTTGATGAACATGAAGGCAAAAATCCTCAACAAAACATTTGCTAACAGAATTCAAACCACATTAGAAGCATCATACACCATGACCAAGTAAGATTTATCCCTGAAATGCAAGCATGGCTTAACACATGCAAGTTAATCAGTATGATAGTCCACATTAACAAATGAAGGATAAAATCATATTATCATCTCAATAGATGCAGAAAAAGCATTTGAAAAAAGTTAACATCTCATGCTAAAAAAAAAAACTCAAAAAATCAGATATGAAGAAACTTACCTCGACACATAATAAAGGCTATATATGAAAAACCCATAGGTAGCATACTCAACAGTGAAAATTGAAGAGCTTTTCCTGTAAGATCAAAACAAGGCAAAGATGCCCACTCTTGCACTTGTATTCAGTAGAGTACTGGAATTCCTAGCCAGAGAAATTAGGCAAGAGAAAGAAATAAAAGGCATCCAAATTGAAAAGGAAAAAGTAAAATTACCTTTGCTTGAAAATGACATGATCTCATATCTAGAAAAGCCTAAAGGACTCCACAAACTGTTAGAACTAGTAAATAAATACAGCATATTTTTAGGAAACAAAATCAACATACAAAAATTAGTTGCCTTTCCATACACTAACAACAAAGCATACCAAAAGAAAATTCAAAAAACAATTTCATTTACGATAGCATCAAAAATAATAGAATACTTAGGAATAAACTCAAGTGAAAAGGTGGAAAACATCTATAGTGAAAATCATAATACAAACACTTATGAAAACAATTAAAGAAGACATAAAAAGGAAGACATCCCATGTCCACGAATTGGAAGAATTAATATTGTTAAAATGTACATGCTACCCAAAGTGATCTACAAATTAGATTCAATCTCTATCAAAATTCCAAAAGCATTTTTTCCAACTTTTATTTTGTTTCAGGAAGTACATGTGCAGGTTTGTTAGGTGGGTAAATTGTGTATTGGTGGGGTTTGGTGTTCAGATTATTTCATCACCCAGGTAACAAACATAGCACCTGATAGGTATTTTTTTCAATCCTCATTCTCCTTCCACCTTCCAGCTTCAAGTAATCCCTAGTGTCTATTTTTCCTTCTTTGTGTCAATATGAACTCAGTGTTTAGCTCCCACTTATAAGCAAGAATATTCAGTATTTGGTTTTCTGTTACTGTGTTAATTTGGTTAGGATAATGACCTCCAATTCCAACCATGTTGTTGCAAAGCACGTGGTTTTGCTTTTTTATGGCTGTGTGGTATACCACGGTGCATATGTACCACATTTTCTTTATCCAGTCCACCACTGATGGGCATCTATGTTGATTTCATGTCTTGCTTTGTGAATAGTGCTATGATGAATATACACATGCATGTGTATTTATGGTAGAATGATATCTATTCCTTTGGGTATATACCCAGTAATGGAATTGCTGGGTTGAATGATGGTTCTGTTTTAAGTTCTTTGAGGAATTGTCAAACTGCTTTCCGGAGTGGCTGAACTAATTTGCATTCCCATCAGCAATGTATAAGCATCCTCTTTTCTCCACAACCTTGCCAGCATCTGTTATTTTTTGACATTTAATAATGGCCATCCTGACTGGTATGAGATGCTATCTCATTGTGATTTTGATTTGCATTTATATTATGATTATTGATGTTAAGCATGTTTTCATATGCTTGTTGGCTAGATGTATATTTTCTTTTGCAAATTGTCTGTTCATGTCATTTGCCCATTTTTTAATGGGGTTGTTTTTTGCTCATTAATATTTTTAAGTTGTTTATAGATTCTATCAGATTCTGTCAGATGTATGGTTTGCAAATATTTTTTCCTATTCTGTAGGTCATCTGTTTACTCTGTTGACAATTTCCTTTGCTGTGCAGAAGCTCTTTAGTTTAATTAAATCCAATTTCTCAATTTTTGTTTTTGTTGTAATTGCTTTTGGAGTCTTTATCATGAAATCTTTGCCAGAGCCTATATTCAGAATGATATTTCCTGAATTTGCCTCTGGGGTTTTCATAGTTTTAGGTTTTATATTTAAGTTTTTCATCCATCTTTAGTTTATATTTGTATATGGTAAAAGGAAGGGGTCCAGTTTCAATCTTCTGCACATAGCTAGCCAATTATTGAATCCCGACATCATTTATTGTATAAGGAGTCTTTTGATATGGGCATTTAGTGCTATAAACTTTCCTTTTAACACTGTGTTAGCAGTATCCCAAATGTTTTGTTATGTTGTAACTTTGTTTTCATTAGTTTCAAACAATTTATTGCTTTCTTCCTTAATTTCATTATTTATTCAAAAGTCATTCAAGAGGAGATTGTTTAATTTCCATATAATTGTACTGTTTTGGGAGATCTTCTTGCTGTTGATTTCTATTTTTATTGCTGTGTTCTAGAGTATGTTTAATATGATTTCGTTTTGTGTTCTTTTGAATTTGTTCAGAATTGTTTTATCACTAAGTATGTGGTTGATTTTAGAGTATACACCACGTACAGATGAGAAGAATGTATATTCTGTTGTTGTTGGGCAGTATGTTCTGTAGATATCTATTAGGTCCATTTGGTCAAGTACTGAGTTTATGTCCCAAGTATTTTTGTTAGTTTTCTGCCTCGATGATCTGGCTAATACTATTAGTGGGATATTGAAGTCTGCCACTCTTATATCGCTTTGTGGGTCTTTCAGAATTTGTTTTATGAATCTAGGTGCTCTAGTGTTGGGCATATATATATTTAGAATAGTTAAGTATTCTTGTTGAATCTGTCTTTATTATTACGCAATACCCTTATTTGTCCTTTTAAGTCATTGTTGGTTTAAAGTCTGTTTTTTTTTCTGAAACAAGAATAGCGACCTCTACTCTTGTCTTCTGTTTGCTTGATAGATTTTTTCCATTCCTTTTCTTTGAGCTTACAGGTGTCATTGAATGTGAGAGGGTCTCATGAAGATAATATACAGTTGGGTTTTGCTTCTGTATCCAACTTGTCATTGTGTGCCTTTTAAGTGAGGTGTTTAGCCCATTTACATTTAAGACTCATATTGATACGTGCAGATTTGATCCTGTCATCATGTTCTTAGCTGGTTGGTATGTAGACTTAATTGTATAGTTGATGTATAGTGTCATTGGTCTATGGACTTAAGTGTGTTTTTGTGGTAGCTGGTAATGTTTTTTCATTTCTGTGTTTAGCATTCCCTTAAGTACCTTTTCTAAGGAAGGTCTGGTGGTAACAATTTCCCTTAGCATTTGCTTGTCTGAAAAAGATTTTATTTCACTTTTGTTTATGGAGCTCGGTTTGGCTGGATATAAAATTTTTGGTTGGAATTTATTTTCATTAAGGATGCTGAATGTAGGCCTCTAATCTGTTCTGGCTTGTACAGTTTCTGCTAAAAGTTCTGATGTTAGCCTGATAGGGTTCCCTTGGTGGGGATCTGAGATTCTTTCCTCAGCTTGGTCTATTCAGCTGTTAATACTTCCGATTATATTGTGAAATACTTGTAGTGAGTTTGTTTTAGCTTTTTAAGACCAGTTTGGGTCATTCATAAAATGACTGTTTCATCTCTCAGATCTTGTATTGTTTTAATACATTCCTTAGATTCCTTGGATTGGGTTTCAATTTTCTCCTGAATCTCGATGATCTTCCTTGCCATCCAGATTCTGAATGCTATGTCTTTTATTCCAGCTATTTAAGTCTGATTAAGAATAATTGCTGGAGAGCTAGTATG
This sequence comes from Homo sapiens, assembly GCF_000001405.40. Taxonomy (NCBI): domain Eukaryota; kingdom Metazoa; phylum Chordata; class Mammalia; order Primates; family Hominidae; genus Homo; species Homo sapiens. The sequence goes on from NC_000012.12 coordinate 103,197,612, forward strand.
GTCACTTGGAGGCAAGAAGACCCTCTGGTTTTTTGAATTGACAGAGTTATTGCACTGGTTGTTTCTCATCTGTCTGGCTGATGTTCCTTCAATCTTTGAAGTTGCTTCCTTTGGATAGGGCTTTTTGCTTTTATACTCTTTGATGGCTGTGAGGGTTTGGTTTTTGTATGAGTTGGGTTCAGTCAACCGGCTTTGTTTCTGGATGACTTCAGTGAGACAAGCCTCAGCTCAGCACTCCTGGGCTGCATGCTGTAATTGTAGGGGGCTGGGACCAGGCCCATGGCTTTGTTCTCTGGCCCCTTAAGGTTGAGCACCTGCTGTACTGAAGAGACCCAGGTGTTCCCAGTCCACTGACAATAACATTCCAATGGGGGAGGGGGTCCCAGCAAAAGTGTTTCACTGGGACAGAGGCAGCAGGATCCACAGTCACATGTGTGTGCTGCCAGCAGTAGAGTAGCAGCACCTGTGCACATACACACACACAGAAGCAGGCAGTGACAGTGAGGTCTGCATACATGCAATAGTGGCGGTGAAGCAACAGGATCTGCATACACATTCCAGTAACACAGTAGGGGATGGCCGTGGGTGAATGAGTGCCAGCAAAACAGAGGGAGAGGCTGTGGACAAGCATGCACTAGCTTCACCTGCAGAAGCTCTTTGACAGATAGGTGACCTCTGCCAGAGAAGGAGCTATGACAGTGGCACTGGGAAGCACTGTGGTTGGGCATGTGAGGCTGCACTGCAATTGAGCTCAGCCAGGCAGGAACCCTGGGAGAGGCCGGCAGACAGATTGGTGCTCAGACCAGACTGACGCCACTCCACAAGCAAGACCACCCTACTTGTCCAGGTCCAACAGTCACCAAAGGCCAAAGCCACCTAGAGGAGCATGGTGATCCTTGTGAGATGGGCATCCCTCGCCATGCTCCACTGTAACTGTTCTCATGCCAAACGATCTGGGCTCTGCACAGGCTGTAGTCCTGTCACTGCTGACTCTGCAAGCAGCTCTGCCTTCCAGCTCAAATGTCCATGGGGTTCATGGGGCCCCCTGCAGCTAGGATTCCTGAGGTCTGTGGCAAGAGTGTGCTACTCCACACCTGCTTAACTCACCCCTTCCCTGAGATTTGCTCAGGACCAGGGACAAGTCCCTGTGTTTAGCAATCCCATGCAGGGTTCCTAGCTTCCTCCCCCATGATCCCAGGATCTGCATCTTCCCTCCATCCACTCTCAATGCCTTCCTTCCAAGGATTTACTCAGAATGTGCCAGTCTTCTTGATGGTCTGGTCTCTAGGTGGGGGCAGCTCTTCCTGGCTGCTTCTAGTCAGCCATCTTGCTGCTCCAATAGCAATTTTTAGAGATACAGAAAAATAATATTAGAAGACCCCAAATAGCCATAGGAATTTTGAGCAATATGAATGAAGCTGGAAACATCACACTACCTGATTTCAAAATATATTATAAAACTACAGTAATCAAAACAGTGTGGTTCTGGTGGCAAAACAGACATATAAACCAATGGGACAGAATAGAGACCACAGGAATAAATCCAGGCATATATGGTCAACTGATGTTTCACAACAGTACCAAGAATACATAATGGTGAAAGAATAGTTTCTTTAATAAAGTGTTGGAAAAGCTGGATATCCACATTCAAAGGAATGAAATTGAACCCTCAACTCACACCAGACCTAAAAATCAACTCAAAATGAATTATAATAATAATTCATTATAAACACAATATTTGAAACCACATAATTCCTGAAAATAAGCATAAGGGAAACCTTTTGGACACTGATGTTGGCAATAATTTTTTTGGATATGACACAAAAAACACAGGCAATATAGGTAAAATTAGATAAGTCAACCTAAAAGTCTTCCTCACAGCCAAGAATACAGTCAACAAAATGAGAAGGCGACTGACAGAATGGGGGAAAATATTTGTAAACCACATATTTGATAAAGGGTTAATACCCAAAATAGGTAAAGAACTTCTATAACTCAATAGCAAAAAAACAAATAACCTAATGTTAAAATAGGCAAAGAAACCATTAATAAACAAACATTTCTCTGAAGAAGACACACAATTGAACACCAGGTGTATAAAAAGTTGCTCAGAATCAGTAATAATCAGAGAAATATAAATCAAAAACACAATGAGGTACCAACTCACACCTGTTAGGATGGCTTTTGTTTCTAAATCTTTCCATTTAGAAAATGGAAGATAAATACTGGTGAAAATTTGGAGAAAAAGGAACCCTTTTACAATGTTAATGGGTATGTGAATTGGTACAGCCAATTCAGAAAACGGTTTGGAGGTCCCCAGAAAACTAAAAGTGGAACAACCGTATGATCCAGGAATTTCATTCTTGAGTATGGATGCAAACACATTGAAATCAGGATCTGGAAGAGATATTTGCACTCCCATGTTCATTGCAGTTTTATTCACAATAGCAAAGATATGGAAACAGTCTAAATGTCCATTAACAGATGAATGGAAAAAAAAATACGGTATACACATATGTGGAATATTAATCAGGCTTAAAAAAGAAGAAAACCCTGCTTATTTGAAACAAAATGGGTGAACTTAGAGGACATTATGCTAAATGAAATAAGCCAGACACAGAAGGGCAAATACTACATGACACCCCTTATATGATAAATCTGGATTAGTCAAACGCTTAGAAGTAGAAAGTGGAATGGTGGTTGCCAGTGACTGGGGAAACAGGGAAGCAGAGAGGTATTAGTCAAAAGGCATAAAGTTTCAGTTATACAACTTAATCAAATTACAGAGATTTACTGTATATTATAGCACCTAAAGTTAACAATACTGTATTGCATATATGCCATAAAAGGGTATATATTATATTGTGTTCTAATCACACAAAAAATAATAAATAAGAGCAGGAGGAAACTTTTAGAGGTGATGGATAGTTTAATGGCATAGATTGAGGTGATGGCTTCGCAGGTGTGTACTCAGCTCCAAATTCATCAAGTTGTACACATTAATTATGTATGTTGAATTTGAAAAAAAGAATGAAATTATTTAATGCAGTAAACATTCTCAATAACATCCTTACAATAAGTATAATTAGTTTTGTATGCCTGTTTGTTTTTCAATAACTTCTCTTAGTGGAAGTGGAAGACATTACAACTAAATATAACTAAGTTTTAGGTTGGTGCAAAAGTAATTGCAGTTTTAGACCAAGAATTTTAAATCATTATAATTAGGCTCAAACACATCTTTATTCATCAAAATAGGAACAATTACAATCAACACATTTTTGCCAATGAGAAATAAGCTTGTTTATTTCTGTATCATAAAAATCTGTGCTTTGGGATTTGATGATCTCTTGGAAAGCAATTTCTGCATCCTGCTGGTTATGGAAGCATTTTCCCTGCAAAAAGTTGTCAAGGTGCTTGAAGAAGTGGTAGTCAGTTGGCGAGAGGTCAGGTGAATACGGCAGATGAGGCAAAACTTCATAAGCTAATTTATTCAATTTTTGAAGCATTAGCTGTGTGACATGCCATCAGGCATTGTTATGGAGAAAAATTGGGCCCTTTCTGCTGACCAATGCTGGCTGCCAGTATTGAAGTTTTTGGTGCATCTCATTGATTTGCTGAGCATACTTTTCAGATGTAACGGTTTTGCTGGGATTCAGAAAGCCGTAGTGGATCAGAGTGGCAGCAGACCACCAAACAGTGACCATGACCATTTTTTGGTGCAAGTTTGGCTTTGTGAAGTGCTTGCTTTGGAGCTTCTTCTCCATCCAACCGCTGAGCTGGGCATTGTCGGATATCCTATAAAATCCACTTTTCATCTCAAATCACAATGCGATCAAGAAATGGTTCATTGTTGTTGCATAGAATAAGAGAAGACAACACTTCAAAATGAAAATTAAAAAAAAAAGTTTTGCTCAGCTCATGAGGCACCCACTTATTGAGATTTTTCACCCTTCCAATTTGCTTCAAATGCTGAATGACCATAGAATGGTCAAGGTTGAGTTCTTCAGCAACTCCTCACGTAGTTGTAAGAGGATCAGCTTCGATAATTGCTCTCAATTGGCCGTTGTCAACTTCTGATGGCCAGCCACTATGCTTCTCATCTTCAAGCCTCTCATCTCCTTTGCAAAACTTCTTGAACCACCACTGCACTGTATGTTTATTAGTAGTTCCTGGGCCAAATGCGTTGATGTTGTGAGTTGTCTTCACTGCTTTATGACCCATTTTGAAGTTGAATAAGAAAATCACTCGTTTGCTTTTTGTTAACATCATTTGCATAGTCTAAAATAAATATAAAATAAGCAAGTAATAAGTAATTAGCCAAAAAAAAGCAAGAAATGTGCATCAAAATGATGTATAACATTACCACATTTATTTAAGAATGTATTCTAATATCAAACGGCAAACTTCAACAATGCAAACACCTAGTAACCTAGTAACTCTACCAGGGCCAGCAACCACAGACTCTGGGAATCCAGCTTTCTGTAGCCCTGGATTAATCCATCAAAATGCTTGTTTCTCTAAACCTACGATTTCCTGTGGAGTACTGGAAGGATCCCAGTGATCTCTAGAACTTGCCAAGGCTGGCAAGAATCAGGACGAGTAAAGGTGGATCTGTGTCCCAGAGTTCCATTCCATTTACAGTATCTTCTTGGATCTGTTTACATACTTCACTTGAAATAAAGTATTTTGCTAAAGAGTCCAAACAAAGGCCTTTTGAGACCCATTTACTCAGGGAAAAGAATGGGTCTACCCATTCTTCAGATGAATCTCTACAAATACTTCTTCTTTCCAAGATTTTCTAAGTGTAGAGGGACAAGGATTTGAGATCATACACCCTGAAAATACCTGGAAAGGAGTTAGTATATCTCCACTTAACAGAAGACCATTGAGTGTTAACAGTTGAGTCTAACTGGAAAATCTGGAAAGAATAAACTGTGTATGCTTGCCTCAGCTCATCCATTTTTCCCTTTTGGAGAAGCTGCCACAGGAAGTTTTCTGCTTTTCTGTGCCGTAAGTCTTATTCTAGTTACCGTTTTCCTGACTCCAATATAAGGAGCATTGCTTCTGTCTGGTGGACAAATCTGTCTCCTTCTAGGGCTCAGGCAGCAAGCTTTTTTGTCTCAAGCTAAGTGACTTCCTTCAACTTAGCTTTCACTGGTAATATGGGACAAATAGTAAAGACCCTGCATTGACATAGTAAGTGGTGAGGGGGCCAAACAATTCAGCTGTTGGATTTTCAGTCAGTTTATTGTGAGATTGATGGACTAATCAGGTACACCTGTATAGCTAGCTGGTATTTCGATTTGTCATCTAAATTTGTCCTAGCACCTGGTTATGGTGTTCCAATTTGTGATCTAAATCTATTCTGGCACTACACCATTGAGGATGACTGACTCAAGATTTTGTGCCTGACTAGGACTTGAAGGGTAGTGGCAGCAACTTCAGGCTCTCCCAGATATTTGATATTTGTTTTGTCATACTGATACAGGGATATTGGGCCAGGAGAATACCAGGGATATGGAGACCCACCTTTCACTTCCCCATTTGTCAAGATGTGGTTGTCTGAAGTTTCCTCACCTAGCTTTGCCCTTCCCTCTGTGTCACTCATCCCCTGCAACTTGAGAGAGGGAGCTGGATGGGGGATTGCCCCTGATCCCCAATCCCGTGATTTCATAGGGCATGTTATCACAGGATTTTTGTCATAGTTCCTTTAGTGTTTTGTTTTATTTTTTCAATTTTGATCAAAACCTATGCAGTGAAAAAGAATAATGTTTACTGGACCCAGGCAAAGGTTGCTAGGAAAATGTTGATTTTGAGTGTTTATTGAAGCCAAGTGGGTTAACCTATCAAAACTTGGAGACTTGAGGATTTAAAGCTCATAATTACTTTAAAAAAATGTCCACTCTGGGTTAATTAATTAAAAGCTATGGGTTGTTGACATCTTTACTTGAGACAGAAATGGAAATTTAACTTTTCAGATGGGAGCTCCTCCTGGCACAAGGACACACAGATAAGACATCACTAATAGGAATACTGCAGTACAATGACAGATTGGGTTTCCCAAACATAAGAGCATGACAATTCCCCTTTTGTGGCCAGTCACTAAATAGTACCAAGTATCTAGCTAGCAACAAAAGGAGAGGTGTTGTTGCTTGATATCAGAGACTCTCAACTTTGGGTTACAGCACAGATATGTGTAACCAAACGTCTACTGAAAAATTGAGATGTAATGCTAGGAAAGATGAGCACCCAACATTTTAGGCCAGAGAATGGCAAAGATGTAAAGGAGAAGAGCAGAAATTTATTTTTGATAGGAAGGACATTATTGAAGGAAAAGCCCAGCCCCAGGACCAGGTTACTTTCCCCTATAAGCTCCAGCTTCTATGATGATAAAATCATTTCTTCAGCTGGCAAAACCAGCAAGATGTACAAGTCAAACTCCCACTATGCAGGCACAGCTTCAATCTCCACCATCTTAAATTTGCGCCTACATTCTTGGCCCTGGGAGATGCACAGGGGAAAAGGAAATTCACAGTTTGAAATACGTCAGGGTCAAATAACCTTGCTAATAGCCAATGAGATGGCTTTAAGGAACTGCTGGGAGTCATTGCCCTAAGTGACATAGTTCTTAAAAGGTTATGGACAGACCCTAAAACTTTCAACTTCTTTAAAAAATCCCATTACAAAACCATCAGTCCATTAACTCATTTAAACCCTTTTCATTTTTCCAGCTTGTACATGACAGATTTTCTTTTCTGCCTCCTGCTGAGTTAATTTTTTTTCCTCAACTACTGAAATGATCATGTCTACTGAAAAGAGATTGCAACTTTGAAAAATCAGTTGAATTTGAATTTGTACATTTTTATATCTTTGCAGGTCTCTTTTGTTTAAATAACTAGTTCCATATCCATGTGTATTCAATGGTCAAAATGAAAAGAACCTGAAGTTAAAATGAAGGTAAATTTATCTTGCAAAGCAAATCATTTCTCTTTCCAGACACTCAAAATGCTTTTTTAGGAAAAATAGCACAAGATATCGTCTCATCACACAATTGAATGAGATAGTATATTTCACTGTATCTGTATATTTCAAGGTATATGAATCCAAACTACTTATGCAAACTGAAGGTCACAGCATTTCACAAGACAAAAATAATTTATAAATTTTGATTACCTTAAAATTAAAAACTTTTGGGACATGAAGAAGAAGATGAAAAGGCAGCCATAAAGTAGAATAAAATATTTGTAATATTGACCTATTTACAATATTGATACATCTAAAATATATAAAGATCTTATTTAATTCACTAGGAAAAAGAGAAAGTTAAAAAAAGGGCAAAAACAGCCTCCTCTACAAAAAGGAAATCTTAACAAATAACAAATATATTTGAAAAGATGCTCAAACTGACTAGTCACCAGGGAAGTGGAAGATAACACCATAATGAGACATGGCTCAATAGCTACCATATGGCTACATTAAAAACAAGCAAACAACAAAAAAGATGACAATCAAAAATAGTAAGTGTTGATGAGGCTGTGGAACAATGGGAACAAAAACACTATTCGTTGGAAAATAAGCTGTTCGATGTTATCTTGGAAAGTTGAAAGTATGTATAGCCCGAGTACTAGTTCGTTTTCACACTGCTAATAAAGACATACCCAAACCTGGGAAATTTATAAAGGAAAGAGTTTTAGTGGACTCACAGTTCCACATGCCTGGGGAAGACTCACAATCATGGCAGAAAGTGAAGGAAGAGAAAGTCACATCTTACATGGTGGCAGGCAAGAGAGCATGTGCAGGGGAACTCCCCTTTATAAAGCCATCAGATCTCATGAGACCTATTCACTATCATGAAAACAGCACTGGAAAAACTTGCCCCCATGATTCAATTACCTCCTGCTGGGTCCTTCTCAAGACTTGTAGGGATTATGGGAGCTACAATTCAAGATGAGATTTGGGTGGGGGCACAGCAAAACCATATTAGCCCGTATCTCAGCAGTGCCACACCTGCTTATCTACCTGAGACACACACATGTACATATGCACCAAGAGACATTTATAGCAGTATTCATAGCAGAATTATGTATACAGCCAAAGGCAGGAAGCAGTCCAATGTCTCTATAGTACAATGGGTGAATTGGGGTATAATCATAAAATAGAATACAATGCTGACATGAAAATGAATGTGTATTACAACCACAGGCAACAGTGTTGAATCTTAAAAATACAATGTTGAGTAAAACAAACCAGATGTTTAAAACATACATAAGAGGCATATGTAAGCGTTCAAATTAAAAAGTATATAAAAGAAGGAGCTATAATAGTTCTGTGAATACTGTGGTTCCAGGATTCCCTCTTGACATCCCATGTTCCCTTCTCAGCCGCTGAGAATATTCTCTGCTGATGGTTCACACCTGAGTGACAAACTGGGAATTACTCTTGGCCACGGGGAACTTCTTCACTCAAGGCCACACCCTCTATCAGGGTTTGCCTAGTGACTAGGGTTTAGTGCCTAGTGATTGGCTGATGTGGGAATATAAAGATCCAGCACTCAACGCCAAAGGGCTAGCCCAAATCAAAGAACCTATGTGGTACTGACACAGCCACTGATGGAACCACTGTGAACTGGCTTCTTCCTCTACTCCTCTTGCCTTCCTAATGTTCTTACAGGTATTTCTCTCAAGAATATCCCCAGTAAATCCTCTGCCTGCAATTTCCAACTTAGAGTCTGTTTGCAGGAAGCTCTAAGCCAGCCTTTACTGGTTATCTTTGCAGAAAAATGAGGGAGCTATTACTGGGAAGGGACACTTTGGGGCTCCTGGAATATTGGCAATGTTCTATATTTTGAGTGGTAGTTGCATAAGTGTTATCTCTATAATACATTAATCTTTTTTGGACCTTTTCTATATTACACACACACACACACACACACACATGATTAAAAAGTGACTTTCATTCCTCACAGAGAAACTAACAAACTTAATTAATTAATTAACTTAAGAGATGGGGTCTCACTGTCTCGCCCAAGCTAGAGTACAGTGGCAGAATCAGAGCTTACTATTTTTAATTTAAATAAAGTGTAAGTCATATTTGAAAACAGTTTCTCCTAGGTTCACTGATTTTTTCCTTCTTTTTCCACAACTACTACTCTGCTGTGATACATACGTTTCATCCAGCCAAGTGAGAATTTCATATTCACCATCCATAATATGATGGTCTTGGAACGTTCTCTGCACTGGAGCACCTCCAGCCGATCTTCCCGGCTAGAACTGCTGCCTTACAGTGCCACTGAATGGAATCAGAGCTCTCTCACATTACAGATAGGGAAACTGAGTGCTGCTAGAGATTATGTCACTGTGCCTCCAACCAGTTCTGTTTCCCTCTTGTGGAATTCTTATCTCTCCCCACCCCAAGGATGAAAAGGTAGCTCTGTGGCATGCTTTCATTAAGGAAATGCGACATGTGCCTCCTGTAAGCAGAGGTTTAAGAGTCAGTGCATGATTTGTCATGTCCCTCTGCCATTAGAGAAGTAATATCCCAGACAGAGGTTGCTCCCTCCACCTGAGTGCAGGCAAATGGCAGAGAGCACAGCTGACCCAGATAGAAATATAGCATGATTAACCAAAATTTTGTGTTATGAACCACTGAAAATTTAGGGTTCTTTGTTACCAAGACGTAACTCAGACTATGCTGACTGATACAGAGCCCTAACAGGGGATCCTGATACCCAAGCACCACACAGAAATATTTGAGTAACTGCCCAGATTCTCATGCAATATGCTTTTCAGAAGCCACGTTGCCTTCTTTCCTTTGTAGTTTAAAATGCGTGCGCACACACGTGCGCGCGCACAGATGTGCTCACATTCATGGACATAATGAGCCACTGCTGATAAACAGACATCACTTCCAAGTTAAGCTTTTCTGGATAAAAGAGAAAATAAAACCCAGAAGGAGAAAAATGTATATAATATGACAGCCATGGATTTGATCTTGCTGGAAAACGACTCTGCTTTGAAAAACTCATTGTAGCCCCTCTGCAACCAAGCTGAGAAATTTTGATTAAACCACATTTCTTGCCCCGACACCTGAAAATTGCCAGTGACTGCTATCTAAATCCAGAGATTTTCATCTGGGCCTATCACTTAAAACAGTTCCTTGGCATATCTGATCCATCTTCTTGAAGATCCGTTGTTCTCTACCACCACCACAACATAAAAAGGCTAAGAAAAGAGAAAGATTTTCATCACCAGTGCTTACAGGCAAGCTTAATGGAGTACAAGAGAAAGGCTCATGGGCTTCATTTTTAACTTGCTTGAACTCCCTGTGACAGCTGGCAAAAACTTGATCAAATCAAATCTTCAGATGCTGTGACTCTACCACGTCAGGCCAGAATGGAAAAGCTTTTGTTTCAGCCGAATCCAGGCCTTATCACCTCATTCTGCCACTCACACTTCCTCAGTCCACCCACAAATCCTCCAGGATTTATTGCAGATGTAGCAAGCTTGCTGGAAATAATGGTACAAGCAAAGAGGCTAGTCGGCTATCGACTCCAAGCTCTGGGTAATACCAATGGGAAATTATTTGCACAAAAGGTGCGCTGGGGTGACAAATGAAGAGGGGCTGGCCCATTGAAGATGCTGGGACTTAGACAAAGCTAACACACTAATACCAAGCCACTAGCTTTATCTGATTACTTCTGGGGCTGATGGCTCCCCACACGGCCCCCCTTTAGATCTCCCCACCCACCCACACTCTTGCGTAAAAGACACAGGTTGCTTTCTTTGGTGTGCAGTGTACCGTGAAATGGTAATCTAGAGAATTACTACATTTATATAAACCACAAAGTTTTGAGCCCCACAAAAACAATTTTCAGATCGACAATAAATTGTTTTTACACTGTTGACTAAAGAAAAATGTAACAGAGGAAGCGTTACATTATGACAAAGGGAATTAAGACTGATTTTTGCCCAGAAAGAGCAATTTTTTGGCATTATCTTAGAAAAATTTTTCTTGGACTCTGGTCAGACTTGATTTAGAAAAACATGCAGAACAATAGCAATTCCATTCTTCACCCATATTTTTGTAAAAGAAAATGTGTTATTATTTCCCCCACTTTAATCTTTGAGTAGGCTTGTGTTTTAGGGTAACTTCTTGCATTCATTTTTGTTATTTTTGCTCAGTTTGCTCTCACTCTAAGCAGGTGCAATGCTAAATTCTGTGTGATGTAAAATGAGCTTAGTGTTCCTCATTATAAAAGCCCTCAGCTCTTAAAGTGAGAAAGACTTATCCTCATGAACAGTTTCTTCCTTTTTCTAATCTCCTCATTTTCACAGAAACAAAGTCGAATTCTTTTTTATCAGTGTCCTGATTAACTCTTAATGTCTTAAACCAATTTCATCAAAAAACTTCCCTTCACAGTGCTTCTCCTCAAGTTTGGTAAAAGCACAGTAGAATGAATAAACAATCAAATTTGAGCATCATTAATGCAACTCCAATGTGGTTTGGGAGTGAGGTGTTACCAGCAGAACACGAATATCAATTTCAGAAAAAAAAAGAAAATTTTTCTTCAGAATGTACTCTTAACATCTGTATTTATATAATGATGTAACTTAAATAATGTGTAATGAGGCATATTTGAATAGAAAGTTGTTTACCTCACTCACAAAGATTCCCTCAAATGTCAATAGTTTCCAGTTCATTGATTATATTAGGTGAGAAATACATACGTCTTAATTGTAACATGGTTGAGGAGACACAACAGAGAACAAAATAGACTCCTGCTTTGGTGTTTAAAATATACACAATTAATTAGAAAGCTGTGTAAGTCAGCACCTTTTCAGCAAAGTTTCCTTCTCTGATTGCTCTTTGTTAATGTGTGTTACACATTCCTTGAAGTATAATATTAATAAAAGGTGATTTGCAAACCAAGAAAATTCTACCAGTGTCATCTATTCTAAAATGCCCTTGGTCTGACTCATACTCACACAACGGCCAGCGCTGAGACACAGAATTAGGACCGTTTTCAAAGGAGAGGTCTCAAAGGCAATCCTTGGGGAAACTCACTCCTAAAATTATCTCCCAGCAGATTCGAGAGTCTCAATCTTTCAGCTTTTCCCTTGATGATCCCTCCGCCTTGCTCTTCCTCATTGTGCATGGCCAGTCAAGCCTTCCAGTCTGGCTTGAACTTTCTATTCAGTACCCACACGTCTATGTATACGGTGGAAAGGAGTGTTTTCTCCATGTTGATTTTCAGTTTGTATCCTCCAAATTCTTTCTTAATGCAATTAAATTTTGCTTTGATCAAAGAACCACACACACATAGTTTAATAAGATAAATGGAATAAATGTGTTTAAACAAAACCTGGAAATCTCCTGCCTTATTGTTCTCAGTCCACTCTTTAAAGACAGCCCTTTCCTGGCATCTTAGCTGTTTCTTCCATACTTTTTTTTTTTTAAGTGTCTTCTACTATGTGAATTTTAGACATTTTCTATTGTGTTTCTAAAGTGAAAGATGGTAATTTTCCACTTTTATGTTCCTCCTGCCTATTTTCCTCTCACATTATTCCAAATTATAATTCTATCACAATTTTTGGTTAAATAGATATGAGATATTTACATTGTTGTGTCTAGGTAAATGTTCTTTCCTGAGTCAAGTTGTGAAACAATTCTATTTTTCTGTTTGCCTAAACTTTATCTTGAAGCAATCATTTCATTTTTCCATTTCCAAATTTTTTTATATTTCTATAATTATAATTCTTCCCAAACTCACCACTGAACTATAAATCGCTTCCTAATATTCTTTCCCACACAGTTAGATACGTACATTTTCTACCACTTGCCTCTCTCCTCACCTGGAGGCTGCTTCCTTTTTCACTCTGTGGGGCCATCATCAGGGGACTTCTCATTGCTATTGCCTGAGAAAGCCTGTTGCCCCTTTGCCTCTTTTATGGGCTATATTGCATTTCATGAACACTGTTCTTCTGCTACCATTGGTAATATCCTCATCTTGGTGTAACACCCTCTATTTCTTTTTTTTTTTTTTTTTTTTGCTTTTAGTTTTCTTTTATTAATTGTTTATGTAACTTAGACTGCTCATGATCAATAAAACATACAGGAAGTTACAAGACCTTTTTCCATGACTATCACTAATTCAGTCAGGGTATTAGTAGTGAAGAAGAAAACACAATCTCAATATAAGCAAATATACCTAGTATCCAACAAAATAAGCTCTCAGCTGGGTGTGGTGGCATGTGCCTGTAGTCCCAGGTACTTGCGAGGATGAAGCAGGAGGATCGCTTGAGCCCAGGAGTTCGAGTAGGCAGAGCTATGATCGCACCACATCCAGCCCGGATGACAAAGCGAGACTCCATCTTGTAAAATCTCCTGCTGGAGCTCTCCACCCTTTTTCCATCTGGATTGATTGTTCTTTAGTCTCAGCAAGCAGTGATCATTCTGTAGATTCCCTACAGCTCTTTGTTGGCTGGATTATTGTTTCCTGAGTTCTCTTTCTGGGTTTTCTCTCTTGCTTTTTTGGAGCATATCCTACAACACCCTCTATTTCTAACAGAAGGTATACAGAAAGCTTTTTTGTGCATGTGGAGATTTTGTTTATCTAAACATCTTTAAAAACTAATGCAACCTCTGGTGGCACTTCCTCTTCTTATAAGGCCACCAATCCTATCTAATTAGGACCTCATCATTAGGACCTCATTTAACCTTTATTACTTCCTAAAAGCCCTATCCAAAAACAGTCATGTTGGGAGTTAAGGCTTCAACATATAAACTTTAGAGGAATCCCATTCAGCAGCCTGAGCCTGTTACTACTAAGATTAAGTTATGAAAACTGTGGCTTCCATCTTAGGTTTTGTCTCTCAAATCACTTGCTGTGAGAGAAGCCAGCTGCCAGGCAACTTACGAAGCTGGCCAGGTGCTAAGGAATGAAGGCATCCAGCCAACATCCAGAGAGAAACTGAGTCCTGACACCAACCATGAGAGTGAGCAGGAAGGTCAGTTCTCCAGCCTTGAGAATCACAAGGCTAAGGCTGGGGAAGTCAACCTGATTGCAATCTAGTGAAAGACCCAGCTAAATCATTCAGAACAACCAGCTAAATCATTCCTAGATTCCCGGCTCTCAGAAACAGTGGGAAACAGTAAATGCTTATTTTAAGCTACTATGTTCTGGAATAATGGTACACAGTAATAGATAACTAATACACAGTGGCACTTGTCAGATATATATGTTGCAAATATTTTTCTCAGTCCCTTTTGCTCCCTCAACATTATTGTTTGAAAGCATTTTTTTAAATTTTAAGGTACATTTTATAATTTTTTCTTTCATAAAGAGTACATTTAGTGTCCTATATAAGAAACTTTGCCTAAACAAAATTTTATCTTAAGTTTTCTTCTAGAACTTTAACAGTTGTAGCTCTTATAATATTTGATTCATTTTGAACTAAATATTGTACATAGTGTGAGATAAGGTTTAATATTTATTACCTATATTTTTTCTTTCCACAAAGATAACCATGTGTTACCTTTTTAAAACATAACTTCAATATTCTTATTACCCACCAAAATTAATAATTATTCCTTAATATAATTATTCTTTAATATCATCAAATACCTGGTCAATGTTGATATTTGATTGTCTTATACATGTGTTTCTCCTTTTCACAGTTTGTTTATTCAAATTGGGATCAAAAGGAGGTCCATAAAATGCAGTTAACTAATGTATTTGTTTCCTCTTTTCATTTAGATGTTTTCCTTTTATGTTTTTTGTTTAACGTTGTTGAAGAAACAGGTTATTTGTTCTTTAGTGTCTCAAATAGTTTGAGTTTTGCTAACTACATCTCTCTGGTGGTGTTGAATGTGTTCCTCAGTTCCCTATATGTTTAGTGAATTTGTTGACCAGACTCAGGTTCAGATTTTGGGGGGAGGGCAAAACTATTTCATGGATAGTGTTGGGTATATCCATCAGCAGGCACATGACATCTGTTTGTCTCTCTTTTTGTGATGTTAGTAGCTACCAAAAGTCATTGTCTATGTTCATTAAATCACTGGGAGTTGAGACATAGTAGAATGTTAATTCTATTATTTTATCGTTATTAGCATAGTTAATTCTATTATTTTATCATTATTTATCATTATCATCATACTTCCCTAAAAAAACACTTGTCCTTACTACTTATCCAATTTGGCTATCCTGAAACATAGTATCTATGATTATTGTAGGCATCCTCCTGACTTTAACAATAAACATTTGGCTCCAGATATGTTTGAAACTCATTGATAACCTACTATTCTGCAGTTAGATACACACACGCACTACATATATATATATATGGTGTATGTATGCATATATATATATAATTAAGACATTATACTACTTTAAGTGATTATATTATTAAAGTTCTACAATAATGAAAATACTATGCAAACTTTGGATGTTTTTACCAAATCTCAGAATAAGGTCACAATTTAAAATGCTGGAATTAAAAAAAATATTTTAGGTCACAATCAAAGGCAGTATTGCTCAAAGCTGAAGAATCCTTAGGCTTATGATGTGCCAGGTACTAAGTACTTTCCATAAGAGATCTCATCCTCTTAACAATAGTACAGTGCTACTGTCATTCCCATTTCACAGAGGAGGAAACTGATGCCAGGAGAATGACTTGCCCAAGCTCAAGTAAGTGATAGGATCAGGATTGGAACTTATGGTGTCTAACTCCAGATCCTACTCAAGATTATCATTGCTTTCAACCACACAAAAATTTTGTAAATCTCTTTATTGAACAGAGATTAGGCATCTCTCCCCAAATCAGCTAGCTAGACTCTAGAAGGGCTTGAATTAATTTGGGGATATGTGTTCTTGTGTTCAAAGGGAAGCATGCATATCTAAAGCATAAGTGTTTATGCTTCACTAGCATAGCAAAGCATATGTCCTCAGTGCCAGCAAAACAGAAGCCATCCCAGGAACACTGGCCAGCACTCCTTCCTCTCCCCTGGATCTTCGTGCAGTTGTACCATCTTTAGTTTTCTCGAGGAGATTCAACACACGGGTGCAAAAAATGAAAGTCAAGGATCAAATAGGAAAATCTGTCCAGAGGAATCTAGGGATCTGAGAAAAACTCACCAGAAAGTTTCCGATTGCTGCAGTTCTACTGTTTCATTTTTGACCATGGACTATGAGTCCCCCAGCTGTCTTTTCCCCATAATTTGTATTTAAAATCTGAGTTCTCTGCCTTTGGACTGAGTCTGGGGTTTTCAATAGGACAGAATTTCATGAATCTCATTTTCCATGGATTGATACCCAGCACATGAGCTGAGAAAAAGTGGACCAGCTTATTTTTAAGTCCTGTTTGTTCAACAATGATCAGATGAAAGGACAATGATCATGATTAACAATGACAATGATCACTAATGCTCTTTAAGTACTTCCTTAACAGAGTTTGGCACTTTTCTAAGCACTTTGTATGTAATACCCCATTTAATATTCAGGTGGCTTAACTTGAATACTGAACTTGTTCCCATCAAGTTTGAACAAGGAGCCTGTTCTCTGAATAATTACACTATAGCTTCCATGACTGGATGCTTGTGCCTTAGAATATTAGCTTTGTCAGATATCACAGAAGATAAAAAGAAAAATTTCATTGTACAGTCCATTAGTACAAGTCTGTAGTTTCTCCTTTTCTTTTTGTCCTGTAGGGATGATTTGGGGGCTATTCAGATGCTTCACGAAGGCTTGTTGAATGATGTCTATCTTTGTGAGGAAGAAACAGAGGCACAGAACAATGGTCTGAACATCCTCCTTTCCAAATTACTGACAAATGCAGTTTCTACTGACTGGGTCCCACCTCACTTTAGTGGGACCAGCTCAGTTATCCCCGCACGGAGATCTGGTTTATCCAGCAAGTGGCATCCTAATTCAAAAGACGGGCCAACAAGCTGTGATTTTAAAAATTTATCCTGAGTAATAAGATTGCTGATGTAAGAGCAAATCGAGATCACCCCAAGAAAATCAAGTTCTCCCCAGGGAAGATATTTTAGGGGGAAACATCTCCATTGCCCTTATTGGTTGTGTGGAAATAACGGTCATAGTTAAGGGAGTCCACTGAAAATCCCAAGAGATTTTCTCCAACTTAGCGGGATGAGTCTATTGAATTGCTTATCACTATTTCTGTTGCATCTTTCCAAGCTTGGCCCATGGAGGGAGGGAGTTTTTGTTGATGCCGTGCCACCATCACCATCCCCTGACATCCTGACCTCTTTACTTACCTTTCCTAGACCAAACCTCACCAAAATTGTCCAAATAGTTTTCCTTCTCTGCAGAAGGCTGCACCATGTTCCCAGGAATAAATCTACTATGCAACATTCCTCTCGAGCAAGAATATTCTCTATATACCAAAGACAATACTCTGCAGTGGCAGTTCATTTGATTTAGCAAAATGATTCTTAATACATATTTATTGCATGGAAGAGAAAGTACTAATCTTTCCCAAAAGACAAAGGGGGAAATCTCAGTGCAGGGGAAGAAATAAACATGTCTTGAACCCCCATTTGTGCCACAATATTGTTCTGGATGTTTTATTATATTAATACTAACACTTTATTATATTAATACTAACACTAACTCTGACACTGATACTAATAATAATGATTATACCAATACTAATGCAAATATAAATACATATATTAATATTAATACCAAAACTCATATATATATACTAATACAAGTATTAATAAAAATCTGATAATGACACTGGTGCTAATAAAATATTTCTCAGGGATTTTTCTGCATGGAAGGACCTCCACTTGAGTATCCCTCCTGGCCTCTTACCCCATCACTTCTGTATCCCTCTCCACAGAGAAGGAATGAGTAACCTAATGGATGAGTAACAGCCTCTGATCAATTAAAAGGCTATAACCCCCAAAGATTTATTCTCTTTTCATCTCTCTTTGCCCAGACAGCATCTACAAAAGGCAGTAATCCTGGATAAGAGATTCTGCTCTGTCCTTCACACTTTGTATAAAGGCTGGGATTTCAGGGCTGGTGCCTTCAAAGAGGAAAGCAAGCCAGCCCATCTGAATGATCAAGAAAGTGCACCCTCCAACCTAGCTCTATCCATAGCAAAGCTGATGCTGTGATGTCCACCCTTAGACAGAATGAAAATGCCTGAGCCTTGGAACACAGTACTCAAAAGAGAAATAGAAATGAGACTTTCTAAACATGCTGGATGAGAAAGAAAAACCTGGGAATAAGGTTTCCTCTGCTGCAAATTTCTAAATCTTCTAAGAAGACATAAATATCTCAAGTGTCTCCCTCTCGGAGAGGAGAAAATAGAGTTCATTCTCACAGAGTGCATTCTCTCATGTCATGCCAGCCTACCATATCAAAAGGCAAAAATGATGTTGACCTAATTTCTCGAAGGGAGAGTTCTCCCAGTTGTGGTCAAAGTCACCGATCACAGATTCAGAGAGAAGTTTGGACTCTCTGGCATACATACTGACCAAGAAACTAAGATAAATTTTCTCTCTGTCTTTCCTTCTTCTCTCTAATATGAGCCTATGGTCTTTGGCAACACAATTATTGGATTCTAGGAATAGGATTCTTTCTGAGGTGACAGCTCTAGGGAGTATGGATTCGCTTCTTTGCAGGTTTGGGGTCAGATGTATAATTATTTGTGTTCTGTTATTTCTTTTTACACTTTAAAATGTGAAATTTCAGACCCAGAATTCTCTCTGGTGGAGAACAATACTTTTTTTTCTTTTTTTTTTTTTGAGACAGAGTCTCGCTCTGTCACCCAGGCTGGAGTGCAGTGGCACAATCTCTGCTCGCTGCAGGCTCCACCTCCCGGGTTCACGCCATTCTCCTGCCTCAGCCTCCCGAGTAGCTGGGACTACAGTAGGCTCCTGCCACCACGCCTGGCTAATTTTTTTTTGTATTTTTTTAGTAGAGATGGGGTTTCACCGTGTTAGCCAGGATAGTCTCGATCTCCTGACCTCGTGATCCACCCGCCTCGGCCTCCTAAAGTGCTGGGAATGGAAAACAATACTTTTTTAAGATCATTGAAGTTTATCTTCACAATATAGAATCCAATAAGGAAGGCAGGGTGTGTCATTTTGGTCCCATTTTTCAGATGCAGAACCAAACCCAGAGATCATGTCCATTC
Source organism: Homo sapiens (assembly GCF_000001405.40). NCBI lineage: Eukaryota > Metazoa > Chordata > Mammalia > Primates > Hominidae > Homo > Homo sapiens. The sequence goes on from NC_000012.12 coordinate 103,216,781, forward strand.
CCCAAGGTCACACTGAGGACAAACACCAAGTCCTCCATTGTAAGCCAAGACCTAATTTCTTTTTCTCTCTTTCTTTTTTTGAGATGGAGTCCCGCTCTGTGGCCCAGGCTGGAGTGCAGTTGTGAGATCTTGGCTCACTGTAACCTCTGCCTCCCAGGTTCAAGGGATTCCCCTGCCTCAGCTTCCCAAGTAGCTGGGAATACAGGCACGCACCACCACCCCTGGCTCATTTTTGTATTTTTAGTAGAGACAGGGTTTCACCGTGTTGGCGAGGGTTGTCTCAAATTGCTGACCTCAAGTGATCTCCCCGCCTCGACCTCCCAAAGTGCTGGGATTACAAGCGTGAGCTACCACTCCTGGCTGACAAGACCTATTTCTCTGGTTAACATGGTTATAAAATTCTGGTCCAGAACACATTGAAGTGCTGAAACATGCTTGTTAAAAGAAGCTGCTTCTTAGATGAGTGCAGCGGCTCACACCTGTAATCTCAGCATTTTGGGAGGCCGAGGCGAGAGAATCACTTGAAGCTAGTTCAAGACCAGCCTGGTCAGCATAGCAAGACCCTGTCTTTACAAAAAAACACACAAACAAACAAAAAATTAGCTGAGTGTCATGGTGCATGCATGTAGTCCTAGCTACTTGGGAGGCTGAGGCAGGAGGATCCCTTGAGCCTCAGAGGTCGAGGCTGCAGTGGGCCATGATCATACCACTGCCCTTCAGCTTAGGGGTGACAGAGTGAGACCCTGTCTCAAAAAAAAAAAAAAAAAGCTACTTCCAAAAAATTAGATATAACTCCTTTTTCTGCTGTTACTGCTCACTCCAGAACACCGTACAGATCACAGACACATCTCCCCATGCTGTGCCGGCTACTTTCCTACTCAAAACCTTCATGAGAGGCTTGCCACTACTTACAGAACTCAGTC